>NC_000011.10:56949316-57252346 GCF_000001405.40 Homo sapiens
ATTTGTGATGGGGTCTTTAGGATATTCTATGTCGATTTATACCTCCAGAGGCACTGGAGACTGAGGTATTATTCTGAACTTCCAGGAGTATCTTGAATCTTAGAGAGCAGTCAGTCATGTGGTCAGTAAATAATCAAGTCCCAATAAAAACTCCGGACACCAAAAGTTCATGTGAGCTTCCTGGGTTAACAGTACTCCATGCATATTGCGACAGTTAATGGCAAGAAAGTAACACATCTTTGAGGACTATTGTATTACACGTCCCACATGAGGTTACTTAAGGGTATATATTTGCCTGGTTCCTGAACCCTGAAGGCTGGGTTGTGAGCTAAGGCCATGGTGCCCAGTGAAGGAGCAGGTGTCCCTGAAAATCTAAACATCCCAGAGACTATCTGAGAACCTAACAAGAAAATCAGTCTCACTGCATTCACACAGTATACAAAAGGCCAAAAAATTACCTTAAAAGCAGTTTAGAGATGGGAAGAGGCATGGATCTCTAGAGCTCTCCTGCTGCTGTCCAAGAGTGTCCTGTAAGTCCTAATAAACACATCTGTGAGAAAACATTTTACATGGTCCATTTTCAAGATATGATAAATCTAAGTACTGGCAGCCAGCCTGCAGATGTGAGAAACCACACAGCTCATGCACCTAGAAATTCACAATAAGCAAACAGAATGTAGAGGATGGGTCAGCCCATAAAAGGGAAGTTTCATTATTGGCAAATCAAAACTTATGTGGGGAAGGAGACCAGGGCATAACCTTATAAGGGGGATAATGAAACTTAGGCAACATCCAGTAAGATTATAACCCCATAGTACTCAACCAGTGAGGAACTGGGGAAGGGACTCGTGTGCTAGGAGATAAATTACCTGCTGTAACTGCCCCAGGTGTGCCTGCCTGCCAGACACCCAATCTTGCAAGGCCACCATTAAAAGACTTGCTTCTGCTGTTCTTTGTGTCTCCGAGTCCATTCTCTGGGTTTCAACGGATGAATGTGTTTCTCACAAACTTGGGGGCTCATCTGGGATCTATGAGCCTGTGTGGAGTGGGACTCCAGTTGAGAAGGGAGATGCCTCCCACCTGATTTAGGTGGCCCTCTCTGTCCAGATGTCCCGGCTCCCCACAGAGGCCATAGACAAACCTGAGACTGTTATTCAGAAGGCAGCAGAGACGACACAGGGAGAAAAGCAGGCACAGCAGCAACCAGGCAACCTCGTTCATGAGCCAAGGTAGGAAAATTGGACTCTATGTACTGTCTTAGTGGTTGGAGGTCAAGTGTGTGTAACTGAGATGTATCTTAGATACAAAGTGAGTGCAGAGTTTTGTTCTCCTACAAGGGAAATGGCCAGAGATGGATGAAGCGATTCTCAGAGTGTGCAAAAAATCTCCAGTAGGGGGGGTTGAGTACACAAGGAAAAGTTCAGACACAGAGACTGACCAAAAATGGGAAACAGAAATTCTAGGCCTAGGGGACAAAGGAAAGAGGGAGTCAAAGAGAATTCCTCTGACATTTTCCTGGATACTCCTTTGGGGATAATGCTGCAGGTTTGGAGGGACAACCCTCAAACCAGGGACAAGGAAAAGCAAAAGATGATAAAGTATTCCTGTCTTATCTGGCTCAAAGTCCTCATTCATAAGCCTTCAGTGTTTTGGCCCAAATTTGGCTCAGATGAGGATTGGGTGTGCCAAGCTTTAATCCTCTATGTGAATGATAAAACCCCATCCTCACAAGAGGAGATAGGTTATGCTCTTAGCTGGATCAAGGAATTAGTCCCCACATTCCCTCTCAAAGAAGAAGAAAAAAAAACTAGTAAAAAGCCCTTGCCCAGTGAAAAGCCCTGGGACCCCCCTATCACACTTGCCCCCTCCATATATCTTACAATATAGGGGACAGAAAGATCAAGGGGCAGCAGGTGGGTTAGAGGAGGAAAGACCTGGAGACCATGGGGGAGCCAAACCAACTCTTCCTTTCAATCCTAATCCAAATTTAAGAAAATAATTAGAACAGTGTAAGAGGAATATTGAGAAATTCCCTATTCCTTTCACACAACAGGCATCTAGCATGTTTCCTCTTAGGGAAGTTCTCATGGGACAGGGAGAGAATGGCTTTGTAAATGTTCCTCTTACAAGTACTGAAGTTAAGAATTTCAAGAAGGAAATGAAACCACTCCTAGAAGATCCCCTCAGTTTAGCAGACCAGCTGGACCAATTCCTAGGACCTGGCTTTTACACCGAGCATGACCAGTTAATAGAGGCAATACCCTCTTGGGAAGAAGTTTTGCCAGATGAACAAAAATTTTCAAATGTCGATCCCAAATGGTATAATAATGATCCCAGGGAATGGACCCAAATGCAGGACCTCAGGGAACTATAATTAAAGGGATCAAAGAGTCCACTTCTAGCACACCAAATGTCTCAAAAGCATTCAAGATTCAACAAGAAAAAGAGGTCACTCCCTCTGCATTTCTACAGAGGTTCAGAGATCAAATGAGAAAATACTCCAGATTAGATCCAGAGGACCTAGTAAGGCAAAGCCTTCTGAAGGTTAACTTTGTAACTAAGAGCTGGCCTGACATTACAAAGAAATTACCAAAAAAACTGATGAATGGAATGAGAAACCAATTGAGGAATCACTGAGTGAAGCTGAGAAGGTCTTTGTAAGAAGAGAAGAGAAGCAGAAACAGAAAGCCAAAATCATAGTTTCCATTGTGGAAGAGGTAGTCAGAAAAAGGTTAGATCAAGATCCCCCTCAAAGTAGATAAGGTGTTGACACAGAGAAAGAAGGGAAACTCAGGGAAAACTCCTAAGACTAACTGGATGTTACAATTGTGATAAGCCAGGGCATCTTAAGAGAGAATGCCCTGAATGGAAGAAAGAAGAAAAGGTTATCCCTCTCATGACCATTGATGAAGACTAGAAGGGTCAGGGATTCTTTCTGAGTAGGTCTCACCAGGAACCCTTAATACATTTGAAGATGGGACCATGCTCAACACGACTACTTATCAGGGAAATGCAAGTCAAACTACAATGAGATATTTCTTCATGCTTGTTAGTATGGCTATTATTAAAAACACAAAATATAAGTGTTACAGGGATGTGGAGTAAAGGAAACCCTTGTGTACTGTTGGTGGGAATGTAATTTGGTACAGCCAGTATGGGAAACAGTATAGAGGTTCTTCAAAAAGTTAGAATTAGAATTACCATATCATCAAGCAATTCTACTTCTGGTTATTATCCAAAGGAATCTAAATCAGGATCTCCAGGAGATATCTTCATGCCCATATTTTTGCAATATTATTCACAATAGCTGCAATATTAAAACAACCTAAATGTCCATCAATGAATGAATAAAGAAAAAGTAGTATACACACACACACACACACACACACACACACACAGAGAAATAGTATTCAGTCTTTAAAGAACAAAGATGAAGGTATTACACTATCTGACTTCAAACTATATTATAAGGCTACAATAATCAAAACAGCATGGTACTGTTTTGACACAATCACAGACCCGTAGATCAATGGAACAGAAAAGAAAACTCAGAAATAAAGCTGCCCACTTACAACCATCAGTTCTTTGGCAAGGCCAACAAAAATAAGCAATGTGGAAAGAACTTCCTATTCAATAAGTGATACTGGGATAACTGGCTAGCCAAATACAGAAGATTGATTTCACCATATACAAAAATTACTCAAAATGGATAAAATATTTAAATGTAAGACCTCAAACTATGAAAATCCTATTTAAAAACCCTAGCGCGGTGGCTCACGCCTGCAATCCCAGCACTTTGGGAGGCCGAGGCAGGTGGATCATGAGGTCAGGAGATCGAGACCATCCTGGCTAACAAGGTGAAACCCCGTCTCTACTAAAAAAAATACAAAAAATTAGCCAGGCGCGGTGGCGGGCGCCTGTAGTCCCAGCTACTCGGGAGGCTGAGGCAGGAGAATGGCGTGAACCCAGGAAGCGGAGCTTGCAGTGAGCCGAGATTGCGCCACTGCAGTCCGCAGTCCGGCCTGGGCGACAGAGCGAGACTCCGTCTCAAAAAAAAATAAAAATAAAAATAAAAATAAAAACCCTAGAAAATACCCTTTCTCTACATCAGACTTGGCCAAAAAATTTTGGCAAAGTCTTCAAAAGCAACTGAAATAAAAACAAAAATTGACGAGTGAGACCTAATTAAAAATCTTCCTCACAGCAAAAGTAACTATCAATAGAGTAAACAGACAACTTACAGGATGGGAGAAAATATTCACAAACAATACATCCAACAAAGGTCTAATATCAACAATCTATAAGGAATTTAAACAAATTTATAAACAAAAAATAAACAACCCCATTAAAAAGTGGGCAAAGAACATGAACAGACACTTCTCAAAAGAAAAAAATATGCAGCCCACAAACATGTGAATAAAAATGTTCAGTATCACTAATCATCAGAGAAATGTAAATCAAAACCACAGTGAGATACCATCTCACACCAGTTAGAATGGCTACTATTAAAAAGTCAAAAGACAATAGATCCTGGCCAGGCTGTGGAGAAAAGGGAATGTTTATAGAATGTTGGGAATGTAAATTAGTTCAGCCACTGTGGAAAGCACTCTGGAGATTTCAAACAACATAAAACAGAGCTACCATTTGACCATTACCCATTACTGGTATATACCAAAAAGACACATGCACTCATATGTTCATCACCATGCTATTCACAATAGCAAAGACATTAAATCCACCTTGCTGCCCATCAGTGGTGAATTGGATAAAGAAAATGTGGTACATATACACCATGGAATACTATGCAGCCATTAAAAATAATGAAATTATGTCTTTTTTAGCACCATGGATGGAGCTGGAGGCCATAATCCTAACTGAATTAATGCTGGAATGGAAAACCAAATACTGCATGTTCTCACTTATAAGCGGGAGATAAACACTGAGCACATATGGATATAAATGTGGAAACAATAGACTCTGGAGACTACTAGGGGACAGAAAGGGAAGAGGGTATGGGTTGAAAGACTACCTATTGGGTTCTATGCTTACTACTTGAGTGCAATATAGTCATGTAAAAAACCTGCACATGTACCCCCTGTATTTAAAATAAAAGTTGAAATTTTAAAAAAATTATATGTGTTTGTGTGTATGCATGTGTATATGAGTGTATGTATGAATTAGTCCATTTTCACACTGCTATCAAGAAAGTACCCAAGACTGGGTAATTTATAAAGTAAAGAGGTTTGACTCACAGTTTCTCATGGCTGTGAGGCCTCACGAAACTTACTATTATGGCAGAAAACAAAGGGGAAGGGAGGCATGTCTTACATGGCAGCAGGCAAGACAGAAGAGTGCAGGGGAAAACTGCCAAACACTTTTTCAAAACCATCAGATTGCAAGAGAACTCACTCACTGTATTAGTCCATTTTCATGCTGCTAATAAAGACATACCCTAGACTTGGCAATTTATAAAAGAAAGAGGTTTAATGGAGCTAAAGTTCCACATGGCTGGGGAGGCCTCACAATCATGGCAGAAGGCAAGGAGGAGCAAGTCACATCTTACATGGATGGCAGTAGGCAAAGACAGAGAGCTTGTCCAGGGAAACTCCCATTTTTAAAACCATCAGCTCTCATAAGACGTGTTTAGTATCAGGAGAACAGCATGGGAAAGACCTGCCCCCATGATTCAATTACCTCCCACCAGGTCCCTCACCCAACACATGGGAATTCAAGATGATATTTGGGTGGGGACACAGCCAAACCATTTCACCCACTATCACGAGAACAGCATGGGGGAAGCACGCCCATAATCCCATCACCTCCCACAGGGTCCTTCCCTTGGCACAAGGGGATTACAATTTGAGATGAAATTTGAGTGGGTACACAGAGCCAAACCACATCAGTGTAAATACACACATTTAGTATGTATGTATGTGTGTGTGTGTGTCTACATAAAAATCAAACTTTTCTTCACAGCAAAAGTAAGCAAAGTAAAAAAATTAATATTGAGATATAAATAAACTAAATATCAACTCATATAAAGGAGGGTACTTAACTCAATATCAATTTTAAAACAAAATACTTTTTCAGATGGCAACGTATATAACAGATAATTCACATAAAATAAAAAATTAATTATTCTGAGAAATATAAAAAGATATCCAACCTGGTTCATATGAGTAAAGGGCAAACAAAATATATTATTTTTCACTTATAAAAATAAATTTTAATAAAAGTTTCCTGTCTATTAGAATTTAGAGAAATAGTCACTAGATTTGGTAGAAGTAGTATAAATTGGTACAGCCTCTGGAGGGTACCTGAGCAATAAGTATCAAAAGTTATCATTATTAAATCCTTTACACAGTTTCCTCTCCAAAATACCTTTTAATCCTACAGATATATTCACAATAATTTACAGTAACATTGTTTATATTAGTAAAATATTGAAAACAATCTAAATGTCACCAATGGGTGGGGGAAAGAGTCTGATTAAACAGAGTATGAATGCAACTGTTCAATAAAATATAATACAAACAATAAAAAGAGTGAGGCTTCTGTCTTCATACTGATGGAGACAAATCACCCCCAAACATGTGAATAATATGTATGAATAAGACATACATTGTCTTTTGTTGCTGGGGGAATAAAGTATATGAACATAATATGTTTTCGAATGCAAGGCAAGTCTTGTAAATCTGGAAGAATAACATGAACTTGTAACAGTGGTGATCCCCAGGGAAGGAAACTGAAGATCAGAAATCAAGGGAGGGGTGGGGACATGGTTTATACTCCATACACTTTCATATTTCTGAATTTTTACCATAAAATGATTTGTTATTTATCCCTCAAACTCAAAATAAGAGAAGCTGAGGGTAAGAAATAAAAGCAGGAAGAAAGAAAAAAGAGGGAAGAAAGAGAGGAAGAATAAAAGGGAGGAAGAAGGTTAAAAATAAATTGTCAGTAGCAGGGCAATTCTCAAAAATGAAAGCAAAAAGTCCCTGCTGGCATTAAAACAAGAATTTTCTTCCCCCTGGAGAGCTTAACTTTGCTTCAGCAGAAAATAAGTAGCAAACATTGTTTTTCCCAGTTACATCTGAGCCCCTGGAACTTCAGGTTCTCCAGGGAGCGGGTATTGATCTCTTATGCCCCAGCTATATACTCACTGATGAGGAGGAACTGAAAAGAGAGACCTTGATCAGCAATCAGTGCCAGTTGCCTAAAGAGAATGTGTAGGCAACCTCAACGTAAGTAAAACAAAGCAAATAGCATTTTGTTCAAAGTCTGCCATGTATCATGCCAGTGCATGGTGGAAATTTTGGAGCAAAAGGTTACTCAAATCCCCAGCATGTTTCACCTCAAAACCAGGAGGAATTACTTCATCCCTGGTAGTTTGATTCAGGCTGAGTATTACCTGGGAAAGAATATGAACGAACAAATGATTGAATGAATCAGTCAATCGACTGATCAATTAAGCAATCAACACAATATGCCTTTAATGTATTATTTGGTATTAAAGTCATTGCTGGGCATATCTTCCATTCCCAGCCCCGTGTTGGGAATTTACATAAATTTGCTCACTTAAACCTCACATCACTGCACAAAAGACCTTACTTTTTTGCCTTCATTTTTTAACTTTTTATTAGGAAATATAGATTCACAGGAAGTTTCAAAGATAATAGGGAGAAGTTTCATATATCCTTCACTCACTTTTCCCTCAATGGTTCAATCTTACATAATTATAATATGACATCAAAACAGGATTTTGATGCTGGGACAATTGTATGTATAGCTCTATGTCATTTCAAATGTGCGTAGATTTGTGTAGCTACGACTACAGTTTAGATACAGACTTGTTTGATCATAGATCTCAGATTCTACATGTCTCCTTTGTGCTACCCCTTCTGGTCTTACCACACCCCTTCACTAACCACCCCAACCTCTAGCAATCACCAATCTGTTCTGTATTTCTATAATGTTGTAATTTTGGTAATATTTGTAACTGGAATTATATAGTATATGACCTTTTGATGTTGAATTTTTACACTCACAATAATGCCCTAGAGATTCATCCAAGTTTCTGCATATATCAACAGTTTATTTCTCTTTTATTTTGAGTAATATTCCATAGTATGGATGTACCACAATATGTTAAACCATTCACTTATCATAGGGCATTTGATCATTTACAGTTTTTGGCTACTACCAATATAAATATTATAAAAAATTTTGTACAGCATTTTGTGTGAATATAAGTTTTATGCAAATATAATTGCCCGCAAGTCCAAGGACTGGGTTGTATAGTAAGTGTATGTCTAGCTATCTACACAACTGCCAGACTATTTTCCAGAATGACCACCATTTTCACCAGCAGTGTATGAGAGATCTAGTTACTGTGTCTTTGCCAGCATTTGCTATTGTCATTGCTTTTTCATTTTAGCCATTCTGCAGTGACATCTCACTTGTAGTGTAGTGATAACTCATTTTGTTTTTACTTTGCATTTCCCTAATGACTAATGATGTTGGACATCTTTTCATCTGCTTATTTACCATCCATATAGCACTTTTTGGTAAAATGTCTGTTCATGTCATTCCTTCGTTTTCTAATGTGATTTTTTATTTTTAGTTTGAGAGTTCTTTATATTCTCTAAATGTATGTCCTTTATCAGATACGGCATTTTAAAATATTTTATTTTAGTCTGTAGTGTGCTTTTTCGTCCTCTTTAACAGAGCGAAAGCTTAATTTTAATGAGATTCAATTACTGAGGTTTTTTTTGGGGGGAGGGGGATTGTTCTTTTGGTGTCATGTCTAAGAACCCTTCACAAGACCTATCCTAAAAATTTTGCCCTGAAGATTTTGTCTTAGATTGCTCTCTAAGAGTTTTAAGGTTTTATATTTCACATTTAAAGCTGTGATTCATTTTGAGTTAATTTTTATATAAGGTATGAGGTTTAGGTTGGGGTTCATTTTTTTGCCTATGAATATCCAATTGTCTCAGCACTACTTATTGAAAAAAGGCTTCCTCCATTGAATTGTTTCTGAACCTGCTCAAAAATCAAATGGCTGCACTCACATGGATCTATTTGTCAATTCACTATTTTGTTCCATCTTTGTATCATTCCACCAATACCACAGTGTTAATTACTGTTGATATATAAAAACTCTCAATGTTAGATAAAGTGATTCATCTCATTTTTTCTTCTTTTTTAGAATTGTATCAGCTATTCTAATTTCTTTGCTCTTCCCTATAAATTTAGATTATTCTTTTCACATACTGAAAATACTGTGCTCAGATATTCATTGCACTGGTGTTAAACCTGTACATCAATTTGGGGAGAACAGACACCACTGTATTGAGTCTTATAATTCCCAAAAGCAACATATCTTTATTTAGATCTTCTTTGATTTCTTCCATCAGCATATTGTAATTTTCATCATCAAGTACTATACTGGTTTGTTAGATTTATACTTGAGTATTTCATTTTTGAACTATTATCAGTGGTACTGTGTTTATTCCAGTTCCCACACGTTTACTGCTAATATGGAAATACTATTGCTTTTTTATAACTATCTTGTATTCTGTAACTTTTCTGAACTCACTTATTACTTCTTGAAGTTTTTGGTATATTCTTGGAATCTTCTACATATACCATCATGTCATCTACAAATGACAGTTTTATTCCGCCTTTCTGATCTGTATGACTTTTAAGCCTATTCTTCCTTCACTGACTAGAATTTCCCCAACTATGTTGCATAGCACTGGGGAGAGTGAGAATTCTCTCCCATCTGTTCCCAATTTTAGGGGCAAGCATTCAGTTGGTAACTATTAAGTAGGATGTTAGCTATAGGTTTTTCTGTAGATATTCTTCATCAAGTTGAGGAAGTTGCCCTATTTTCCTAGTGTTCTGAGATTTTTAAAATTATGAGTAGATGTTGAATTTCATCAAATTCCTTATGTTTATCTATTTATATGATCCTGTGATTTTTCTCCTTTAGACCTGTAATATACCCCACTTGGTCACTGTGTATAATTTTTTACATATCACTGAATTCTATTTGCTAATATTTTGTTAAAGATTTTTGCATCTATATTCATTAAAAATATTGGGCTATGGTCTTCTTTTTTTGTGTGTGCCATTTTGCCTGCTTTTGCTAATAGGGTAATACTGGGTTCATAGAATAAGTTAAGAAGTGTTCTTTCCACATCTGTTTTCTGAAAGAAATTGTATAGAATTGAAGTTCTTTTTTAAACATTTAGTGAATTATGCTGTGATATTGTTAAAAGGAAGTTTTTACGTCATAAATTCAATTTTCATGGCTGTAGGGCTATTCAAATTATCAATTTCATATGGGTTAGCTTATACTTTTCAATTAATTTATTTATGTCATTTCAGTTGTCAAATTAATATGTGTATAGATGTTTGTAGTATTCTCTTATTCTCTTTTTGTGTCTGCAGAGTCTGTAGTGATATCCCTGTTTTTCTGGGCTTAGTAATTTGCATCTTTTCTCTCTTATCTTGGACAAACCTTCTGGAGGTTTGTCAGTTTTATTGTCTTAAAAACGAGCCTCTCTCTCACAGTTTTCTTTCCATTGTTTTTCTGTATCCAATTCATTGAATTCTGATCTTAGCCTTATTATTCTCCTTCTTCTGCTTGCTTTGGATTTGTTTTCTTCTTGTTTTCTACTTTACTTTTCTTCTTTTTCAACATTTTTGAAGTAAAGGCTTAGATTATTGATTTTAGCCTTTTTCTTTTTTTAACGTAAGCATCTAGTACTCTATGATGCCCACTAAACATTGATTTAACTGTACCCCATAAATTTTAAGTACCGTATTTTTATTAAGTTCAATTTTTGTATTTCCCTTGTGACTGCCTCTTTGACCCAAGGATTGTTTATAAATATGTTATTTTGTTTCCAAGTGCCTGGAGAGTTTCCTGCTACATTCTGTGATTTTTGTCTCCTTCAATTTCTTTGTGGTCAGGAACACACAGTGTGAATTGCATTCTTCTAAAATTATATAGATTATGTACAATCCGTCTTGATATATATTCTGCAAGTGCTGGAAAAAACATGTATTCTACTCATGTGAGGTGGACTGTTCTATAACTATTAATGGCATCCTGTTGGTTGATGGTGAGTGTTGGGTTCCTCTATATCCTTGCTGATTTTCTGTCTAGTTGTTCTATAAATTGCTGAGAAATAAATATTAAATTCTTCAACTATAATTGTATATTTGCCTTTACCTCAATTCAGTTTATTATTTTTTCCTTTATATATGTTGTAGCCCACTCGTTTGTTGCCTACACATTTAGGATTGCTATTTCTTTTTTTGTTTGTTTTTTTATACTTTAAGTTTTAGGGTACATGTGCACATTGTGCAGGTTAGTTACATATGTATACATGTGCCATGCTGGTGCGCTGCACCCACTAAATCATCACCTAGCATTAGGTATATCTCCCAATTTCTTTTCTTTTTTTTTTTAGAGACGGAGCCTCTCTCTGTCACCCAGGCTGGAGTGCAGTGGCGCGATCTCGGCTCACTGCAAGCTCCGCCTCCTGGGTTCACGCCATTCTCCCACCTCAGCCTCCCGAGTAGCTGGGACTAGAGGCGCCCGACACCATGGCCGGCTAATGTTTGCATTTTTTTAGTAGAGACGGGATTTCACTATGTTAGCCAGGATGATCTCGATCTCATGACCTCGTGATCCGCCCGCCTCGGCCTCCCAAAGTGCTGGGATTACAGGCGTGAGCCACCGCGCCCAGCCTAGGATTGCTATTTCTTTGTGATGGATTAACATTTTTATTAAGTAATGTCCGTCTTTGTCCTTGGAAATTTTTTTGCTGTGAAATATACTTTGTCTAATATTTATATAGCCATACTTTCATTCTTTTAATTCTTGTTTGCATGATATATCCTTTCCTTCTTTTTAATTCTAAGCTACTATATCTGAGGTGAGTTTTTCTGTACACAGAATACAATTGTGTCATTTTTGTTTCCACTCTGCCATATTCTTTCTTTTATTTGTTATTAAATGAAAGAGACATGAAACATCAGAAGGTAAGAAAAATTAAAGAGTAAATACAACAAACTTTTCTTTTGAGTTTTAAAAATTATGTTTGAGAATTGAAGCAAAAATTATAACACTACCTAATGTGGTACTCAGTGTATGTGAAAGAATTGTTTAAGACAATTATAAGTGAGAGAAGGTAAAGAAGTTAAAAAGGAAGTAAGGTTTCCCCACTTCACTCAAACTGATAAAATGGACAGTTATGATTTTACAGGCATACCTCAGAGATATTATGGGTTCAGTTCCAGACCACCTCATTTAGGTGACTATCACAATAAAGCAAGTCACACAATTTTTTTGCTTTCCCAGTGCATATAAAAGTTTACACTATACTGTAGTCTATTAAATGTGCAATAGCATTATGTCTTTAAAAAGTATATGGCTTAATTAAAAAATACTTTATTGCTAAAAATGCTGACACAACAACACTAAATGGGCACATGCTGCTAGAAAATGGTGCTAATAGACCTGCTTAATGTAGGATTGCCACAGACCTTTAATCTATTTAAAAAATACAATATATGTAAAGCAAAATAAAACAAGGTATGCCCATATAATGCAACACCTAGAGAAGCCACTAAAAATGCTATAAAAAGATATCTAATAAAAACACTATACAAAAAAAAAGACTATAGATGCACCAAAATGGGATTATAAGAAAAAGTTCAAGTGACCCACAGAAATGCAGGAAAAAGAAAAGAGAGAAACAAGAAAGAAAAAGAACAGTTCATTTTAAAAATGGCATACAACTGTAGCATATCAATGACCACATAAAATGTACATTGTTTTCTTCATTTTTAGAACAATAATGGCCATAAATTCCCATTGTAAAAGTGAAAGTAGAAGTTCAGAAGTTTATAAGTTTGGAAAATAATGTTCTTTTTCACCTAATCCCACATCCATGAATAACTGTACTTGAATTTGCTGTGCACACTTTCTGGCAATTATCCATGAGTAAATAATGACAGTGGAAGCAAGAGACAGTAGGAGTGAGAGAGAGTTTGGTTTTTCAGAGAATCCACAAGCTACTTATTTTTTGGTGGTGGGCTTGGGGGGATTCTTTATTTTCCTTTGAACTTTTATTTTAAGTTCAGGGGTACATGTTCACAATGTGCAGGTTTGTCAGACAGTTACATGTGTGCCATGGTGGTTTCCTACGCAAATCATCCCATCACCTTGGTATTAAGCCCAACACCCATTAGCTAGTCTTCCTGATGTTCTCCTTACACCCACACCCAATAACAGGCCCCAATCTGTGTTGTTCCCTGACATGTGTTCATGTGTTCTCATTACTCAGCTCCCACTTATAAGTGAGAACATGTGGTGTCTGGTTTTCTGTTCCTGTGTTAGTTTGCTGAGGATAATGGCTTCCCACTTCATCCAGGTTTCTGCAAAGGACAAAATCTCATTCCTTGTCCACTGGTATGTCATGGTGTGTATTACCAAATTTTCTTTATCGAGTCTATCATTGATGGGCATTTGGGTTGATCCATGTCTTTGCTATTGTGACTAGTGCTGCAATGAACTTATGTGTGCATGTATCTTTATAATAGAATGATTTATATTCCTTTGGGTATATACCCAGTAATGGGATTGTTGGGTCAAATGGTATTTCTGCCTCTAGGTCTTTGAGTGATCATCACACTAACTTCCACAATAGTTGAACTAATTTACACTCCCACCAACAGTATAAAAGCATTCCTTTTTCTCTGCAACCTCACCAACATCTGTTGTTTTTTGACTTTTTAATAATTGCCATTCTGATTGGCATAAAATGCTATCTCAATGTGGTTTTGATTTGCATTTTGTTAGTGATCAGTGATACTGAGCTGTTTTTCATATTTATTGGCCACATGTATGTCTTTTTTTTTGAGTAGTGTCTGTTCACATCCTTTGCCCACTTTTTAATGGGGTTGTTTGTTTTTTGCTTGTAAATTTAAGTTCCTTGTAGACTGGATATTAGATCTTTGTCAGATGGATAGACTGCAAAAATTTTCTCCAGTTCTTTCGATTATCTGTTCACGCTGATGAGTTTCTTTTGCTGTGCAAAAGCTCTTTAGTTTAATAGGATTCCATTTATCAATTTTTGCTTTTGTTGAAATTGCTTTTGGTGTCTTCTTCATGAAATATTTGCCCATGCTTATCTCCTGAATGGTACTGCCTAGATTTTCTTCTAGAGTTTTTGAAGTTTGGGGTTTTACATTTAAGGCTTTAATCCATCTTGAGTTTATTTTTGTGTAGGGTGTGAGGAAGGGGTCCAGTTTGAATTTTCTGCATATGGCTAGCCAGTCCTCCCACCACCATTTATTAAATAAGGAATTCTTTCCCCATTGCTTGTTTTTGTCAGGTTTGTCAAAGATCAGATGGCTGTAGGTGTGCAGTCTTATTTCTGAGTTCCCTATTATGTTCCATTGGTCTATGTGCCTTTTTTTTTTTTTTTTTACCAATACCATGATGTTTGGGTTGCTAGAGCCTTGTAGTATAGATTAAGGTCAGGTAGAGTGATGCCTCCAGCTTTGTTCTGTTTGCTTAGCATTATCTTGGCTATTCTGGCTCTTTTTTGGTTCCACATGAATTTTAAAATAGTTTCTTCTAATTCTGTGAAGAATTTCAATGGTAGTGTAATGATAATAGCATTGAATATATAAATTGGGCAGTACGACCACTTTCATGACATTGATTCTTCCTACCCATGAGCATAGAATATTCTTCCATTTGTTTGTGTTTTCTCTGATTTCCTTGAGCAGTGGTTTCTAGTTCTCCTTGAAGAGTTCCTTCACTTCCTTTATTACCTGTGTTCCTAGGTATTTTGTTATGTTTGTAGCAATTGTGCATAGGACTTCATACATGATTTGGCTCTCTGCTTGCCTGTTGTTGGTGTATAGGAATGCTTGTGACTTTTGCATATTGATTTTGTATCCTGAGACTTTGCTGAAGTTGCTTATCAGTGTAAGAAGCTTTTGGGCTGAGACGATGGGGTTTTTTAGATATAGAATCATGTCATCTGCCATGATTGTATATCTAGAAAACCCCATCGTCTCAGCCCAAAATCTCCTTAAGTTGATAAGCAACTTCAGCAAAGTCTCACGATACAAAATCAATGTACAAAAATCACAAGCATTCTTATACACCAACAACAGACAAACAGAGAGCCAAATCATGAGTGAACTCCCAGTCACAATTGCTTCAATGAGAATAAAATACCTAGGAATCCACCTTACAAGGGACGTGAAGGACCTCTTCAAGGAGAACTACAAACCACTGCTCAAGGAAATAAAAGAGGATACAAACAAATGGAAGAACATTCCATGCTCATTGGTAGGAAGAATCAATATCGTGAAAATGGCCATACTGCCCAAGGTAATTTATAGATTCAATGCCATCCCCATCAAGCTACCAATGACTTTCCTCACAGAATTGGAAAAAACTACTTTAAAGTTCATATGGAACCAAAAAAGAGCCCACATTGCCAAGTCAATCTTAAGCCAAAAGAACAAAGCTGGAGGCATCATGCTACCTGACTTCAAACTATACTACAAGGCTACAGTAACCAAAACAGCATGGTACTGGTACCAAAACAGAGATATAGATCAATGGAACAGAACAGAGCCCTCAGAAATAACGCTGCATATCTACAACTATCTGATCTTTGACAAACCTGAGAAAAACAAGAAAGGGGGAAAGGATTCCCTATTTAATAAATGGTGCAGGGAAAACTGGCTAGCCATATGTAGAAAGCTGAAACTGGATCCCTTCCTTACACCTTATACAAAAATCAATTCAAGATGGATTAAAGTCTTACATGTTAGACCTAAAACCATAAAAACCCTAGAAGAAAACCTAGGCATTACCATTCAGGACATAGGCATGGGCAAGGACTTCATGTCTAAAACACCAAAAGCAATGGCAACAAAAGCCAAACTTGACAAATGGGATCTAATTAAACTAAAGAGCTTCTGCACAGCAAAAGAAACTACCATCACAGTGAACAGGCAACCCATAAAATGGGAGAACATTTTCGCAACCTACTCATCTGACAAAGGGCTAATATCCAGAATCTACAATGAACTCAAACAAATTTACAAGAAAAAAACAAACAACCCCATCAAAAAGTGGGCGAAGGACATGAACAGACACTTCTCAAAAGAAGACATTTATGCAGCCAAAAAACACATGAAAAAATGCTTACCATCACTGGCCATCAGAGAAATGCAAGTCAAAACCACAATGAGATATCATCTCACACCAGTTAGAATGGCAATCATTAAAAAGTCAGGAAACAACAGGTGCTGGAGAGGATGTGGAGAAATAGGAACACTTTTACACTGTTGGTGAGACTGTAAACTAGTTCAACCATTGTGGAAGTCAGTGTGGCAATTCCTCAGGGATCTAGAACTAGAAATACCATTTGACCCAGCTATCCCATTACTGGGTATATACCCAAAGGACTATAAATCATGCTGCTATAAAGACACATGCACACGTATGTTTATTGCGGCACTATTCACAATAGCAAAGACTTGGAACCAACCCAAATGTCCAACAATGATAGACTGGATTAAGAAAATGTGGCACATATACACCATGGAATACTATGCAGCCATAAAAAATGATGAGTTCATGTCCTTTGTAAGGACATGGATGAAATTGGAAATCATCATTCTCAGTAAACTATCGCAAGAACAAAAAACCAAACACTGCATATTCTCACTCATAGGTGGGAATTGAACAATGAGATCACATGGACACAGGAAGGGGAACATCACACTCTGGGGACTGTGGTGGGGTGGGGGGAGGGGGGAGGGATAGCATTGGGAGATATACCTAATGCTAGATGAAGAGTTAGTGGGTGCAGCGCACCAGCATGGCACATGTATACATATGTAACTAACCTGCACAATGTGCACGTGTATCCTAAAACTTAAAGTATAATAAAAAAAAAATGAATCTGGATGCTCCTGTGTTGGGTGCATATATATTTAGGGTAGTTAGCTCTTTTTCTTTAATTGAACCCTTTACCATTATCTAATGCTGTTCTTTGTCTTTTTTTTTTCTGGGTTGGCTTAGTCTGATTTTTCAGAAACTAGGATTGTGACCCCTGCTTTTTTCTGTTTTACATTTGCTTGGTAAATTTTCCTTCATCCCTTTATTTTGACCCTATGTGTGTCTTTGCATATGAGATGCGTCTCTGGAAGACAGCATATCAGTGGGCCTTGACTGTATCCAGCTTTCCATTCTGTGTGTTTTAATTGGGGCATTTAGCCCATTTACATTTAAGGTTAATATTGTTATGTATGAATTTGATCCTGTCATCATGATGTTAATTGATTATTTTCCAGATTTGTCTATGTGGTTACTTCATAGTGTCACTGATCAGTGTGCTTCAGTGTGTTTTCGTAGTGGCTGGTAACAGTTTTTCCTTTCCATATTTAGTGCTTCCTTCTGGAGCTCTTGCAAGGCAGGCCTGGTGGTGATGAATTCCCTCAGCATTTGCTTGTCTAAGAAGGATCTTTTTAGGCAAGGCATAATGGCTCACACCTGTAATCCCATCACTTTGGGAGACCAAGGTGGGCAGATCACCTGAGGTCAGGAGTTTGAGACCAGCCTGGCCAAAATGGAGAAACCCCATCTCTACTAAAAATACAAAAATTAGCTGGACATGGTGGTATTTGCCTGCAATCCCAGCTACCCAGGAGGCTGAGGCAGAATAATAGCTGGAACCTGAGAGGCAGAGGCTGCAGTGAGCTGAGATTGCACCACTGCACTCCAGCCTGGGTGACAGATCAAGACTCTGTCTCAAAAAAAAAAAAAAAAAAAAAAAGAACACTTTTTAACTTTTCTGGGCCAAAAATTATCTTATTTCTCCTTCATTTATGAAGCTTAGTTCAGCTGGATTTGAAATTCTGGGTTGGAAATTTTTTTCTTTAAGAATATTGAATATTGGCCACCAATCTCTTCTGGCTTGTAGGGTTTCTGCTGAGAGATCCACTGTTAGTTTTATTGGCTCCCCTTTGTAGGTGACCTATCCTTTCTCTCTGGCTGCCTTGAACATTTTTTCCCTCATTTCATCCTAGGAGAATCTGAAAATTATGTGTCTTGGGGTTGGTCTTCTTGTGGAGTACCTTGCTGGCATTCTCTGAATTTCCTGAATTTGAATGTTGGCCTGTCTTGCTAGGTTGGGGAAGTTCTCCTGGATGATATCCTGGAGTATGTTTTCCAAATTGATTTTGTTCTCCTATCTCTTTCAGGTACCCCAACTGGTCATAGGTTTGATCTTTTCACATAATCCCATATTTCTTGGATATTTTGTTTGCTCCTTTTCATTCTTTTTTCTCTATTTTTGTCTGCCTGTCTTATTTTAGAAAGATAGTCTTCATACTCTGAGACTCTTTCCTCCAATTAGTCTATTCTGCTATTAATACTTGTTATTGCATTATGAAGTTCTCAAGCTGTGCTTTTCAGCTCCATCAGGTCAGTTATGTTCCTCTCTAAACTGGCTATTCCGGTTATCACCTCCTGTATTGTTTTATTGGGTTCTTAGTTTCTTTGCATTGGGTTACAGCATGCTCCTTTAGCTCAACAAAGTTTGCTATTACTCATCTTCTGAAGCCTACTTCTGTCAATTCAACCATCTCAGCCTCAGCCCAGTTCTGTGCCCTTGCTGGAGAGGTATTGCAGGCATTGGAAGGAGAAGAGGCACTCTGTTTTTTTGAATTTTCAGTGTTTTTGAGTTAATTATTTCTCATCTTTGTGGGCTTATTTACTTTCAATGTTTGAGGCTGCTGATCTTTCAATGGGATTTTTTTGTGGGGTCTTTTTTGTTGATGTTGTTGTTTTCTGTTTGTTTTACCTTTAACAACCAGGCCACTTGTTTGTAAGGCTGCTGCAGTTTGCTGGGGGTCTGTTCCAGACCCCAGTTGCCTCTGTTTTTCCCAAACCTGGAGGTATCACCAATAAGGACTGTGAGAGAGCAAAGATGGTAGCCTGCTCCTTCCTCTGGAAGGTCCATCCCAGGGGCGTACTGAGCTGTTGTTGGCCCAAGTGCTTTTGTAGGGGGTGTCTGGAGACCCCTGTTGGGAGGTCTCACCCAGTCAGAAGGGACAGGCTAAGGGACCCACTTAAAGAAGCAGTCTGACTGTTTTTTTGCTAAAGCAGGTGTGTTGTGTTGGGGGGACCCTTCCTTGTCTGAACCACCTGGACTCTCTAGAGCCAGCAGGGTGGGAAGACTGAGTCGAACGAACTACAGAGATGGTGGCCAGCCCTCCACTTGGGGGCTCTATCCCAGGGAGAGATCAGAGTTCTGTTCATGTAACTCTGGCTGGAGTTGCTGAAACTCCCACAGGGAGGCCCCGCCCAGTGAGGACAGACAGATCAAGGTTCCACTCAAAGAAGCAGTCTGGCCACAATCTGGCAACAGCTCTGCTATGTTGTGGGAGACCCCTCCTTGACCAGACCACATGGACTCTCCAGAGCCGGCAGGCTGGAACAGCAGAGCTGACCAAACTGCAGAGATGGTGGCTACCCTTCCCTGCCTCCCAGGAACTCCATCCCATCTCAGGCAGTCTCCAGCCTGTTTCCCTTGGCTTGCTGGAATTCTAAGCCAGTGAGCCTTAACTTGTGAGGTGCCACAAAATGGCATTGCTTGGCTCCCTAGATTCAGCTGCCTTCCTAAGGGAATGTTCAAACATGTCTTTCATATTGCCAGAATTCCTGGGGCCTGAGTATGTAAAAGTCCTGGGTCTCTGCATGTGCCTGAGTGGCTGGTCTGCTGTGATGACTCCACACAGCTTTGTGTATTGGGCCCAAGACCATGGTGGCATGGGCTCATGAAGGGATCTCCTGATCTGTGGGATGCAGAGATCCATGAGAGAAGCGTGGTTTTCCAGGTGGGGTTGCAAAATCACTCACCACTTCCCTTAGCTGGAGATGGGGATTCTCTTGGCTCCATGCTGCTCCAGGGTGGGCCATCACCCCACCCCGCATTTTTTCACACTCCGTGGGTCAGGTTGTTTGCCTAGTCAGCCCCAGTATGAGAACCTGGATATTTCAGTTGAGGGTGCTGAATTCATTTGCCGCTTTCCTTCCGCTCTGTGAGTGCTGGAGACCACAGCTCCTTCTAATTGGCCTTTTTTTTTCCCCAAAATCTACATATTTTTCTACAACTTGCTTTTCTTTTCTGACTCCATAGAGTATATATTTATTTCACTGCTTTAGACTATGTATTAATAAATAATACAAATCTACTAAAATTTATACAATTCTATCTTCCAATTTTGCTATTAGAAAGTTGTTCTTAATTAATTTAAAATACGTTACATAACATTATATTGTACATGATATGCATATTACTTATACTATAAACAATCTAATGAACATCAATTAACTTCTAGATAAGTTCTGTGATCCCCATTGTACAGAGAAAGCAAGTGGGGCTACAGGGAGTTCTATCCTTTTTTGTATTAACTGGTGAGACAATAATTCAAAACCAGGGCTACCTATTTCCTTTCTACTGCAAAATGTTCCATCTAAATGAAGCCTGAGAAACCCAGCACTACCCACTTGTTAGGCATGTTTGAAATGCTTGAGTAGTTGGCCATTTTCCTTGTAGCATTTATTTGATCTGAAAACACCTTCAACATAGATGAAACAAAATATTTTATACTAAACCAACCTACCATTGGCTCAACATAAACCCAGATATGTACAGATTCTGTATGAGGGGGTAGGTGGCGGGGCTTGTATTAGTTTCCTTAGTCCTTGAAAAGAATCCCCATAATTTCATATTATTTTATTTCAATCCAGATAATTAAAGTCAAAAATGATATAATAAATGTCATTACTCTGTCAAAATTCTAGCTTAAATGGACCTCTGGCCTATTCTAGCAAGTGTTTATCACAATGAAAGAATGACTCCTTGAAAGGGCTGCATTTCTTTCATTTTTACAGTAAATTTACCCTAGGAAAAAGCTTATACCAACTTATTATATCTCAGACCTCACTAAATGTTTAATTGAAGAGAATTATTTCTTGTTTCTTGTTCCTCCACTACATAATTTCTGTAATAAGCAATAGAAAATGTAAGGCCATTTCTCAGACATCCATTATATAACAGGGTTAATATACTTGTAAAGAATAGCACCTAGATGGAAGTTGCATTTTAAGAATACTAGTACAAAGACACTTTGAAGCCTTCAAAAATATGTGAATATGAACATATTTTGGGAAATTGCTCTCCAATTAATTCTACTAATTTCAAGAACTAGAAAGAGAAATAAAATAAGTGGCTGTGAATAATTATGTTTCTAAAAAGGTACAGAATTACATTTTAACGTTATTTAGAATAAATACAAATACCTGTTTAATATAGTGAAAAAATGCTTCTCTATGTTTCTAAGAACCACGCACATTAGAAGTCAGTCTTCTTCTAAGAAAATCTTCTTCATTTTGAAGATAAATCTGTTTCATCTTTCATCTAGTAACTCTCTCTTTACTTGATGATTATAAATTTTTTTTAATTTGGAAATAACACTATTGTGAGTATTTGTCATGAAAAGTCAAATTGAAAAAAGTGACTTAAAATATAGAGCCATTTTATTGCAAAAAGTCACAAGGATGTTCCTGCTTTTCTGGGTCCTTCTCTTGGTCCTTTCTAGACTTTTGGTAGTCATGGGTCGAGGAAACAGCACTGAAGTGACTGAATTCCATCTTCTGGGATTTGGTGTCCAACACGAATTTCAGCATGTCCTTTTCATTGTACTTCTTCTTATCTATGTGACCTCCCTGATAGGAAATATTGGAATGATCTTACTCATCAAGACCGATTCCAGACTTCAAACACCCATGTACTTTTTTCCACAACATTTGGCTTTTGTTGATATCTGTTATACTTCTGCTATCACTCCCAAGATGCTCCAAAGCTTCACAGAAGAAAATAATTTGATAACATTTCGGGGCTGTGTGATACAATTCTTAGTTTATGCAACATTTGCAACCAGTGACTGTTACCTCCTAGCTATTATGGCAATGGATTGTTATGTTGCCATCTGTAAGCCCCTTCGCTATCCCATGATCATGTCCCAAACAGTCTACATCCAACTCGTAGCTGGCTCATATATTATAGGCTCAATAAATGCCTCTGTACATACAGGTTTTACATTTTCACTGTCCTTCTGCAAGTCTAATAAAATCAATCACTTTTTCTGTGATGGTCTCCCAATTCTTGCCCTTTCATGCTCCAACATTGACATCAACATCATTCTAGATGTTGTCTTTGTGGGATTTGACTTGATGTTCACTGAGTTGGTCATCATCTTTTCCTACATCTACATTATGGTCACCATCCTGAAGATGTCTTCTACTGCTGGGAGGAAAAAATCCTTCTCCACATGTGCCTCCCACCTGACAGCAGTAACCATTTTCTATGGGACACTCTCTTACATGTACTTACAGCCTCAGTCTAATAATTCTCAGGAGAATATGAAAGTAGCCTCTATATTTTATGGCACTGTTATTCCCATGTTGAATCCTTTAATCTATAGCTTGAGAAATAAGGAAGGAAAATAAGCTTTAAAAGTGATAGGAAAAAAGTTTTGTTAAGTTAGACACAGTTGTTAAAATTCAACACAACAAAGCATCCAGCACAGCTAATCTGCCAAAATTTAAAGTTTCTAAAATAGGGAGCATGTAGGAAAATCTCAAATTAACCATCTAACATCACACCTAGAGCAATTAGAAAAAAGAAATAACTAAAATCAGAACAAAACTGAACAAAATTGAGACCCAAAAGTCCATACAAAGAATCAATGAAACCAAAACTTGTTTTTTATTTTGAAATAATCAATAAGATTGGTAGGCTTCTATCTAGATTCACAAAGAAAAAAAAAGGAAAGATCCAAATAAGCACAAGCAGAAAGGACAAAGGTGACATTATAAACAATCCCACAGAAATACAAAAGATCCTCAGAGACTATTATGAACATCATTTCTATGCAAATAAACTAGAAAATCTAGAGGAAATAGATAAATTCCCAGGAACACACAACCTCTCAAGATTTAATCAGGAAGAAATTGAAACCTTGAATGAACCAATATCAAGTTCTGAAGTGGAAGCTAAGTGCCATCCAAAAAGGGGCCCAGACAAGACAAATTTGCAGTCAAATTCTACTAGATGTAAAAAGAAGAGCTAATACCAATGCTATTGAAACTATTTCAAAATATTGAAGAGGAGGAACTCTTTTGTAACCCATTCTACAAAGCCACAATTACCCTGATACCAAAACTTAGCAACGACAAAACAAAACAAAAAATAAAACTGCAGGCAAATATCCCTGATGAACATAGATGCAAAGCCAACAGTGAAATACTAGCAAATCGAATTGAACAGCACATCAAAAGTTAATTCACCATGATCAAGTAGGCTTCATTCTTGGGATGCAAGTTTGGCTCAAAATATGCAAATTATTAAATCTGATTCACCACATCAATAGTATTTAAAACAAAAACCATATGATCATCTCAATAGATGCAGGAAAATTCTTCAATAAACTCCTACATCCCTTTATAATAAAAACCCTCAAAAAACTAGGCATCAAAGCAACGTATCTCAAAATAAGTGCCATCTATGACAAATTCACAGCCAACATTATAATGAATGAGCAAAAATTGGAAGCATTTCCCCTTGAGAACTAGAACAAGACAGGGATGCTCACTGTCACCATTCCTATTAAATGTAGTACTGGAAGTCTTAAGTAGAGTAACCAGACAAGAGAAAGAAACAAAAGGCATCCAAATAGAAAAAGAATCAAACTAACTCTCTTTGTGGAGAATATGATTCTATATCTAGAAAACTCCAGACTCTGCCAAAAGGCTCCTGAAACTGATAAATGACGTTAGTAAAGTTTTAAGTTACAAAATCAATATACAAAAATTAGTAGCATTTTCATACACCAATAAAGTTCAACCTGAAAGCCAAATTTAAGAACACAATCCCATTTACAATAGCCACCAAAAAAATAAAATAAAATACCTAGGAATACAACTAACCAAGGAGATGAAATATCTCTACAAAGAGAATTACAAAATATTGCCCAAAGAAATCAGAATGACACAAACAAATGAAAAAGCAGTCCATGCTCATGGATAAGAATAATCAATATCATTAAAATGGCCATACTATCTGAAGCAATCTACAAATTCAGTGCTATTTCTATCAAACTACCAATACCATTTTTTTTTACAGAATTAGAAAAACTATTCTAAAATTTATGTGAAACCACAAAAGAGCCAAAATAGCCAAAGCAATCCTTAGCAAAAAGAACAAAACTGGAGACATCACATTACCCACTTCAAAACATACTATAAGGCTACAGTAACCAAAACAGCGTGGTATTAGTACAAAAACAGAAATATAGACCCCGTGGAACAGAATAGAGAACATAGAAACAAAGCCACCCACATACAACCATCTGATCTGTGATGAAGTCAACAGAAGTAAGCAATGGAGAAAGGACTTCCTATTTAATAAATTGTGCTGGGATAACTGGCTAGCTAGCCATATGCCAAAAAATGAAACCGGACCCTACCTTTCACCAGACACAAAAACTAATTCAAGATAGGTTAAAGATTTAAATGTAAGGCCTCAAACTATAGAAATCCTAGAAGAAAACCAGGGAAATGCCTTTCTGGACATCAGCCTTGGGAAAGAATTTATGACTAAGTCCTCAAAAGCAATTGCAACAAAAACAAAATTTGACAAGTAGGACCTAATTAAATTAAAGAGCTTCTGCACAGTTAAAATATATATATATATATATATATATATATATATATATATATATATCAACAGAGTAAGCAACCTACAAAATAGAAGAAAATATTCACAAACTATGCATCTTACAAAAGTCTAATATCAAGAATTTATAAGGAACTTAACTCAACAAGCAAAAAAACAAATAACCCTATTAAAAAGTGGACAAAGGACATGAACAAACACTTCTCAAAAGATATACAAGCAGCCAACAAACATATGAAAACAATGCTTAACATCACTAATCACCAGAAAAATGCAAATCAAAACCACAATGAGACAGCCATCACACACTGGTCAGAATGGCTATTATTAAAAAAGTCAAGAATAAAACCAATAGATGCTAGTGAGGCTGCAAAGAAAAGATAATATTTATGCACTGTTGTTGGGAATCTAAATTAGTTCAGCCACTGTGGAAAGCAATATGTAGATTTCTGAAAGTACTTAAAGCAAAACTGTCATTCAACCAAGTAATCCCATTACTGGATATATATTGAAAAGAAAATAAATTTTTCTACCAAAAAGACACAGGTGCTGGCATGTTCATCACAGCACTATTCACAATAGCAACAATACAATCAACCTAAGTGCCAATCAGTGGTGGATTGGGTAAAGAAAATGTGGTACATATACACCATGAAATACCATACAGCCATAAAAATGAACAAATTCATATCCTTTGCAGCCACATGAATATAGCTAGAGACCATTATCCTAAGTGAATTAATGCAGGAACAGGAGAGCAAATATTGAATGTGCTTACTTATAAGTGGGAGCTAAACATTGAGTACACAAGGACACAAAAATGGGAACAATAAACACTAGGGACTACTAGCGTGCAAGGAAGCAAGTGGGGCAAGGATTTAAAAACCAACTGTTGGGTACTATACTCACTGCCTGGGTGACAGGATTGTTCTTATCCCAAACTTCAGCGTCATGCAATATACAAACTTGTACATGAACTTCTGAATCTAAAATAAAAGTTGAAATTATAAAAAACAAAATAAAGAACATATCTACATCATAAACCAATGCACTTCTTTCCATAGATAAGCTCTTACATTTTGGAAAATATAACAGAAATATTTCCTGGAGCTGAAAAATGCTTCACAGGAAATATTGACAATACACAGTTTTAAAGTTTCTGACTTCACCATTACAGCAAAAAGAAATTAAATGAAAACACTCTCTCTGTAAAGATAGTTTAGGGAGATGCCTGATTAAACAGGAAATGTTGTAGTATCTTTCTTGCTATCTGATGGTTAATTTTTTTCTTTATTGGCTCTGAAAGATGGTGTGATCCATCCTGCCACGAGGAAAGATGAACATTCCCACCAACACAGAACATAAAGGTGAGCAATCCAACTTGCTCAGCATTGGATCCCCAACATCCAGCATATTTAGCACACTGTAGTTGATCAATAAACATTTGTTGGCTGGACATGGTGGCTCACACCTGTAATGCCAGCACTTTAGGAGGTTGAGGTGGGTGAATCGCCTGAGGTCAGGAGTTTGAGATCAGCCTAGCCAATATGATGAAAACCTGTCTCTACTAAAAATACAAAAAATTAGCCAGGCATGGTGGTGTGTGCCTGTAGTCCCAGCTACTCAGGAGTCTGATGCAGGAGGATCACTTGAGCCAGGGAGGCAGAGGTTGCAGTGAGCCAAGATTGTCACTGCACTCCAGCCTGGACCACAGAGCGAGACTCTGTCTAAAAGAGTAAATTAATTAAATAAATAAATAAATAAACAAACAAACAAACATATGTTGAAGGAATAAATGGACAAAAGAAAGCAGAAAGGAAAGATCAGAAATCTAGACAGAGGACTCTCAGTAGAGTTGAGAGGAGTCAGCTGCAGTCCAGTGCAGCTGTTTCTGGGTTGAAAAGTGAAGCAGCAACAAGAGCTTTGCCAAGCTTACTGGGTGAAGCAACTACTTGTAACAACATCGAAGAATGTTGTTGTAAATAAACACACAGAAAATACATGTCTGTCATTTTATATGCAGAAGTGTAGAATAAAAGAGCAACAGGATACAGGTGACCAGGTCGATTCTCTCAGTTCCTCAGTGTCAGCGTTATCAATTTTTCAATCCACAGTTTATGGAATAAAACATGTGAAACCAGCTTGGTAGCTTGAGCAAGCTATCAGGGATCTCCAAGAATTGCTGGGTTTTTATTAATAATGTTTTCTTTTTATTTGTATGTATGTGTCACAGAAGATACAAAGGCAGAATATCTAATGGTATACAGGAATTATAGACACCAAGAAGAATGCGGGCAGAGCTATCACTTAACCCAGAGTAGTAGTGGGCAATTTTGTCAGTGGATGCATGTGTCGTGTCTCCATCATTCCCCACCAAGAAAACTACATATTTTATGAATTAATCCTTAACATCTGGCATGATTCTTTGCATAAATAACTTATTAGCACAGTTAAGAAAGAAGTCACACTGCTTTCAAGGATATTGGAGCTGTAATATCCTACTGCCAAAGATATTGATGCTCGATCTTCTATGAGGCAGAAGATAATGGTCACCTACCACTACAGTAAAAGGGAAAGTGATTTTGAGGAATAGTAAACATAATCGTAAATCAGAATTATGCCAGGTGGTGTGGAATGGAGTTGAATAGTGCAATTCTCTAAGACTTAAATTTTTGGATAAATTATAAGGTTACTTTACTCCTGTCTAACCTGAAAGGGATGCTTTCCACATTACATTTTTAAGCATGATATTTGCTGTAGTTTTAATTGATGATATTTATTGAGGTTAAATAGATTCCTGTCTATTCTTAGTTTGCTAAGAGCTTTGCATAATAAATTTATGTTGACTTTTAGTAAATCTTTTTCTGTATCTGCTGGAACAATCATATGGTTTTCATCCCTTGATATGGTAACAGTTAACCATATGTCAATGTATGTAATTGGTTTTCTGGAATTAAAGCAATCTTATGTTCTTAGAGTAAAAATAAATAAATAAATAAATAAATAAATAAGGTGGTGGTCCTCATCATATCCTCATTTAACTCACCAGTCCAGGACCTACAAAATCCAAACAGATACTGGCAGAAAATTGACTACCACAACCTTAGCCAAATGGAAGCACCAATCTCAGTCACTGTACCAGATGTGCAATTGCTACTGGAAAAAACAGCTTCTAGTACTATGCACTGACACTAAATTGGAAATACATTCTTTTCCACAAGTATCAGGAAGGAAGTTCAGAAGCAAGATACATTCTCTTAGCATAGATATCACGAAACATTCCCAATCATTCCCAGGGCTATCTGAACTCTCCTGAGCCACAGTGTGGCCTATTGGACCTTGACCATTAAAAAACTTGTAGAACAACACTCCGCTCCACTTTAGTGATGATATGATTGGACCTGAGAAAGAGGAAGTAGCAAGTACCCTGTGCTAGTTTGTTACAGAAGCAATAGAAACAGAAAACTAGTGCAAACTTCATGAAAAATAATTGTACCAAGTAACATGTACAATAAAATGTATAGCAATATTGTGTATAGTAGCAAAATCTGGGAACTACCCAAACATCCACTGGTAGAATGTTTTCGTCTAAATCCTCTAAGAAGCAGACACCAAGATGGGATTACACATGCAAACATTTTGTTAGGGGGATGCCTATGTAAAAGGAAATAGGGAGGACAATGGGAAAAGCTAAGAGTGATGCAAGTTTGACTCCAAGTCAAGAAGAGAGGGAGAGAAGATTGGGAAGAAGCATGTGAGAATGTCATGAAGCAGAAAGATGATTTGGCAAACTTACTGAGAAATCCTTGAGCCAAAATGGGCTGACAAAGGAGTCCTGTGTTTCTCAGATATGGGTCTACCTTAGAATCCATACTGCACACAGTCATTTTCACATCCCCTTGAAAAACTACTACAAGGGAATTCAAAGTAAGAAGCTGAGATCCTTGGTGATTTATACTAGTTGAAAGAGGTATACAAATTCATTAACACAGCTGCTATACTGGTGAAGGGATAAATTTAATTACATTTTAATCAAATGATGGAATATTATGCAGCAGGGAAACTATGACACGACAGATAAATTTTAGTACTGTTGAGTAAAAATAAACATCACACAATAAAATAGAAGGAAATTTTTTATTAACTTCAGTAACAGGCAAACTAGAAAGCATATGGTTTGCATGTCTCTGTGTGTGTGTGTGTGTGTGTGTGTGTGTTTATGTAAAGCTATAAATCAAAAAATAAAAGAACACAAAGAAACATTCTGTGAATGTTGCCATTTGCAGATAAGGAAGAGGCTAAGCAGGTGCACAATACAGGGAAGGAGTACATTGGTAGGTATATCTTATAGATAATTTTTGAGTCATTGGACTAGATTATCTACTTAATAAATTATTATGTAATTAATATTAAATAATGTTGTGCATGGACCAATGGCAACAGTGTGTCATGAAACAGGGTGATGACTAATCCAATTCTCTGCACATTGTTATGATATGTTTAATTAAAATAAAATTCCAAAATATTCAGAAAGCTGAGTGCTTTCTAAGAAACTGTTCTTTCTGTATAAAACAGGCTGTGACTTTACATTAAACATCCTCAGGGAGACTGTGTACTAACCCAACCACTGCTATCACCCCCAGAATCAGGTCATTCAGGAGTCAATAATATGAAAGGGAACTTCTTTAAGAGACTAGCCCTATTCCAAAGCAAAAGAAATGACAGATTGCCCCTTTAGTTAATTCAATAAAATTCCATTTTCAGTGGTACAGTGTGGATTAGAAAGATTAGCTAGAACAGCTAACACTTATAATTAAATTTTATAGCTAAATTCCATCAATCTTAATTTCTGAAGTGCTCAGTAATCAAAAAAAAAAAACCCCTCAAGTTTTGTATGTCTTTCTCCAGAAAATTTTGGGCCTGGGGAAGAGGAAGTGGCAATTACCCTGTAGTAGTTTGTTACAGAAGCAATAAGAGGAAACTAGTGCAATATTCATGAAAAATAATTGTACCTAGTAACATGTACAATAAAATTTATAGCAATATTGTGTATAATAGAAAATAGTGTCTCATTCTTTTTAATGAGGCAAAAAGGGCAATTCAAAATATCAATTTTAAAGTAAAACACTTTTTCAGAGGGCAACATATATAACAGATAATTCACATGAAATGAAAAATTGATTGTGCTGAGAAATATGAAGATACCCAATCCAGCTCATATGAGAAAAGGCCAAACCAAATATATTATTTTTCACCTATACAAATAGCAAATTTTAGCCAGGCACAGTGGCTCATGCCTGTAATCTCACACTTTGGGAGGCTGAGGCAAGTGGATCACTTGAGGTTAGGAGTTCGGGACCAGCCTGGCCAATATGTTGAAACCCAGTCCCTACTAAAAATACAAAAATTAGCCAGACATGGAGGCACATGCCTGTAGTCCCAGCTATTTGGGAGGCTGAGCCAGGAGAATCCCTTGAACCCGGGAGGCAGAGGCTGCTGTGAGCAGAGATCACACCACTGAACTCAAGCCTGGGCTCAGAGCTAGACTTTGTCTCAAAAAAAAAAAAAAAGCAAAATTTGATAAAGTTTTGTCACAGTCTGGTAGAATTTAGAGAAACAGTCACTAGATTTGGTAGAAGTGGTATAAATTGGAAGAGCCTCTGGAGGGTAGCTGGGCAATAAGTATCAAAAGTTATCATTATTATACCATTTACTCAGTATTCTCTCCAAAATACCTATTAATCCTACAGATGTATTCACAATAATATTTACAGTAACATTGTTTATATTAGTAAAAGATTGAAAACAACCTAAATGTCAACCAATGGATGGGGGAAAGAGTCTGATTAAACAGAATAATGAATGCAACTGTTCAGCAAAATATAATACAACCATTAAAAAGAGTGAGGCTTCTCTTCTCGTACTGATGGAGACAAATCACCCAAAAATATTAGGAAAAATGAAAGCTGAGCAATGTGAATAATACATTATCTTTTGTTGCAGGGGAAAACAAAGAATATGAATTTAATATGTTTTCAAATGCAATGCAAGACTTGTATATCTGGAAGAATAACAAGAGCTTGTAACAGTGGTAATCTAAAGGGAAAGAAACTGAAGATTAGAAATTAATAGGCTGGGTGCAGTGGCTCATGCCTGTAATCTCAGCACTTTGGGAGGCTGAGGCGGGCAGATCACCTGAAGTCGGGAGTTCGAGACCAGCCTGATCAACATGGAGAAACCCCATCTCTACTAAAATTAAAAAATTAGCCAGGCATGGTAGCGCATGCCTGTAATCCGAGCTACTTGGGAGGCTGAAGCAGGAGAATCTCTTGAACCCGGAAGGCAGAGGTTGAGGTGAGCCAATATCATGCCATTGCACTGCAGCCTGGGCAACAAGAGTGAAACTCTGTCTCAAAAAAAAAAAAAAGGGAAAGAAAAGAAAAGAAATTAATAGATGGATGGGGATGGGGACATGGTTTGTACTCTATACACTTTCATACTTCTGAATTTTTTACCATATAGATGTTTTGTTATTCATCCCTCACCCTTGAAGAAAAGAGAAGGTGAGGGTAAGAAGAAATAAAAGCAGGAAGAAATGGAAAAAAAAAAAACACGGGAGAAAAGAAGGAAGAATAAAAGGGAGAGAGGGAAGAAGGTTAAAAGCAAAGTGTCAATAGCAGGGCAGTTCTCAAAAATGAAAGCAAAAAGTCCCTGACGGCATTAAAACAAGAATTTTCTTCCCCCTGGAGAGCTTAACTTCGCTTCAGCAGAAAATAACTAGCAAACATTGTTTTTCCCATTACGTCTGAGCCCCTGGAACCTCAGGTTCTCCAGGAAGTGGGTATTGATCTCTTATACCCCAGCTATATACTCGCTGATGAGGAGGAACTGAAAAGAGAGACCCTGGTCAGCAATCAGTGCCAGTTGCAGAAAGAGAACCTGTAGGCAACCTCAAAGTAAGTAAAACAAAGCAAATAGCATTTTTTTCAAAATCTGACATGTATCATGCCAGTACATGCAGGAAATTTTGGAAGAAAAGATTAGCCAAAGTCCCAGCATGTTTTCCCTCAAAACCAGGAGGAATTACTTCATCCCTGGTAATTTACTGGAAATAAAGGGATGGATTTGGTTCAGCCTGAGTATTACCTGGGAAAGAACATGAATGAACAAATGATTGAATAAATCAATCGATTGCTCAATTAACCAATTAATATAATATACCTTTAATGTATTATTTGCATTGTTATTAAAGTCATTTGCTGGGCATACTTTCCATGCCCAGCCCTGTGCTGAGAAATTTACATAAATTTGCTCACTTAAATCTCACATCACTGCACAATAGACTTTACTTTTTCTTCTTCATTTTTTTAACTTTTTATTTTGAAATACTTATAGATTCACAGGAAATTCCAAAGATAATAAGGAGAGGTCCCATATATCCTTCACCTACTTTTTCCTCAAGGGCACAGTTTTACACAATTATAACATGACATCGAAACAAGATTTTAATACTGGGACAGTTGTGTATAGCTTTATGTCATTTCATATGTATGTATACTTGTTTAGCTACCACTGCAGTGAAGATACAGCCTTGCTTGATCACAGAGCTCAGATTCTACATGTCTGCTATGTGCTACCCCTTCTGGTCACACCACACCCCTCCCCTTACCACTACAACCTCTGGCAATCACCAATCTATTCTCTATTTCTGCAATTTTATCATATTGATAATGTTTTGTAAATGAAATCATATAGTGTATGATCTTTGATGTTGGCTTTTTTACACTCACAATAATGCCCTTGAGAGTCATCTAAGTTGTTGCATGTATCAACAGTTTATTCCTCTTTATTTTGAGTAATATGTCATAGCATGGATGTACCACAATATTTTAAACCATTCATTTATTGTAAGGCACTTGATTGTTTACAGTTTTGGGCAACTACAAATGAAAATGATATGAAAACTGTTGTACAGCTTTTTGTGTGAATATGTTTTACGCAAATATAATTGCCTACAAGTCCAAAGACTGGGTTGTATGGTACGTGTATGTCTAGCAGCTTTTTACACAACTGCTAAACTTTTTTCCAGAGTGACTACCATTTTCATCAGCAATGTATGAGTGATCCAGTTACTCTGCATCTTTCCAGCATTTGTTATTGTCACTGTTTTTCTTTTTTTTCATTTTAGCCATTCTGTAGTGATATGTCATTTGTAGTGTAGTGATATCTCATCTTGTTCTTATTTTGGATTTCCCAAATTGTTAATGATGTTGGACATCTTTTCGTGTGCTTATTCACAACTCATATAGCCTTTTTTAATAAAATGTCTATTCGTTTCTTCCACTTGTTTTCTAATTTAATTTTTTTTTTTAGTTTGAAAGTTCTTATATTTTCTAAATACATGTTCTTTATCAGATACTGTATTTGAAAATGTTTTCCTCCAGTCTGTAGCATGCTTTTTCATCCTCTTAACTAGGTCTTTAACAGAGCAAAAGTTTAATTTTAATGACATCCAATTGTGGAAATTTTTTCTTTTTGGATAGTGCTTTTGATGTCATATCTAAGAACTCTTCACAAAACCTATCCTAAAAATTTTGCCCTGAAGATTTTGTCTTAGATTACTCTCTAAGAGTTTTAAGGTTTTCTATTTTACATTTAAAGCTATGATTCATTTTGAGTTAATTTTCATATAAGGTATGAGGTTTAGGTAGGGGTTCTTTTTTTGCCTATGAATATCTAATTGTTTCAGCATTATTTATTAAAAAAGCTTTTGACTCTGCTCAAAAATCAAATGGCTGCACTTGCGTGAATCTGTGAATTCACTATTTTGCTCCATCTTTGTATCTATCATTCCACCAATACCACAGTATTAATTACTGTGGATATATAATAAATCTTGATGTTAGGTAAAGTGATTCATTTCATTATTTTTCTTCTTTTTCCGAATTGTATTAGCTATTCTAACTCCTTTGCTCTCCCCTATAAATTTAGAATATTTTTGTCCACATGCCAAAAATATTATGCTGAGATTTTGATTGCAGTTGTGTTAAACCTATATATCAATTTAGGAAAAATTGACACCACTATATTGAGTCTTCTAACTCCTAAACTCAATAGATGTATTTATTTAGATCTTCTTTGATTTCTTTCATCAGCTTATTGTAATTTTCATCATCAAGTCCTATATTGGTTTTGTTAGATTTATACCTAAGTATTTCATTTTTTGAACTTTTATCAATGGTGTTGTATTTATCCCAGCTTCTACATGTTCACTGCTAATACGGTAATAGTGTTGATTTTTTTAGAACTATCTTGTATTCTGCAACTTTTCTGAACTTATTACTTTTAGAAGTTTTTGGTAGGTTCTTGGATTCTTCTACATAAACTATCGTATCATCTACAACGACAGATTTATTTCTTCCTTTCTGATCTGTATCACTTTTTATGCCTCTACATCTTTTCCTCTGACTAGAACTTCCCAAACGATGTTGAATAGCACTGAAGAGAATGAGTATCCTTGCCTGTTCCCAATTTTAGAGGCAAGCATTCAGTCTATAACTATTAAGTGGGATTTTAACTATAGATTTTTCTGTAGATGCTCTTCAGCAGGTTGAGGAAATTGCCCTCTTTTCCTAGTTTTCAGGGATTTTTTTAAATAAGTAGATGTTAAATTTTGTCAAATTCCTTTTCTTCATTAGTTTATATTATCTGGTGATTTTTCTCTTTTAGACCTGTAATATACTCCACTTGGTCATTGTGTATAATTTTATATACATAGCTGAATTATACTTGCCAATATTTTGTTACAGATTTTGCATTTATATTTATTAAAGATATTGGGCTGTGGTTTTTTGTTTGTTTGTTTGCTATTTTGTCCGCTTTTGCTAATAAGGTAATATTGAATTCATAGAGTAAGCTGGGAAATGTTCTTTTACATCTGTTTTCTGAAAGAAATTGTACAGAGTTGAAGTTAATTCTTTTTTATACATTTAGTGAATTTTCCAGTGATATTGTTGAAAGAAAGTTTTTACATTATAAATTCAGTTCTTCATGGCTGTAGGGCTATTCAAATTATCATTTTTTTCATATAGGTTAGTTTATACATTTCAATTAATTGATTCATTTCAGTTGTCAAATTAATATGTGTAGAGATGTCTGTAGTGTTGCAGGACTTTTCCTTAGTTCAGTTAAAGATGGGGTTCTTTGTCCCACCATCACAAAAATTCAGGCTCGCAGACAATTGCAATGGTGAGTGAGACATGGTTTTATTGGGTGAAAAGGAAGAAAAGGGGGAAACAGGGATTCTCGCGACGCCAGAGTCCCTGCTAGAGCACTTCCCACCCACCGTTCAAATCCCAGCTTCCACACAGGAAGAGGAGGAGCCAGGCTCCTCCCTGCTGCAGACATCGTGAACTTCCTGAGATTCTCCCTCAGTGGGCAGGGGGGCTGGAGTTTCTCTGAGGGCCGCCTCCCACCTGGCTGTCTCATTGCCCCCTCTAAAGAAGTACATCTAACTGCCCTTAGATTAAGGATAAGGACGAAGACCAATCTTAACTGCTTCCTGCTGACAGGGGCCTCTATTTTGGGGAAACAGCAATAAGAGCTTCCCTATTTAAGGGTTCCTGGCAGAAGGGGCCATCGTCTGAGACTCCAGTTGCATTACTGTTTGGTGTTTGATGGCCTGAAGGCAAGAACAGACAAACCGGGTTATTAGAAAACATGTATCAAAGTGAAACAAGGGGAGGGGTAAGGACAGCTCAAAAATTCCGAGACCTTTTACCAGTTTACACAGGGAGAGGGAGGCCAAAAGCCCAGCTGCGAGAAAACTTTTCACTTTTGCTGACATGCTGGGCGTCTGGGTTCCCTTCCCCTGAGCCCAATCCTAAAACAGCCAGTTTAAGGTTTGGGAAATTAACTTTTCAGTTTGGAGGATGCATCTGAGGGGAGTGTCCTATAGTACAGAGACACAATTACCTATTAGTGAAGAGAAAACCAAGGAGAAGAAAGGAAAAAGAAGGCATTTTTTAAAGGAGTCCCAAGGGTTCAGGATGCATTTGAAAGGGGTACAGACTAAAGATGAATGGCTACCCATCTAGAAAGACGCGAGCAGGGATCCCTGGTTCCCTTCTCTTTCTAGCAGCCAGAGATTGCTGGTTCAATTGCATTGTGGTCAGGAGCACAAACTGTGTGAATTCAATTCTTCTAAAATTACAGAGATTATATACAATCTGTCTTGATACATGTTCTGCAAGTGCTGGAAAAAATATGTATTGTATTCATGTGAGTTGGACCTTTCTATAAATATCAATGATATCCTGTTGGCTTACGGTGTTGAGTTCTTCTATATCTTTGCTGATTTTCTGTCTAATGCAGTAAATTTCTGAGAAAGGAATATTGAATTCCCCAGTTATAATTATAGATTGACCTTTATGGCAATTCAATTTTTTCAGTTTTTCCTTTATATATATTATAGTTTACTTGTTTGGTGCCTACACATTTAGGATTGCTATTTCTTCTTGATAGATTAACATTTTTATTATTATGTAATATTCTTCTTTGTCCTTGGTAATTTTCTTTGCTGTGAAATATACTTTAATATTTCTATAGACATACTTTCTTTCTTTTGATTAATGTCTGCATGATATATTTCTTGCTCCCCTTTATTTCAAACCTATATGTATCTTGAAGAGAGTTTCTTGTACACAATATAATTGCATCATTTTTCTATGCACTCTGCCATATTCTTTCTTTTAATTGTTATTAACTGAAAGAAACATGAAACATCAGAAGGTTAAGAAAGTAGAAAGGGTAAAATACAACAGACTTTCCTTCTCTCTTGAGTTTTTAAAATTATATTTGAGAGTTGAAGCAAAAATTATAATACTGCCTAAGGTTGTTCTCAGTGTACGTGAAGGAAATAGTTACAACAATTACATTATAAGTGGGAGACAGTAAAGAAACAAAAAAGGATGTAAGGTTGCCACACTTCACTAAAACTGGTAAAATGGACACAAGTTATGATTATACAGGCATATCTCAGAGAGATTGTGAGTTCAGTTCCAGACCACCTCAATTAAGTGACTATCACAACAAAGCAAGTCACACAAATATTTTGGTTTCCCAATGCATACAAAAGTTATGTTTATACTGTGCTGTAGTCTATTAAATGTGCAATATCATTATGTCTAAAAAAGCATATGCCTTTATTTAAAATACTTTATTGCTAAAAAATGTCAACACAAAGAAATTAAATGAGCACATGCTACTGGAAAATGGTGCTAATAGGCTTGTTTAATGCAGGATTACCACAAACCATTAAATTATTTTTTAAAAATGCAATATCTGTGAAGCAAAATAAAATAAAGTATGCTCATATAATGTAACACCTAGAGAACCCACTAAAAAACTATACAAAGATATCTAATAATAACGCTATATTACAAAATCACTGTAGATGCACCATAATGGGATTATTTTTAAAAAGTTCAAGTGACCCACAGAAACGCTGGAAAAAGAAAAGAGATAAACAAAAAAGAAAATGAACACTTAATTTAAAAAAATGGCAGACAACTTTAACGTATCAATGACCACATAAAACATAAACAATTTTCTCGGTTTTTCAAACAATAAAGGTCATGAATTCCTCTTATAAAAGTGAAAGTTTAGAAGTTTAGAAAATAATGTTCTAGTTCACCTAATGCCACACCCATGAATAACTATACTTGAATTGATGTGCACACTTTCTGGCATTTATCCAGAAATAAATAAAAAGAATGAAAGCAGCCAGGTGCAGTGGCTCATGCCTGTAATCCCAGCACTTTGGGAGGCCAAGGTGGGCGGATCACCTAAGGTCAGGAGTTCGAGACCAGCCTGGCCAACATGGTGAAGCCCCGTCTCTACTAAAGATACAAAAAATTAGCTAGGCATGCAGCATGCACCTGTAATCCCAGCTCGGGAGGCTGGGGCAGGAAAATTGCTTGAACCTGGGAGGCAGAGGTTGCAGTGTGCTGAGATGGCACCACTGCACTCCAGCCTGGGCAACAGGGCAAGATTCCATCTCCAAAAATAAAAAAGAATGAAAGCTAGAGACAGTAGGAGTGACAGAGAGTTTAGTTTTTTCAAGGAGTCCACAATTTACATATTTTTCTACAACATGCTTTTCTCTTTTGACTCCATAAGAGTATATATTTATCTCACTGCTTTAGACTAGATATTAATAAATAATATGAGTCTACTAAAATTTATACAATTCTATTTCCTAATTTTGCTATTAGAAGGTTTTCATTAACTTATTTTCAATGCAAGTTACATAATATTATAGATAATATGCATATTACTGATACTATAAACAAGCGAATGAATATAAACTTCTAGATGAGTTCTGTGATCCCCATTGTACAGAGGAAGTAACTAGAGCCAAAGGGAGTTATAGGCTTTTTTCTACTAATGGATGAGACAAAAATTCAAAACCAGGGCTGCTTATTTCCTTTCCACTGCACAATATTGACTATGAATGAAGCCTGAGAAATCCAGCACTATTCATATATTAAGCATGTTTAAAATGCTTGGGAAAACTCCCATGATGTGAGTTTACCTATGTAACAAACCTTCACACGTACCCCTGAACATAAAATAAAAGTTTAAAAAAATGTTTGGGCAGTTGGCCATTTTCTTCGTAGCACTCATTTGATTAGAAAACACCTTCAGCATAGATGAAATAAAATATTTCATACTGAATCAACCAACCGCTAACTCGATATAAACATAGAAATGTATAAATTCTGCATGAAATTGGGGGTGGGGCTTGTACTACTTTTGTTAGCTCCTGAAAAGCATCCCCATAATTTCATATTATTTTATTTCAATCCAAATGATTGAAGTCAAATTGATATGATGAATGTCATTACTCTATCAAAATTCTAGCTTAAGTAGACCTCTGGCCTATTCTACCTTCTTCTAATAAAGGTTTATCCCAATAAAAGGAACACTCCTTGAAAGAACTGTATTTCTTTCATTTTACAGTAAATTTACCCTAGGAAGAAACTTATACGAACTTACTATACTTCAGTCCTTGTTAGATGTTAAAATGAAGAGAATTGTTTCTTGTTCCTCAACTACAGAATTGAAAAAAAAAAGTAATAGAAAATGTAAGGCTATTTCTCAGGCATCCATTACATAATGAGGTTATTTTGCTTGTAAAGAATATCACATAGATGAGAGATGCAGTCTAGGGATACTAATACAAAGACACGTTGAAGCCTTCAAACATATGTGAACCATGAACACATTTCAAAAAAATTCTCTCTAATTCTATTAATTTCCAAAGCTGGAACCAAAATTAAAATGGTAAGTGGCTGTGAACAATTATAAGTTTCTAAAAAAGTAAAAAATTACATTTTAGCATTACTTTAAAAATATGGATAGCTGTTTAATACAGAGGAAAATTGTCAATCTATGTTTCTAAGAACTATACACATTAGGAGTTAGGATACTTCTAAGACAATCTCCTTCGATTTTGAAGATGAATCCATTTCATCTTACATCAAGTAAATCACTCTTTACTTGATGATTATAAATACATTTCTTAAATTTGAAAATGAATAACACTATTGTATTTGTCATAAAAATACAAATAGAAAAAAGTGACTTGAAATATAGAGCCATTTCATTGCAAGAAATCTCAAAGATTTCCCTTCTTTTCTGGGTCCTTCTCTTGGTCATTTCTAGACTTTTACTAGCCATGACACTAGGAAACAGCACTGAAGTCACTGAATTCTATCTTCTGGGATTTGGTGCCCAGCATGAGTTTTGGTGTATCCTCTTCATTGTATTCCTTCTCATCTATGTGACCTCCATAATGGGTAATAGTGGAATAATCTTACTCATCAACACAGATTCCAGATTTCAAACACTCACGTACTTTTTTCTACAACATTTGGCTTTTGTTGATATCTGTTACACTTCTGCTATCACTCCCAAGATGCTCCAAAGCTTCACAGAAGAAAAGAATTTGATGTTATTTCAGGGCTGTGTGATACAATTCTTAGTTTATGCAACATTTGCAACCAGTGACTGTTATCTCCTGGCTATGATGGCAGTGGATCCTTATGTTGCCATCTGTAAGCCCCTTCACTATACTGTAATCATGTCCCGAACAGTCTGCATCCGTTTGGTAGCTGGTTCATACATCATGGGCTCAATAAATGCCTCTGTACAAACAGGTTTTACATGTTCACTGTCCTTCTGCAAGTCCAATAGCATCAATCACTTTTTCTGTGATGTTCCCCCTATTCTTGCTCTTTCATGCTCCAATGTTGACATCAACATCATGCTACTTGTTGTCTTTGTGGGATCTAACTTGATATTCACTGGGTTGGTCGTCATCTTTTCCTACATCTACATCATGGCCACCATCCTGAAAATGTCTTCTAGTGCAGGAAGGAAAAAATCCTTCTCAACATGTGCTTCCCACCTGACCGCAGTCACCATTTTCTATGGGACACTCTCTTACATGTATTTGCAGTCTCATTCTAATAATTCCCAGGAAAATATGAAAGTGGCCTTTATATTTTATGGCACAGTTATTCCCATGTTAAATCCTTTAATCTATAGCTTGAGAAATAAGGAAGTAAAAGAAGCTTTAAAAGTGATAGGGAAAAAGTTATTTTAAATCAGCCCCAGTTGTTAACATTCAACTCAACAAATCATCCAACATAGCTGTTCTGCTAAAATTTAATTTTTCCACAATAAGGAATATGTAGAAAGATGTCAAATTAATAATCTAACATCACCTCTAGAGGAATTTAAAATACAAAAGCCAACAAATCCCAAACCTAGCAGAAGAAAAAAATAACTAAAATCAGAACAGAACTGAACAAAATTGAGACCCAAAATTTATGCAAAAATTTAATGAAACCAAAATTTGGTTTCTTGGAAGAATAAATAAGATTGGTAGGCTGCTAGCCAGATTCACAAAGAGAAAAGAGGGAATATCTAAATAAGCACAACCAGAAAGAACAAAGGTGACATTACAACCAATCCCACAGAAATACAAAAAAATACTCAGAGACTATTATGAACACTTCCATGCAAATAAGCTAGAAAATATAGAGAAAAATGGATGAATTCCTGGGAACATACAGCCTCTCAGGATTTTATCAGAAAGACACTGAAACCCTGAGCCAATCAATACCAAGTTTTGAAATTGAATCTCTACTAAAAAAAACCTACCAACCAAAAAAAAAAATCCCAGACCAAAAGAATTTGCTGTCAAATTCTATCAGATGTAAAAAGAAGAGCTGGGGCCAATTCTAGTGAAACTATTTGGAAAAATTGAGGAACAGGGACTCTTCTGTAACTCATTCTATGAAACTAGTATCAGCCTGATACAAAAACCTGACAAAGACACAATGAAAAAAGAAAACTGCAAGCCAGTATTCCTGATAAACATAGATGCAAAACCATCAATGAAATACTAGCAAACCAAATTCAACAGCACATCAAAAGTTAATTCACCATGATCAAGTAGGCTTCATTCTTGGATGCAAGATTGGTTGAAAATGTGCAAATCACAAAATGTTATTCACTACCTAAACAGCATTTAAAACAAAAACCATATGATCTCAGTAGATGCAGAAAAAGCCTTCAATAAAATGTTACCTTCTTTTATAATAAAAATTCTCAACAAAATAGGGATCAAAGCAACATACCTCAAAATAAATGCCAGCTATGCAAAATTCACAGCCAACATCATGAATGGGCAAAAACTGAAAGCATTCCCCTTTGAGAACTGGAACAAGACAAGGATGCCCATTCTCACCACTGCTCTTCAAGATAGTTCTAAAAGTCGTAAGCAAACCAACGAGGTAAGAGAAAGAACCAAAAGGCACCCAAATAGGAAAAGAAGAAGTCAAACTATCTCTTTTTGTGGACTATATGATTCTATATCTAGATAACTCTAAAAACTCTGCCAAAAGGCTCCTGGAGCTGATAAATGAATTTACTAAATTTTTAGGTAACAAAATCAAAGTACAAAAGTTAGTAGCACTTCTAAACCCCAATAATATTAAGCTGAGAGCCAAATCACAAATGCAATCCAATTTACAATAGCTACCAAAAATAATAAAAATATTAGGAAAACATCAGACCAATAAAATAAAATATCTCTACAGAGAGAATTATAAAATACTGTGCAAAGAAATCAGAGAGGACAAAAATAAATGGGAAAACAGTCCATACTCATGGATTAGAATAATCAATATCATTAAAATGGCGAAACTGCCCCCAAGCAATCTACAAATTCAATGCTGTTCCTATCAACCATCAATGCCATTTTTCACAGAATTAGAAAAACTATTCTAAAATTCATATGAAACTGGAAAAGAGCCCAAATAGTGAAAGCAATCCTTAGCAAAAGAACAAAGCTGGAGGTTTCACATTACCTGCCGTCAAAACATACTGTGGGGCTAACAGTGGCAAAAAGAGTCTGGTACTATTACAAAAACGATGACATAGACTAGTGGAACAGAATAGAGAACATAGAAAGAAAGCCACACATACACACACACACACACACACACAGAGAGAGAGAGAGAGAGAGATCTGATCTTTAACAAAGTCAACAAAATTAAGCAATGCAGAAAGAACTTCTATTCAATAAATGGTGCTGGGATAATAGGCTACCAATATGCCAAATAAATGAAACTAGACGCCTACGTTTTGCTATGCACAAAAACTAACTCAAGACGGATTAAAGATTTAAATGTGATACCTCAAACTAAAAGAATTCTAGAAGAAAACTTGGGAAACATCATTCTGAACATCAGCCTTGGGAAATAATTTATGACTAAGTCTTCAAAAGCAATTGTGACAAAAACAAAACTTGACAAGTGTAACCTAATTCAATTAAACAGCTTCTGCATAGCAAAAGAAACTATCAAAAGCATGTACGGGAAACCTACAGAATGGGAGAAAATATTCACAAACTGTGTATCCAACAAATCTAATATCCAGAATGTATAAGTATCTTAAACAACTTAACAAGCAAAAACAAATAACCCCATTAAAAAGTGAGCCAAGGATATCAACAATCAACAGACACGTCTCAAAACAAGACATACAAGAAGCCAACAAACATATGAAAATATGCTCAGCACTAATCATCAGAAAAATGCAAATCAAAACCACAATGAGAAAGCCATCTCACACCAGCAAGAATGTCTATTATTAACAAGTCAAAAATTAATAGATGCTGGCCAGGCTGTGGAGAAAAGGGAATGCTTATACACTGTTGGGGATGTAAACCCATTCAGCCACTGTGGAAGGCAATCTGGGGATTTCTGAAAGAACTTAAAACAGAACTATCATTTGACCTAGTAATCCCATAACTGGATAATATTTAAAAGAAAATAAAGTTTTCTACCAAAAAGACATAAGTGCTCATATGTTCACTACATCATCATTCATAACAACAACAACATAGAATCAACCTAAGTGCACATCAATGGTGGATTGGATAAAGAAAACATGGTATGTATACACCATGGAATACCACACAGTCATAAAAATGAACAAATTCAAGTCTTTTGTAGCTACATGGATACAGCTAGATGCCATTATCCTAAGTGAATTAACGTGGAAACAGAAAAGCAAATACCACATGTTATCATGTATAAGTAGGAGCTAAACACTAAATACACAGAGACACAAAGACAAGAACAATAGACACTGGGGACTACTAGGGGGAAGGAGCAATTGGGGTAAGGGTTAGAAACACTAGCTGTTGGGTACTATTGTGTATTAGTACATTTTCATGCTGCTGATAAAGAGATACCCAAGACTGGGCAATTTACAAAAGAAAGAGGTTTACTGGACTTACAGTTTCACATGGCTGGGGAAGCCTCACAATTATGGCAGAAGGTTAAAGGTGCATATCACATGGTGGTAGACAATGGAAGAGAGCTTGTGCAGGGAGACCTCCATTTTTAAAAACATGAGGTCTCATGAGACTCATTCACTATCACAAGAACTGCATAGGAAAGACTTGCCCCTGTAATTCAACCACCTCCCACCGGGTTTCATACATGATACATGGGAATAGTGGGAGTTACAATTCAAAATGAGATGTGGGTGAGGACACAGCCAAATCATATCATTCCAACCCTGGCCCCTCCCAAACTTTATTTCCTCACATTTCAAAACCAATTATGCCTTCCCAACAGTTCTCCAAAGTCTTAACTCATTTCAGCATTAACTCAAAAAGTCCACAGTCCAACATCTCATCTGAAACAAGGCAAGTCCCTTCTGACTATGAGCCTGTAAAATCAAAAGCAAATTAGCTACTTCCTAGGTAAAATGGGGATACAGGTGTTGGGTAAATTTACAGCCATTCCAAGTGGGAGAAAATGGCCAAAATAAAGGGGTTACAGGCCCCATGCAAGTCTGAAATCCCACAGGGCAGTCAAATCTTAAAGCTCCAAAATGATCTCCTTTGACTCCATGTCTCACATCCAGGTCATGGTGATGCAAGAGATGGGTTCCCATCGTCTTGGGCAGCTCTGTCACTGTGGCTTTGCAGGGTATATCCCCACTCCTGGCTGCTTTCACAAACTGACCTTGAGTGTCTGTGGGTTTTCCAGGTGCACAGCTCAAGCTGTCAGTGGATCTACCTTTCTGGGGTCTGGAGGATGGTGGCCCTCTTCCCACAGCTCCACTAGGTGGTGCTCCAGTAGAAACTCTGTGTGGGGACTCTGACCACACATTACTCTTCTGCAATGCCCTAGCAGAAGTTCTCTATGAGGGCCCCACTGCTGCAGCAAACTTCTGCCTGGGCATCCATGCACTTCCATACATTCTCTGAAATCTAGGTGGAGGTTCTCAACCCTCAGTTCTTGACTTTTGCGCACTCTCAGGCTCAACAGCTTGGAAGTTAAAGCTTCCAAGACTTGGGGCTTCCACCCAAAAGTCTCTGACATGCCCTGGAGATATATTCCCCATTGTCTGGGTGAATAACACTTGATCCCTTATTACTTATTCAAATTTCTGCAGCCAAATTTAATTTCTCCTCAAAAAATTGGATTTTCTTTTTTATCACATTGTCAGGCTACATATTTTCCAAACTTTCATGCTTTGTTTCCCTTTTAAAATTGAATTTCTTTAACACCATGCAAGTCACATCTTGAATGCTTTGCTGCTTAGAAATTTCTTGCATTAGATATTCTAAATCATCTCTCTTGAGTTCAAAGTTCCACAGATCTCTAGGGCAGGAGCAAAATGTCACCAGTCTCTTTGCTAAAACATAACAAGAATCACCTTTGCTCCAGTTCCCAAAGAGTTCCTCATCTCCAACTGAGACCAACTCAGCCTGAATTCTATTGTCCATATCATTATCAACATTTGGGGCTAAGCCATTCAATAAGTCTCTAGAGAGTTCCAAACTTTCCCACATTTTTCTGTCTTCTTCTGGACCCTCCAAACTGTTTCAACCTCTGCCTGTTACCCAGTTCCAAAGTCACTTCCACATTTTCAGGTTATCTTTTCAGCAGCACCCCACTCCTGGTACAAATTTACTGTATTAATCTGTTCTCATGCTGCTGATAAAAACATACCTGAGTCTGGGCAATTTACAAAAGAAAGAATTTTATTGAACTTACAGTTCCACATGGCATGGGGAGGCCCCACAATCATGGTGGGAGGTGAAAGGCACATCTCAGATGGTGACAGAAAAGAGAAGAGAGCTCCCATTTTTAAAACCATCAGATCTCATAAGACTCATTTGCTGTCATGAGAACAGCACAGGAAAAGCTCACCCCTATAATTCAGTCACCTCCCACCGGGTTCCTCTCATGACAAGTGGGAATAGTGGGAGTTACAATTCAAGATGAGATTTGGGTGGGGACACAACCAAACCATATCATATTAAAATGAGAGACTTCCCTGATCCTCCTCACAGGAAGTGTGACAGGGGTGTGGCTTGCCTGTTTGGCTGCCACCAAGCAAGCCACCACTGCTCAAACCCCTGACAGGAGGGTGAGCATGGAGATGAGCAGTTGCAGGAGCCAGAATGTGTGCTTTGGTCTCCAGCCCCATGGTAGTGTCCAGGGGTGGGTGCCTGCAGCCCCAGTGTTACAATGCTCTTTTAGCCTTGCCATCTGCAGAGGGCTTAAGTGTTAACCAGCTCAGTGAATCCTCTGCCTACCCACAAGGGCAAACGGCCAGTGTGACAGCTTTCTGCATCCCGAGCTCTTGTCCAGCATCCCAGAAGAATCAGGTCACACATGAGCTTGAAGGGTGAATGTGTAGTTATTGAAGTGGTTCTCAGTGGGATGGATGGAGAACTGGAAGGGGGAAAGAGTAAGAGGATGACCTTCCCCTGGAGTTTTGGCCATACATTGGCCAAACTCCTCTTCGATTGCCCCCAGCTGAACTCCTCTTGCTGTTCAGTCATTCCTTTTCTTCTCTCTCTCTCTCTGCCACACCATTCTGCCATTTGTCTTGTTTGTCTCCTTGTCTCGTCTCATCTGCTTCTGAAGCCTGGTGTTTGGGGTTTATATGGGTTGAGGATAAGGGGGGGCATGGTGGGCCAAAAGGCAATATTTTGGGTGCAAAAACAGAAATGCCTGTTCCTACTTAGGGCCATGGGTCTCCAGGCTTGAGAGTTAGGCCTTTGCCAGGGTACTGCCCTCTTCTACCCAGTATTTCCCTGTCTCCTGTCCATATCATTTCCCCCTCTGAGTAGGCACATCTAACTGCTGCTAGAATATGGGCGATGACCAATCTTAGCTACTTCTTGTTGACAGTGGGCATAGTTTTGGGGAAAATGGCAGTCAGATTCTTCCTAGAGGTCTATCTAAGAGTCCCTGGCAAAGGGGAACCATCGTCTGAGGGTCAGATTGCCTGACTGTTTGGAGTTTGATGGCCTCTATGTGAGAGAGAAAAAAAAAAACAAGTTTTGTAAGGTTAAGTGTGCATGCGTTAAATGTGTATTATACAAGGAAAGAATCTAGTGCCAAAGATTACAGAAATAAGAAGTGTACAGAATAAGAATGGTAATTATTCTAAAAACACTATTGTGCCCCATGGTATAGAACAGAACAAAGGTAAGAACAGCAAGCATAGGCAACACTATAAGGAGGATATCCATGGAAGTTAAATTCATAACACTTATCTTTTGTGATTTTTAGCTTGAGGTCCATGATCTCTTCACATTGGTACTTTGGGTGCTCTTCTGGGTCAACGGCGGTGACTCCATCACCTTCCCAGGCCTTTACTCAGGTATAATGAATTCAAGAGTCTATTTCTGTGACCTTCACTGCCCTAAGAGTAGAAAGAAGAAAAGTGTAAGGTCCCTCTCAACCTAGGCCTATAGAGGAAGAAAAGGAAGGAAATGCCTTTACTAGCACTAGGGACCCTAAGTTAATAATAGAGGTCGCCCTGGTTCATGGGATTGGGCCTCTGACAATTGTTGCAGTTTCTGTTGGAAATGGGCCAACGAGGTTATGTATTTAATTAAATCAGAGGTTTCTTGGTCTAGAAAGAAATAATTGGTGAGAAAAGGCTGTCCATACATCATTTCAAAGAGACTCAAACCCAGCTTTGAAGGAGTGTTTCTAATATGTAGCAAGGATATGGGGAGAAGGGTAGTCCAGCAGAGATGAGTTTCCTGAGAGTTTCTCAAAGAGACTCAAACCCAGCTTTGAAGGAGTGTTTCTAATACATAGCAGGGATAAGGGGAGAAGGGTAGTCCAGCAGAGACGAGTTTCCTGAGAGTTTCCTGAGGTACCTTTTGATAATATCATTTGTCTTTTCTACCTTTCCTAAGGACTGTGGTCTCCAGGCACAAAAAAGATGGTACTGTATACCTAGTGCTTTTGAGACCCCCTAGGTGACAGTCACCTTGAACAAAGAGCCATTATCACTCGGGAGGCACTTAGGGAGTCCAAAGTGAGGAATTATCTCATTGATTAGTACTTTTATCACCTCAGAGGTTTTCTCTGTCCAACATGGAAATTCTTCTACCCAGTTAATGAAAGCATCTATCCATACTAGGAGATTCTGGATGCCTCTTGCTTTTGGCATATGAGTGAAATCCATTTGCCAAAAGGTAGCCTTTGTCCTCTGGGTTCCTGAGGGAAGAAGCCATCAATTAAGAGGATTGTTTTTAAAGCAGGTCTCACAAGCATTATCGACCTGTTTAATTGTTTGTATAAGGTTTTTGCCTGAGAACAATCTCTGAGAGAGTTGATAAGCTTTATTCTTACCTAGGTAGAAGGACTGGTGAAGGCTTTTAAGAGTTTACCATTGGTTGGCAGCTGGTATATGAAGCTTGCCATTGTCTGATTGTAGCTATCCTGGGGACTGAAGGATGTTTCCCCAAGAGGTGGCCCATTATATTTCCACAGGAGAATATTGAGGTTTTATTTCTCTTATGGGTCCCTCCCAGATCAGTGGGGCTTCAAGTGGGTCAGAGACCTGGGCCCCCCTTACTGATGGATTTAGCTCCTTGGTCTGCCAGCCTATTTCTCTTGGCTATTTCATCCATCCCTCTTTGGTGGCCTCTACAATTTATTACTGCCACTTTCCATGGGAGGAAAGCTGAGGATGATAGTCTGTAAATTTCCTAATGGTATTTAATGGGAGACCCATTAGCTGTAAGGAAGTTCGTCTCTTTCCAGATAGTGGTATGGGCATGGAGGACAAGGAAAGCATACCTAGAATCTGTATAAATGTTAACTGTTTTTCCTTTGCTTAATTCAAGCACCCTCATGAGAACAATTTTTTCAGCCAGTTCTGCACTTTTGCCAGAGAAGAGATGTGCACTCTCAACAAAATCACTCAGGGTAACTATTGCATACCCTACTTTATGGGTTTCTTATTCTACAAAAGAACTCCTATCTGTAAAGAGAATCCAGTCTGAGATCTCTAAGGGGGTTTCCTTGAGGTTCTCTCTGGCTGCATAGGTTTGTGCTATTTGTTCACAGTCATGTTCAGGTTCCTCAGCTTCCTCTGGGAGGAAGGTGGCTGGATTTAGGGAGCGACAGGTTTTTAATTGGACTGCAGATCCTTCTAATAACAGAGCTTGATACCCAAGGAGGCAGTTGTCTGATAGCCAGAGACTCCCCTTAAAAGATAGTAGTCCTGCCACATTATGTGAGGTATAGACAGTTAAATTATTCTCCATGGTTAACTTAGTAGCCTCTGGTACCAGCAAGGCCACTGCTGTGATTGCCCAGAGACAGGCTGGCCATCCTTTGGCTACCAAATCAAACTCCTTACTCAGGTAGCCTACAGGCTTCTGGGCTGACCAAAGGCCTGTGTTAGAACTCCCACTGTCATTTCCTTTCTCTCCGACACAAAGATTAATCATTTTTCCTATGGGGAGACTAAGGGCTCGTGCCTTAAGCAAGACTTGTTTTACTCAGTCAAAGGCCTTTCTAGCCTCTGATTCCCATATTAGACAGTGAGGTTTAACTGCCTGAGTCTCCTTTCTTAGGTGTTATAAGGGACAAGCTATTTCACCATACCCAGGTATCCAGGTCTGCAGAATCCTGCAATGCCTAAGAATCCCCTCAGTTGCTTGAGGGTTGCGGGAAGGGAAAATGGAAAATGGGTTTAATTTTCTCTTCACCCAACACTCTTGTGCCCTCTGAGAACACCAGGCTTAGATACTTCACTGAAGCGTGACAGAGACGAGCTTTAGATTTTGAAACCTTATATCCTCAGTTAGCCAGAAAATTAAGAAAAGCCTTACTGCCCTCCTGAGAGATTTCCTCAGTTGGAGCACAGAGAAGAAGGCCATTGACATATTGTAAAACTTTAAACTAAGGATAAAGGACAGAGGATTATTGAGGTCTCTCAATAATCCCTGCCCAAACAGGTGGGGGCTGTCTCAGAAGTTCTGAGGTAACACCGTCCAGGGTGGTTTGGTTAGAGGGATCCTCAAATGCAAACAAATACTGAGAGTCAGAGGGTAATGGTATGCAGAAGAAGGCATCCCTTAGGTCCAGCACTGTGAACCATTTAGTTCCCTCAGATGTTTGAGCTAGCAGGGTATACAAATTGGGAACCACTGGGTGTATTGGAACCACAGCCTCATTAATGATATGGAGGTCCTGAACTAGTCCCCATTCCCCTTTGGGTTTTTGTACCCCCCAATATTGGGGTATTGCAAGGGCCATTTCAGGGTTTGAGGAGGGCTTGCCTCTTCAAGTTATCAATGATGGCTTCTAGTCCTTTCCTGACTTCTGGTTTCAGGGGATATTGTTTCTGGTTAGGAAAGGAGGTAAGATCCTTAAGATGGACCTGGACCAGTATGGTGGTTGTGGCTCTGCCAATTTTCCCTCGAGTTGCCCAAACTTTTGGTTTAAAATGGTCTCCACTAGGGGCAGACAAAAAGTTTGCACAGGGGCCATCAGGATGGGGTCCCCATATGAACCAGAATATCCCCACCCAACAGAGGATTTGGGCTTTCCAGCATAATTAGAAAAGCATGGGTGAACCAAAGGTCTCCCCAGCTACAACTAAGTGGTTGGGAAAAAGATCAGGTTAAAGGCCTTTCCTGATATGTTCCTCATGGTCTTACTAAGAGAGGAGAGAGGGTCCATAATGGGGAGGAGAACTGAGAGACTAGCCCCAGTGTCCTAAAGATGGTCTACTTTTTTCCCCTTCAATTTCCAGAATTATCTGGGGCTCTCGGATGATAATAATGGTCTGGAACACCAGACTCAAGAAGAAGAGCCCCAGGACCTGTCAATCCTACTGCTGGTGTCCCCAATGACAATCTACCCTCCAGGTTTCCCCACGACAGATTGGACAGGTCAAAGTGGCTTCCTTATGCTGCCTGGGCAATCCTTCTTCAAACGCCCTGGCTTGGCCCATCTGTAGCAGTTAACAAGTGCACCCTGGGAATTCTGGGTTTGTGGGCTTGCCTGGCATCCATTAAAGCCTCTGTCTCTTTTCTGTATTTCCTCTCTCTCTCTCTCCTGGGCACCCCTATCTCTATTGTATAAGACTGACATGGCTACTTGCAGGAGGTTCTGTAAAGTATTATCTGGTCCCAGGGCCTGTTTTTGCAGCTTCCTCCTGATATTAGGGGCTACATGAGTAATAAATTTATGCTTTAGGGTTAGTTTTCCATTTGACTGAATCAGAAGATAGAGAGGTGTGCTTTATCAAGGCCTCTCTTAGCTTTCTCAGGAAGACAGTGGGATTTTCATCAAATCCCTGGTCAATCATGGATAACTTAGTATAATTGAGAGGCTTAGTCTTAGTCCTATGTAATCCCTCCATTATGCACACCTGAAAGTGTCTCCTCTTCCAGCCTCCCGTCTTGTCATTGGGATCTCATTTAGGTCATCCATTGGTACTGCTTCTCTTCCAGTTAGAGGATTTCACCCCCTTCCCTGATGCTATATGTGATAAAAAGTTCATCCCCAAATCTCTCTGCTGCTTGTAGAGTGGCCTGCTTCCCAGTCTTTATCAGGGTCTAATTCAAAAGTAACATAACATCTCTCCAGGAGAGTTCAAATTATTCAGTGAAATTCTGGAAAGCCTCTATATATTGATCAGGGCCATCTGAAAACTTGTCGAGATCCCCCTTAATTTGCCTTAACTCTTAAAAGGAGAAGGAGACTTGGACCTGACTGAGGCAAAATTAACCAGGCATCTGTTGGAGGGGCAAGAGTGAGACTAGGACTTGTCTATGGTGAGGATTTCTAAGCGGGGGCAAGTGTAAGGCTGAAGTTGGATAGGGAGGTCAGGGCCGACCTGGAGGAACAGGGCTGGAAGGAGCTGGCTCCTCTGCTAGGGGTGTCTCTGGAATTTGTATTTTTAGTTTCCTTGGCTTGCCCCTTGCAGCCTTTCCTGAGATGGTTAACATGAGGGCTGGATTAATCCTACACTGTCAGCGAAGGCCTGGGTTGTTCTGCAAGTTACAGAAAGCCTGCAAATATGGGGCCTCAGATCATCTGTCTGCACATCTACAGAAAAGATAACACTGCAGGATGGTATTGAAATAAATTGTTCCTTCCTAAGGCAGATCCAGTCCTTCATAATTTCACCAAACCTCTGTGCAGAGGGCTATGAGGCATTTTTCTTCCAGATTCTAAGGGTCATAGCAGTCCCAGTGGTTCAGGATAGACTCCAAAGGAATATAAGCAAAGGGTGATGAAAAGAGCTGGTTGCCCATTCAGAAAGACAAGGAAATAGAGGTGACTCTCATTTCCCTTCCTTCTTTCAGTGAAAACTCAGAGTGTGAAGAGAGAGAAAACAAGTGTCCCCTTTTTCTCTTCCATCTTTTGTCCCTGAGTCCTGGAGACCTTGGCAGCTCCCACCCATGGGTGCCAATGCGACATGTACCCATGATGCAGGGAAGGCCTAGAGAATAGGAATTATTTGCCCTCACCTATGCCTCCATCCTCCCTACTGCTGGCAACCTTTGAGATCCCTGGGCTCATTTATGTTATGGAGCATGGCCTCCTTCCATGTGGTGGGGGTTTAGTCAGCAGGAATTGGTCCTGCCCATTCACATTGTGCCTGTTGCCTGGCTTTGACTCCCTCAGATCTGGTTTTCCTTTCTAAGGATTCAGCCTGAAGCTTGGAATCGAATTTGAGACAAAAAAAGAAAAAAAAAAGGTATTTCAGGGGCTGTCTGTATCTGTCTAGATGGTCTCAAATTAGCCCTGTTGAATTTGCAGTTATCAGCCAGCAGGGGTCGCTCCTCTATTATTTTTCCTATCATAAGCAGCGTGCTGTGGATAGGAGCCCTCTCATTTAGAAAAGAAAAAAATAGTTTAAGAGGCAAAAGTGAGAGGTCCTGGGGGAAAAACACCTTGCTCAGTGCAAACAGGTTCCTTTATCATTGTATCCTTCACCTGGTTCAGACCAGGGTGACCTTCTTGGTCAGGGGAGGAAAAGTTCCATCGGCATGGCAGGTGGGAAGTGCTGGACAGCTAGCCACATGAGGCCCCGGCAGCAGTTGTGATTTTCTCCCACCCCTCGTGGCCATTGGGCATGGCTTATGCATGCTGTCGACATGCCCAGGCACCCAAGCCAGGAAGGGAGTGGGCGAGGAGAAGAGGTGTCATGCGCTGCGCGTCTGTGACTGTCAGGTTCAGGATGGGGATGGTACCTCTAAGAATAAACAGAAACCACATTGTTCTGAATTTCACCTTTGATGGCTGCGCCAAATGCTCATTATATTTAGTATCATTGTCGCGGTTTGTAGCAAAACCCTTAACATTATCAGGGAAGAGATAAGAGGCATTTCAAACCTTGAGAGAAGTAAAGACACCAGGCAAAGTCTGGGAGTCTTGGCCAACGGAGTTGAGTCTTGGGGCCTTCCAGAAAAAAAAAAAAAAAAAAAAAAAAAAGCCCTTCGGTTGCCCTAGAGCTTTACTCCAGTTCTGTGGTGGATAGACTTCTCTGAAGAGAAATATAGTCAATGTTCTTTTTGTCTGTAGGAAAGAGAGAGGTGGCAGGGTCTTGGAAAAGACACAGATCCTCATTTTAACTCACCCTTCTTTGTATCCCAGATGGGGCCCCAAATGAAATGGGAGAGTTCCCTGATTCCCTTTGCAGGATATGCAATAAGGGTGTGGCTCACAGGTTTGGTCACCACCACTGGTCAAACCCCTGATAGGAGGGAGACGGGGAGCACGCAGATGGTCAGGTGCAGGAGCTGGGGTGAGTGCTTTGAGCTCCGGCCCCACAGGAGTGTCTAGGGGTGGGTGCCTGCTGCCGCAGTGTAAAAATGCTCTTTTAGCCTTGCCATCTGCAGATGGCTTAAGTGTTAACCAGTTCAATGGACCGTTTGCCTTTTTGCAAGGGCAGAGGGCCAGTGTGGCAGCTTTCTGTATCCCAAGCTCTTGCCCAGCATCCCAGAAGAATTGGGTCACACACAAGCTTGAAAAATGAATGCAGGGCTTTACTGAGTAGTGGAGGTGATTCTCAGCAAGATGGATGGGGAGCCGGAAAGGCGATGGAGTGGGAAGATGATCTTCCCCTGGAGTTTTGGCCATCCAGCAGCCAAACTCCCCCCAACTGCCCCCAGGCGAATTCCTCTCGGCATTCAGATGTTCTTTCTCTTCTCTCTCTCTCTGCTGTGCCTTTCTTCCATTTGTCTTCTGTCGTCTCCTCATTTCTTTGTCTGCCTCTGGAGTCTGGGGTTCAGAACTTATATGGGTATAGGATAGGGGGGCATAGCAGGCCAAAAGGCCACTTTTGGAGTACAAAAACAGAAATCCCTCTTTTCACTTATTTCTGGCGGGTCTCCAGCCTTAAAGGTGGGGCCTTTGCCAGTGCACTGCCCTCTTCTACCCAGTATCTCTCTGTCTCCTGTCCATATCACTATACTCACTACCTGGGTTAAGGAATCATTCACATCCCAAACCTCAACATCTTGCAACATACCCATATAACAAACCTGTGCATGAAACCTCGAATCTAGAATAAAAATTGAAATTATTAAAAAGTAAAATAAAATAGGAAACATATTCACATTATAAACCAATGCTGCTTTTTTTAAATAGATAAGCTCTTTAAGATTGGAAAATATAATAGATATATCTCCTAAGGCTAAAAATTGCTTCCCAAGAGATACTGACACTATATTAGTTTTAAAGTTTCTGACCACCATTCAAGCAGAAAGGAATTAAATGAAAACACTCTCTCTGTAAAGATAGTTAGGGAGATGCCAAATCACAAAGAAAATGTTGTAACATTTTTCTAGAAGTTATCTAGTGTTATCTAGATGTTATGGATGGTTAATTAGTTTCTTTATTGGCTCTGAATAATGGTGTGACTCATCCTGCCACCAGGAAAGATGAATGTCCTCACTAATATGGAACATAAAGGTGAGGAAAATACTTGCTCAACGTTGGATTCCCAACATCCACCATATTCTCAGCACATTGTAGTATCTGAATAAACATCTGTGGAAGAAATAAATGGACAAAGGAAAGTGGAAAGGAAAGACCAGAAATCTAGACAGAGCATTCTCACAGGGATTGAGAGAAGTCAGCTGCAGTCCAGCACAGCTGTCTCTGGGTTGAAAAGTGAGGCAGCAACAAGAGCTTTGCCCAAGCTTACTGGGTGAAGCAACTGCCTATAACAACATTGAACAGTGTTATTGTAAATAAACACACAGAAAGTACATGTCTGTCATTTTATATGCAGAAAGGTAGAATAAAAGAGCAACAGGATAAATGTGAGCAGGTTAATTCCCTCAGCTCCTCAATGTCTTAACGTTATAAGTTTTTCAATACACAGTTTATGGAATAAAATATGTGAAACCAGCTTGGTAGCTTGAGCAAGCTATCAGGAACCTCCAAGGATTGTTGGGTTTTTATTACTAATGTTTCTTTTTGAATTTTGAGGTCAAGTTTGTGGATGTGTATGCGTGTATGTATGTGCCACAGAAGACATAGGGGCAGAAGGGTCTAATGCAATACAGGAAGTATAGACACCAAGAAGAACATGGGCAGAGCTGTCACTTAGCCTAGAGGAGTAGTGGGTAATCTTGGCAGTGGATGCATGTGTGAGGCCTCCATCATTCCTCACCAGAAAAATTACACATTTCATGGATTAATCCTCAACACCTGACACATGATTCTTTGCATAGATAACTTAACAGTACAGTTAAGAAAGAAGTCAGGCTGATGCCAAGGATATTGATCCTACTGCCAATATCGTACTGCCAAGGATATTGGTGCTCAATCTTCTATGAGGCAGAAGATAATGGTTATCTATCACTACAGTGAATGGGGAAGTGATTTGGGGGGATAGTAAACATAACAGTACATCAGAATTATTCCAGGTGGAGTGGAATGGAGTGGAATAGTGCCACTCTATAAGACTTAGATTAGGTAGTGGTCCTCATTATATTGTTACAGGATCCTTGGGGTGTTGCTTTTCTGGCCTGAAACCTCTGGCTAGTGGCACCTTTGCCTGAGTTTTGCTTGGGCCCACTGGGCTCATTCCACCAACTCGGTCTGGCAGGCTGCACTCAGCTTACACTACCAGCCTGGATCCCACTCCTGCCAAGGGCAAGTCAGGCATGGAGTGGTGAGGGGTGTGTGAGCAAGCGTAGGGTCCAGCAACTGCACAGTCAGATATGCTGGCTGCCACAGCAAAGCAGGAAGCTCTAGGTGCTGGCACAGGAACTGGCTCTCTGTGAGGCTGTGTCTGGACCAGGCACACTACAGGCAGCTTTCCTGGCTGGCACCAGGGAACATAGTGGCACCTGGAAGCTTGGAGATGCCAGGCACCACAGGACCCCATAAAGGAAGGCACAGCCTTGGCTCAGGAAGCTCCTAAGTCTGTGCTCCCAAAGAGGCTGAACCTCTTCTTTCCTTCTCTTCACCCACAACATGGCAAGTAAGGGGCATGTTTCAGCTCCATTTGTGTTATAGCTTCTTTAGCTCCACCATTCAGTGGGTCCTGAGTTCTTGTCCTGTGACCAGGAAGAATCTGGTACACAGAGAAATGGAGGGTGAGCAAGATACAGAGGAGCTTTATTGAGCAATAGAACAGTTCACAGCAGACTTGCATGGGGTAGTACCTTTCTGCAGTCAGGGTGTCCTGATGAGTGTTCAGATCCTAGCACAGAGGAGACCCTGGAGTGGGAAGCTTCTCTCTGCAGGCAAGTTATCCTGTTGTCTTCCCGGCTCTCAGCAGACAGCAGGCCCTTGAGTGGGTAACTTCTCTCTCCTGGTGGTCATCCTGATGTCTCCTGCTATCAGCAGAGAGGGTAGCTGCTCTATGCACCTAGTCGTCCCATCATCTGCCAAGCTCTCTCTGAGCACGGGGCTTTTATGGGCCTCAGATGGGAGAAAGCGCATGGTGATTGGTCCATGAGCAGCCATGGGTAGGCCCAGAAAATACGCCACAAGATCTCCCTCTGGTCAGTGGGAATCGCAGCCAAGCCCAAGTCTTCTGGCCCTCCCTGGCCTGAACATGGGGTGCACCCTTCTGCCCAGGAATCTGGCTACATCCTGCTGCCATTCATAGCCCCTGGACTTGGTACTGACTTTGCTCTGAGATCAGAGTGGGCACCCACAGCAGGGAAAAGCCAGGCAGTGAGAGCAGGCATTTCCAAGCCTGTGGGGTCAGTGGGGCCTTCCTGGGACCTCAAGAGTGGAGGGATGCCTGAGTCTGCAGCTGTGGTTTGGGTGGTTGCAGCTGCACAGGGTTGGGGGGAGAAGCCAGGGATCCTGCCCTCTCTGTGGAGCAAGAGGCCCTTTGCAGCCATGGTTTGAGCAGCAGCAATGACACCCAGGGAGCTCTCACCCTAATTCGAAAGGGGCAGGGCTCCCACTTGTCCCCAGCTTCTGCTGGGCCCACGGAGCATGCAGCCCCAGCCACACCTCCCTGCTGCAGCTGGTGTGATGGAAGCAACTGGCCACCAGGAGCAGCCGCGGCCATCAATATCCCCAATTAATCCACCAATCCAGGAACTATGAAACCCACACTGATTATGGCAGAAAATAGACTATTACAATCTTAGCCTAATGGAAGCACCAATCTAGCTGCCATCCCAGATGTGCAATTGTTACTGGAACAAACAGCCTCTAGAAGTATTCACTGGCACTAATTTGGAAATGTGTTCTTTTCCACACTTATCAGGAAGCAAGTTCAGAAGCAACGTACATTCTCCTAGCATAGCCATCCCCAAACATTCCCCCAAATTCCCAGGGCTAGCTGAACTCTCCTCAGCCACAGCGTAGCCTGTGGGACCTTGATCATCGGGAAAACTCTAGAACATTGCTCTGGTCCACTATATTGATGACATCATTGGACCTGAGGAAGAGGAAGTAGCAAGTATCCTGTAGAAGCAAGTACTCTGTAGTAGTTTGTTACAGAAGCAACAGGAACAGGAAACTACTGCAATACTCATGAAAAATAATTGTACCAAGTAACATGTACAACAAAGTATATAGTGATATTGTGTATAGTAGAAAAATCTGGAAACTACTCCAACATCCATTGGCAGAATGTCCTAAGAAGCAGACACCAAGATGGGATTACACATGCAAACATTTTGTTAGGGGGATACCTATGTAAAAGGAAATAGGGAAGACAATGAGAAAAGCTAAGAAAGATGCAAGTCAGACCCCAAGTCAAGAAGAGAGGAAGACAAGATTGAGCAGAAGCATGTTAGACTGTCCAAAGTTATTGAGAAATCCTTGAACCAAAATGGACTGACAAAGGAGCCCTGTGTCTCCCAGGTATGGGTCTACCTTAGAATCCATTTTGCACACAGACTTTAGCAAGGAGCAGCCCACAGGAAGTTGGGTGTCAGAAAAACTACTACAAAGGATTTCAAAGTGAGAAGCTGAGATCCTGGGTCATTTCCACTCATGAGGGAGATCTACAAATTCATTCACATGGCTGCTACACAGATGAAGGAATAAATTAATTAGATTTTAATCACATAATGGAATATCGTGCAGCAGTGAAAATGAATGAACCACTGCTACAACAACACAACAAATAAGATTTAGTACTGTTGATTTTTTTTAAAAAATCACAGAATAAAATAGAAGAAAATGTTTCATTAACTTCAGTAACAGGCAAACTAGAAAATATATGTTTCAGGGGTGTGTGTGTGTGTGTGTGTGTGTGTCTGTGTGTATGTCTGTGTGTGTGTGTGTAAAGCTATACATCAAAAAATAAAAGAATCAAAGAAACATTCATAATGTTGCTATTTGCAGGTAAGGATGAGGGTAAGCAGATGCAAAGTACAGGGAAAGAGAACATTGGTAAGTATATATTGTAGATAATTTTTGAGACTTTGGACTGGATTATTCATTTAATAAATTATTATGTAATTAATATTAAGTGGGGCTGTGCATGGACCAATGGCAACAGTGTGTCATGAAGCAGGGTGATGACTAATCCAATTCTCTGCACATTGTTATGATGTTTAATTAAAATAAAATTTCAGAAAGTTCAGAAAATTGAGTGCTTTCTAAGAAACTTCTTATTACACAAAACAGGCTATGACTTTACATTGAACATCCTCAGGGAGACTGTGTACTCACCTAACCACTGCTGTCACCCCCACAATCAGGTCATTCAGGAGTCAGTATATGAAAGGAAAATTCTTTGAGAGACTAGCCCTAATCCAGAGCAATGCAAATGATAGATTGTCCCTTTAGTTAATTCAATCAAATTCCATTTTCAGTGGTAGAGGGGGGATTAGAGAGACTAGATCTAACAGCTAACACTTATATTTAAATTTTATACCTAAATGCCATCAGTCTTAATCTCTGAAGTGCTCAATAAGAAAAAAAAAAACTTGAGTTTTGTATGCCCTTCTTTGGAAAATTTTAGGCCTGAGTAAGAGGAAGCGGCAATTGCTCTGTAGTAGTTTGTTACAGGAGCAATAGGAACAGGAAACTAGTGCAATATACATGAAAAATAATTGTACCAAGTAACACATACAATAAAGTTTATAGCAATGTTGTGTATAGTACAAAATATTGCCTCATTCTTTTTCATGAGGCAAAAACGGGGCAATTAAAGATATCAATTTAAAAACAAAATACTTTCTCGGAGGGCAACATATATAACTTAATTCACATAAAATAAAAAAAATCATTCTTCATAGAAATATGAAAAGATATCCAACCTGGCTCATATGAGAAAAGGACAAACAAATTAAATTATTTTTCACCTATAAAAACAACCAATTTTATATAAGTTTTGTAATAATCTGTTAGAATTTGGAGAAATAGTCACTAGATTTGGTAGAAGTATAAACTGGTAGAGCCTCTTGAGGTATCTTGATAAGTATCAAAAGTTATCATTATCATACCCTTTACTCAGTTTCCTCTCCAAAATACCTTTTATTCCTACAGATATATTCACGATAATATTTACAGTAACATTGTTTATATTAGTAAAAGATTGAAAACAATCTAAATGTCAAACAATGGGGAAAACTGTATGATTAAACAGATTAATAAATGCAACTGTTCAATAAAATATAATACAAACATTTAAAAGAGTGAGGCTTCTCTTTTCATACTGATGGAGACAAATCACCCAAAAGTATTAAGCGAAATGAAGGCTGAGCAATGTGAATAATACGTTGTCTTTTGTTGCAGGAGTGAATAAAGAATATGAATATAATATGTTTTCAAATGCAGTGCAGGGCTTGTATATCTGGAAGAATAACAGGAGCTTGTAACAGTGGTGATCTCCAGGGAAGGAAACTGAAGATTAGAAATCAAGGGATGAAGGGGGACATGGTTTTTACTCTATACACTTTTATACTTCTGAATTTACCATTTGGTTTGTTATTCATCACCCATCCAAAAAAAGAGAAGGTAGGGGTAAGAAGAAATAAAAGCAGGAAGAAAGGAAATACAGAGGAGAGAAATGGTGGAAGAATAAAAGAGAGGGAGGGAAGAAGGTTAATAGCAAGTTGCCCATAGCAGGGCAAAAACTCCCTGATGGCATTAAAACAAGAATTTTGTTCCCCCTGGAGAGCTCAACTTTGCTTCAGCAGAAAATAACTAGCAAACATTGTTTTTGCCAATTACATCTGAGACCCTGGAACCTCAGGTTCTCAAGGGAGTGGGTATTGATCTCTTATGCCCCAGCAATATACTTGCTGATGAGGAGGAACTGAAAAGAGAGACCTTGGTCAGCAATCAGTGCCAGTTGCAGGAAGAGAACGTGTAGGCAACCTCCAAGTAAGTAAAACAAAGCAAATAGCTTTTTTTTCAAAACCTGCCATGTACCATGCCAGTGCATGGTGGAAATTTTGGAGCAAAAGATTAGCCAAAACCCCAGAAGGTTTCACCTCAAAACCAGGAGGAATTATTTCATCCTTGGTGATTTACTGAAAATAAAGGGATGGGCTTGATTCAGTCTGAGTATCACCTGGGAGAAAAGATAAATGAACAAATGATTGAATGAATAAACTGATGGCTCAATTAACCAATCAATATAATATGCCTTTAATGTATTATTTGCATTGTTATTAAAGTCATTTGCTGGTCATATCTTCCATGCCCAGCCCTGTGCTGAGAAATGTACATAAATTCACATAAATTTGCTTACTTAAACCTCACATCACTGCACAATAGACTTTATTTTTCTCCTTCATTTTTTAACTTTTTATTATGAAATACTTCTAGATTCACAGGCAGTTCCAAAGATAATAGGGAAAGTTCTCAAATATCCTTCACATACTTTTTCCTCAAGGGTTCGATCTTACATAATTATAATATGACATCAAAACAGGATTTTGGTACTGGGACAGTTGTGTATATAGCTCTATGTCATTTCATACTTGTGTAGATTTATAGCACTACCACTGCAGTGAAGATACAGACTTGATCACACATCTCAGATTCTACATGTCTCCTTTGTACCCCTTCTGATCACACCATGCTCCTCCCCTTACCACCCCAATGTCTGGCAATCACCAACCTGTTCTCTGTTTCTATAATTCCGTCATTTTGATAATGCTTTGTAAATGGAATCATATAGTATATGTCCTTTTGATGTTGGCTTTTTTACACTCAGAATAATGCCCTTGAGAGTTATCTGAGCTGCTGCATGTATCAATAGTTTATTTCTCTTTATTTTTGGTAATATTCCATAGTATGGATATAATAAAATTGCTAAACTACTCATTTACTGTAGGGCATTTGATTGTTTACAGATTTTGGCTACTACAAATGAAAATGTTATCAAAAAATTTTGTACAGGTTTTCGTGTGAATATAAGTTTTATGCAAATATAATTGCCCACAAGTCCAAGGACTGTGTTGTGTGGTAAGTGTATGTCTAGCAGCTTTTTACAAAACTGCCAAACTATTTTCCAGAGTGACTACCATTTTCACCAGCAATGTATGAGTGATCCAGTTACTCTGAGTCTTTTCCAGCATTTGCTATTGTCACAGTTTTTTTATTTTAGCCATTCTGCAGTGACATCTCACTTGTAGTGTAGTGATATCACATTTTGTTCTTACTTTGCATTTCCCTAATGGCTAATGAAGTTGGACACCTTTTCATGTGTTTATTTACCATCCATATAGCCCTTTTTGGTAAAAAGTCTGTTCATGTTGTTCAGGCATTTTCCAATTTGATTTTTTTTTTCAGTTTGGGAGTTCTTTTTTATTATTATTATTATACTTTAAGTTTTGGGGTACATGTGCACAATGTGCAGGTTAGTTACGTATGTATACATGTGCCATGCTGGTGTGCTGCACCCATTAACTCATCATTTAGCATTAGGTATATCTCCTAATGCTATCCCTCCCCACTCCCCTGACCCCACAACAGGCCCCGGTGTGTGATGTTCCCCTTCCTGTGTCCATGTGTTCTCATTGTTCAATTCCCACCTATGAGTGAGAACATGCGGTGTTTGGTTTTTTGTCCTTGCGATAGTTTACTGAGAATGATGATTTCCAATTTCATCCATGTCCCTACAAAGGACATGAACTCATCATTTTTCATGGCTGCATAGTATTCCATGGTATATGTGTGCCACATTTTCTTAATCTAGTCTATCATTGTTGGACATTTGGGTTGGTTCCAAATCTTTGCTATTGTGAATAGTGCCGCAATAAACATACGTGTGCATGTGTCTTTACAGCAGCATGATTTATAGTCCTTTGGGTATATACCCAGTAATGGGATGGCTGGGTCAAATAGTATTTCTAGTTCCAGATCCCTGAGGAATCGCCACACTGACTTCCACAATGGTTGAACTAGTTTACAGTCCCACCAACAGTGTAAAAGTGTTCCTATTTCTCCACATTCTCTCCAGCACCTGTTGTTTCCTGACTTTTTAATGATTGCCATTCTAACTGGTGTGAGATGGTATCTCATTGTGGTTTTGATTTGCATTTCTCTGATAGCCAGTGATGGTGAGTATTTTTTCATGTGTTTTTATATTCTCTAAACACACGTCCTTTATCACATACATTGTTCGAAAATATTTTCTTCCAGTGTAGCTTGCTTTTTCATCCTCTTCACTGGGTCTTTAACAGAGCAAAAGTTTTAATTTTAATGAGATCCAATTATTGAATTTTTGAGGAGGGGATTGTGCTTTTGATGTCGTGTCTAAGAACTCCTCACAACACCTATCCTAAAGTTTTACCCTAAATATTTTGTCTTAGATTACTCTCTAAAGGTTTAATGGTTTTATATTTTACATTTAAAGCTAAGATTCATGCTGACTTAATTTTTATATAATGTATGAGGTTTAGGTTTGGGTTCATTTTTTTGCCTATGAATATCCAATTGTCTCAGCACTATTTTCTAAAAAGCCTTCCTCCATTGAATTGAACCTGCTCAAAAATCAAATCACTGCACTTGTGTGAATCTGCTTGTGGATTCACTATTTTGCTCCATCTTTCTATCTATCTTTCCACCAATTCCACAGTGTTAATTATCGTAGATATATAAAAAATCCTGGTGTTAGGTAAAGTGATTCATCTCATTTTTTTCTTTGTTTTTGGAATTGTATCAGCTATTCTAACTTCTTTGCTCTTCCCTATACATTTAGAATATTGTTGTTTACATGCTAAAAATACTATGCTGAGATTTTGATTGCATTCGTGTTAAACCTGTACATCAATCTGGGGAGAACTGACACCACTGTGTGGAGTCTTGCATCTCCTAAACACAATATACCTATTTATGTAGATCTTCTTTGATTTCTTTTATCAGCATATTATAATTTGCATCATCAAGTCCTGTAATAGTTTTGTTATATTTCTACCTAAGTATTTCATTTTTTGAACTATTATGAATGGTGTTGTGTTTATTCCAGCTTCCACAAGTTCATTGTTATGAAAATAGTATGGACTTTTTAGAACTATCTCGTATTCTGCATCTTTTCTGAACTCACTTATTACCTCTAGAAGTTTTTGGTAGATTCTTGGAATCTGCTACGTAAACCATTATGTCATCTACAAATTGCAGTTTTACTTCTTCTTTTCTGATCTGTATCACTTTTATGCCTATATATCCTTTCGTTTGACTAGAACTTCCCAAACTATGTTGAATAGCACTGAAGAGAATGAGTATCCTCAGCTGTTCCCAATTTTAGGGGCAAGCATTTAGTCTGTAACTATTAAGTAGGATGTTAGCTATAGGTTTTTATGTAGATGTTCTTCATCAGTTGTGGAAATTGCCCTCTTTTCCTAGTTTTCAGAGATTTTTAAGATATTAAGTAGATATTGAATTTTGTCAAATTCTTTTTGTTCATCAATTTATATGATCCTGTGATTTTTCTCTTTTAGACCTGAATATACCCAACTTGGCCATTGTGTATGATTTTATACACATAGCTGAATTCTATTTGCTAAATTTTTAAAAGATTTTTGCATCTATATTCATTAAAGATACAGAACTATGGTTTTCTTTTTTGTGTGCTATTTTGTCTGCTTTTGCTAGCAGGGTAATATGGGATTCATAAAATAAGTTGGAAAATGTTCTTTTCACATCTGTTTTCTGAAAGAAATTGTATAGAATTAAGTTAATTCTTTTTCATACATTTAGTGAGTTTTCCAGTGATATTTTAAAAGGAAGTTTTTAAATTATAAATTCAATTCTCTTCATGGCTGTAGGGCTATTCAAATAATCAGTTTCATATGGGATAGTTTATACTCCTCAATTAATGGCTTCATTTGTCAAATTAATATGTGTAGAGATGTTTGTAGTATTCTCTTATTATCATTTTTTTCTGTCTGCAGAGTCTGTAGTGATACCCCTGTTTTTCCTGACTTAGTAATTTGTATCTTCTCTCTTTTATCTTTGCCAGACCTTCTGGAGGTTTGTCAGTTTTTTTTTTGTTTGTTTGTTTGTTTGTTTGTCTGTCTTTTTTTAATTTATTATTATTATACTTTAAGTTTTAGGGTACATGTGCACAATGTGCAGGTTAGTTTTATTGATTTTCTTCAAAACCCGCTTTTTGTTTCATAGTATTTTTAATTGTTTTTCTTTGTCCAATTCATTGAATTTTGTTTTTAGATTTATTATTCTACATATTTTAAACTTATTTTGTTCTTCATTTTCAATATTTTTCAAGTAGAAGATTATATTAATGATTTGAGGCTTTTTCTCTTTTTAATGTAAGCATTTAGTGCTATGGGATGCCCACTAAACACTGCTTTAGCTGCACCCCATAAATTTTAAGTGTCGTATTTTCATTCAGTTCAATGTTTTGTATTACCCTTGTGACTACCTCTTTGACCCAAGGATTGTTTATAAATGCATTGTTTTGTTTCCAACTGTCTGGAGAGTTTCCTGTTACGTGTCTGTTGTTTATATCTCGTTCAATTTCATTGTGGTCAGGAACACACACTGTGTGAATTCCATTCTTCTAAAATTATATAGATTATGTATAATCTATCTTGATATATGTTCTACAAGTGCTGGAACAAATATGTATTCTAGTCCTGTGAGATGGACTGTTCTATAACTATCACTGATATCCTGTTTGCTGATGGTGTTGAGTTCTTCTATACCCTTGCTGATTTTCCATATAGTCCTACAAATTGTTGAGAAAGGAATATTAAAATCCCAATTTTAATTATAGATTGGCCTTTACCTCAATTCAATTTGTTTTCAGTTTTTCCTTTATATATGTTGTAGTTTACTTGTCTGGTGCCTACACATTTAAGATTGCTATTTCTTCTTGATAGATTAGCACTTTTATTATTATGTGATGTTATTCTTTGTCCTTGGTAATATTCTTTGCTGTAAAATATACTTTATCTAATATTTACATAGCCATACTTTCATTCTTTTGACTAATGTTTGCATGATATATGTTTTCTTCCTTTTATTTCAAACCTACATGTATCATTATATCTGAAGTGAGTTTCTTGTACACAGAATATGATTGTGTCATTTTTCTGTCCACTCTTCCATATTCTTTCTTTTAGTTGTTATTAAATGAAAGAAACATGAAATATCAGAAGGTTAAGAAAATGGAAAGAGGCCGGGCGTGGTGGCTCATGTCTGTAATCTCTGCACTTTGGGAGGCCGAGGCGGGTGGATCACTTGAGATCAGGAGTTCGAGATCAGCCTGACTTACGTGGTGAAACCCCATCTCTAGTAAAAATAGAAAAAGTAGCCAGGCATGGTGGTGGGCACCTGTAATACCAGCTACTTGGGAGGCTGAGGCAGGAGAATCACTTGAACCTGGGAGGCGGAAGTTGCAGTGAGCCGAGATCACACCACTGCATCCAGCCTGGGCGACAGAGTGAGACTCTATCTCAAAAAAATAAAAGGAAAGAAAAGTAAGTAGAAAGAGCAAAATACAATAGACTTTTCTTCTATTTTGAGTTTTTAAAATGATGATTGAGGGTTGAAGCAAAAATTATAACACTGCCTAAGGCGGTTCTCAGTGCATGTGGAGGAAATGGTTAAGACAATTATAAGTGGGAGACAGTAAAGAAATGAAAAAGGAAGTAAGCTTTCCACACTTCACTAAAACTGGTAAAATGAACACAAGTTATGATTATACTAACATGTCTCAGAGAAATTGTGGGTTTAGTTCCAGACCACCTCAATTAAATGACTCTCACAATAAAGTAAGTCACACAAATATTTTGGTTTCCCAGTGCATACAAAAGTTATGTTTATACTGCACTACAGTCCATTAAATGTGTAATAGCATTATGTCTAAAAAAGTATATGCCTTTATATAAAAATACTTTATTGCCAAAAATGCTGACACAAGGATATTAAATGACCACGTGCTGCTGGAAGATAGTGCTAATCGACTTGCTTAATGCAGGATTGCCACAAACCTTTAATTTTATTTTTTAAAAATGCAACATCTGTGAAGCACAATAAAACAAGCCATGCCCACATAATGCAACACCTACAGCAGCCACTAAAAAACATATACAAAGATACCTAATAAAAACACTATACAAAAATAATCACTTATAGCTGCACCAAAATGGGATTATAAGAAAAAGTTCAAGAAAAAGCCCACAGAAATGCGGGAAAAAGAAAAGAGAGGAACAAAAAAGAACAGTTAAAATAATGAAATGGCAGACAACTTTAGGGCATCAATGACCACATAAAACATAGTTTTCTTCATTTTTAAAACAATAAAGGGCATGAATTCCCATTATAAAAGTGAAAGTTCAGAAGTTTATAAGTTTAGAAAATAATGTTCTTTTTCACCTAATGCCACACCCATGAATAACTATACTTGAATTTGGTGTGCCATTTTCTGGCATTTATCCACAAATAAAGAGAATGAAAGTAAGAGACAGTAAGAGTGACAGAAAGTTTAGTTTTTCAAATGGTCCAAATTTACATATTTTTCTACAACATTCTTTTCTCTTTTGACTCCATAAGAGTACATATTTATCTCTCTGCCTTAGGCTAGGTATTAATGAATAATATAAATCTACTGAAATGTATACAATTCTATTTCCTGATTTTACTATTAAAAGGTTTTGTTAACTTATTTTCAATGCAAGTTACATAATATTATATTTTATATAATATGCATGTTATTGATACTATAAACAAGTGAATGAACATAATTAACTTCCAGATGAGTTCTGTGATCCCCATTGTGCAGGGGAAGTAACTAGGGCCAAAGGGAATTATATGTCTTTTTCTATTAACTGGTGAGACAAAAATTCAAAACCACGGTTACCTATTTCCTTTCCACTGCACAAGGTTGACTATAAATGAAGCCTAAAAAACCCAGCACTACCCATATATTAAGCATGTTTAAAATGCTAGGGTAAACCCCCGTGGCATGAGTTTACCTATGTAACAAACCTTCACATGTACCACCAAACATTAATGTTAAAAAAAATGCTTAGATAGTTGGCCATTTTCTTTGTAGTATCCATTTGATTAGAAAACACCTTCAACATAGATGAAACAAAATATTTCATATTGAACCAGCCAACGATTAGCTCAATATTAAACATAGAAATGTACAGATTCTGTGTGAGATTGGAGGGGGGGGTTACACTAGTTTCCTTAGCTCCTGAGAAGCATCCTCATATTTTCATATTATTTTATTTAAATCCAGATTACTAAAGTCAAGTTGATATGATAAATGTCATTACTCTATTGAAATTCTAGCTTAACTAGACCTCTGGCCTATTCAAGCTTCCTCTAGTAAGTGTTTATCCAAATGAAAGAAACACTTTTTGAAAGGACTGCATTTCTTTCATTTTACAGTAAATTTACCCTATGAAGAAACTTATGCTAACTTAATATACCTCAGTATTCACTAAATGTTAAATTGAAGAGAATTGTTTCTGCTTTCTTGTTCCTCCACTACAGAACAGAAAAAAAAAAGCAATAGAAAATGTAAGGCTATTTCTCAGACATCAATTATATAACAGGTTTATTTTGCTTGTAAAGAATATCACCTAGATGGGAGTTGCATTCTAAAGATATAAATACAAAGATACTTTGAAGCCTTCAAACATATGTAAAGCATGAATATATTTAGGGAAATTTATCTCTAGTTTATTGTACTAATTTCAAGAGCTTTATCCAAAATTAAAATGGTAGGTGGCTGTGAACAATTGTAGGTTACTAAAGGGGTACAAAATTATGTTTTAATATTACTTTAGGTATGGATGCCTGTTTAATATAGTGAAAAATTGCTCATCTATATTTCTAAGAACTACACACATTAGAAGTCAGTCTTCTTCTAAGACAACCTTTTTCCTTTTGAAGATGAATTCATTTCCTCTTTCATCAAGTAGATCACTCTTTACTTGATGATTATAAATACATTTTTTTAATTTGAAAATGAGTAACACTATTGGGAGTATTTGTCATGAAAATCCAAATAGAAAAAAGTGACGTGAAATACAGAGCCATTTCATTGCAAGAAGTCACAAGGATTTCCCTTCTTTTCTGGGTCCTTCTCTTGGTCATTTCTAGAGTTTTGGTAGCCATGGCATGAGGAAACAGCACTGAAGTGACTGAATTCTGTCTTCTGGGATTTGGTGCCTAGCAAGAGTTTTGGTGTATCCTCTTCATTATATTCCTTCTCATCTATGTGACCTCCATAATGGGTAATAGTGGAATAATCTTACTCATCAACACAGATTCCAGATTTCAAACACCCATGTACTTTTTTCTACAACATTTGGCTTTTGTTGATATCTGTTACACTTCTGCTATCACTCCCAAGATGCTCCAAAGCTTCACGGAAGAAAAGAATTTGATATCATTTTGGGGCTGCATGATACAATTATTGGTTTATGCAACATTTGCAACCAGTGACTGTTATCTCCTGGCTATGATAGCAGTGGACCATTATGTTGCAATCTGTAAGCCCCTTCACTATACCGTAATCACGTCCCAAACAGTCTGCATCCATTTGGTAGCTGGTTCATACATCATGGGCTCAATAAATGCCTCTGTACATACAGGTTTTGCATTTTCACTGTCTTTCTGCAAGTCCAATAACATCAACCACTTTTTCTGTGATGGTCCCCCAATTCTTGCCCTTTCATGCTCCAATATTGACATCAACATCATGCTACTTGTTGTCTTTGTGGGATTTAACTTGATGTTCACTGGGTTGGTAGTCATCTTTTCCTACATCTACATCATGGCCACCATCCTGAAAATGTCTTCTAGTGCAGGAAGGAAAAAATCCTTCTCAACATGTGCCTCCCACCTGACCACAGTTGCCATTTTCTATGGGACACTCTCTTACATGCACTTACCAGTCTCATTCTAATAATTCCCAGGAGAATATGAAAGTGGCCTCTATATTTTATGGCACTGTTATTCCCATGTTGAATCCTTTAATCTATAGCTTGAGAAATAAGGAAGTAAAAGAAGCTTTAAAATTGATAGGGAAAAAGTTCTTTTAAATCAGCCCCAGTTGTTAACATTCAGCTCAACAAATCATCCAACATAGCTGTTCTGCCAAAATTTAATTTTTCTACAATAAGGAATATGTAGAAAGATGTCAAATTAATAATCTAACATCACCTCTAGAGGAATTTAAAATACAAGAGCCAACCAATCCCAAAGCTAGCAGAAGAAAAAGTAACTAAAATCAGAACCGAACTGAACAAAATTAAGACACAAATATTTATGCAAAAACTTAATGAAACCAAAATTTGGTTTCTTGGAAGAATAAATAAGATTGGTAGGCTGCTAGCCAGATTCACAACGAGAAAAGAGGGAACATCTAAATAAGCACAGCCAGAAAGAACAAAGGTGGCATTACAACCAATCCCACAGAAATACAAAAGATACTCAGAGAATATTATGAACACTTTTATGCAAATAGACTAGAAAATATAGAGGAAATGGATAAAATCCTAGGAACCCACAAACTCCCAAGATTTAATAAGGAAGAAATTGAAACCCTGAGCAGACCAGTATCAAGTTCTGAAGTGAAAACAGTACCAAAAATCTACCAACCAAAAACAAAGTACAGACCAGATGAATTTGCAGTCAAATTCTACCAGATGTAAAAAGAAGAGCTGGTGCCAATTCTACTGAAACTATTTCAAAAAATCGAGCAGGAGGGACTCCTTTGCAACTCATTCTATGAAACCAGCATCAGGTCTCTGATACTAAAACCTGACAAAGACACAATGAAAAAAGAAAACTGCAGGCCAATATTCCTGATGAACATAGATGCAAAACCATCAATGAAATACTAGCAAACCAAATTCAGCAGCACATCCAAAGTTATTTCACCATGATCAAGTAGGCTTCATTCTTTGGATGCAAGGTTGGTTCAATATATGCAAATCATGAAATGTCATTCACCACATAAACAGCATTTAAAGCAAAAACCATATGATCTCAATAGATGCAAAAAAAGCCTTCAATAAAATGCAACATCCCTTCGTTGTAAAAATTCTCTACAAATTAAGCATCAAAGCAATGTACCTTAAAATAAGTGCAATCTATGACAAATTTACAGCCAATGTCATAATGAATGGGCAAAATCTGAAGGCATTCCCCCTTGAAAACTGCAACAAGACAAGGGTGCCCACTCTCACCATAGTTCAACATAGTTCTAGAAGTCCTAAGCAGAGTAATTAGGCAAGAGAAAGAAACAAAAGACACCCAAATAGGAAAAGAAGAAGTCAAACTATCTCTCTTTGTGGACTATATGATTCTATATCTAGATAACCCTAAAGACTCTGTCAAAAGGCTCTTGGAGCTGACAAATGAATTCACTAAATTTTTAGGTTACAAAATCAATGTACAAAAATCAGTAGCACTTCTAAACATCAATAATGTTAAACTGAGAGCCAAATCAAGAATGCGAGTCAATTAATAATAGCTACCAAAAAAATAAAATATCTAAGAATACATCTAACCAAGTAAATGAAGTATCTCTACTAGCAGAGAATTACAAAACACTACTCAAAGAAATCAGAGAGGACACAAACAAATGGAAAAAGAGTACATGCTCATGGATTAGCATAATCGATATCATTAAAATGGCCATACTACCCCAAGCAATCCACAGATTCAATGCTATTCCTATCAAGCCACAACGCCATTTTTCACAGAATTAGAAAAGCTATTCTAAAATTCATATGAAAATGGAAAAGAACCCAAATAGCCAAAGTAATCCTTAGCAAAAAGATCTAAGCTGGAGGCACCATATTATCCAGTTTCAAAACATACTATAGGGCTACAGTAGCCAAAACAGCATAATACTAGTACAAAAACTGTAACATAGACCAGTGCAACAGACTAGAGAACCTAGAAAGAAAGCCACACACGCAAACACGGCTGTCTGATCTTTAACGAGTCAACAAAAATAAGCAATGGAGAAAAGACTTCTTATTCAATAAATGGTGCTGGGATAATAGGCTAGCAATATACCAAAAAAATAAAACTGGACACATACCTTTTAACATATACAAAAATTAACTCAAGATATATTAAAGAGATAAATGAGACCTCAAACTATAAGACTCCTAGAAGAAAACCTGGGAAACATCATTCTGAACATCAGCCTTGGGAAATAATTTATGACTAAGTCCTCAAAAGCTGTAGCAACAAAAAATTTGACAACTGGGACCTAATTAAATTAAAGACCTTCTGCATATCAAAAGAGACTATCAACAGAGTATACAGGCAACCGACAGAATGGGAGAAAATTCTCAGAAACTATGTATCCAATAAATCTAATTTCCATAATGTATACAGAACTTAAACCACTCAACAAGCAAAAAACAAATAACCCCATTAAAAAGTGGGCAAAGAATATGACCAGATACTTCTCAAAAGAAGACATACAAGAAGACAACAGCCATATGAAAAAATGCCTAACAAGACTAATCATCAGAAAAATGCAAATCAAAATCACAATGAGCTAACCATCTCATATCAGTCAGAATGTCTATTATTAACAAGTCAAAAAGCAATAGATGCTGGCCACACCATGGAGAAAGGGGAATGCTTATACCTGCTGGGAATGTAAATTAGTTCAGCCACTGTGGAAAGCAGTCTGGAGATTTCTGAAAGAACTTAAAACGAACTATCATTTGACTGTGTAATCCCATTACTGGATAATATCTAAAAGAAAATAAATTTTTCTACAAAAAAGACACATGTGCTTGTATGTTCATCACAGCACCATTCACAATAGTAACAACATAGAATCAGCCTAAGTGCCCATCATCAGTGGATTGGATAAAGAAAATACGGTACACATACATAAGGGAATACCACACAGCCATAAAAATGTACAAACTCAGGTCCTTTGCAGCCACATGGCTAAAGCTAGAGGCCACTATCCTAAGCGAATTAACACCGGAACAGAAAAGCAAATACCACATGTTCTCATGTATAAGTGCGAACTAAATATTGAGTACACACAGACACAAAGATGGGAAAAACAGACACTGGGAAATACTAGGCGGGAAGAGAACAAGTGGGGCAAGGGTTTAAAAAACTAACTGTTGGGTGCTATTGAAACAGAAGAGATCTCTAATCCCCCTGAGCAACAGGGGTGTGGCTCACCTTTTCTGTCACCATTGCTGCTCAAACCCCTGATGGAAGGGGGAGCACACAGACAGTCAGGTGCAGGAGCTGGGGCAGTGCTTTGAGCTCTGGCCACATGGTAGTGTCTAGGGGTGGGTGCCTGCAGCCCCAGTATTACAATGCTTTTTTAGCCCTGCCATTCGCAGACAGCTTAAATGTTAACCAGCTCAATGGACCCTCTGTCTTTTTGCAAGGGCAGAGGGCCAGTGTGACAGCTTCCTGTATCCAGAGCTCCTGCCCAGCATCCCAGAAAAATTGAGTCACACACAGGCTTGAAGGATGAATGGAGGATTTTATTGAATGGTGGAGGTGGTTCTCAGTGGGATGCATGGGGAGCTGAAAGGGGGATGGAGTGGGAAGATGATCTTCCCCTGGAGTTTTGCCCAATCCAGCAGCAAAACCTCCCTCTGACTGCCCCAGCCTAACTCCTCTTGGCATTCAGACGTTCCTTCTCTTCTCTTTATCTGCCACACCATTCCGCTGTTCATCTGCTCATCTCCTGTCTCATCTCCTCATCTGTTTCTGGAGCCTGAGGTTCGGGGTTTACATGGGCACAGGATAGGGGGGCGGAGTGGGCCAAAAGGCAACTTTTTGGATGCACGAACAGAAATGCCTGTTCCCACTTAGGGCTGTGGGTCTCCAGGCTTGAGGGTGGGGCCTTTGCAGGGGAACCATCCCCTTCTACCCAGTATTTTCCTGTCTCCTTTCCGTATCACTGTATTCACTACCTAGGTAATGGGATCATTCACATCCCAAACCTCAGCATCATGCAATATACCCGTATAACCTGTGCATGAACCTCCACATCTAGAATAAAAGTTGAAAGTATCAAAAAACAAAATAGGGAACTTATTCACATCATAAACCGATGCTACTTTTTTCAATAGATAAGCACTTTAATTTTGGAAAATATAATAGAAACATCTCCTGGGGCTAAAAAATGCTTCCCAGGAGATACTGACAATACACTAGTTTTAAAGTTTCTGACTTCACCATTCAAACAAATACAGATTAAAGGAAAACACTCTCTCTGGGAAGATAGCTAGGGAGATACCAAATTACAGAGGAAATGCTGTAGCATCTTTCTATCCATTTGATGATTAATTTCCTGCTTTATTGGCTCTGACTGATCATGTGATTCATTCTGCCACCAGAAAAGATGAATGTGCCCACCAATAAGGAACATAAAGTTGAGGAAAATACTTGCTCAACATTGGATTCCCAACATCCAGCATATTCTTACCACATTGTAGTTGCTCAATAAACATTTGTTCAATAAATGAATGGACAAATGAAAGCAGAAAGGAAAGACCAGAAATCTAGACAGAGCACTCTCAGTGGAGTTGAGAGGAGTCAGCTGCAGTCCAGTGCAGCTGTTTCTGGATTCTGAAGCAGCAAACAGAGCTTTGCCAAGCTTACTGGGTGAACCAACTGCCTATAACAACACTGAACAGTGTTGTTGTAAATAAACACACAGAAAGTACCTGTCTGTCATGTTATATGCAGAAGTGTAGAATAAAAGAGCAACAGGATAAACATGAGCAAGTTGATTCCTTCAGCTCCTCAGTGTCTTAATGTTATGTTTTTCAATACACAGTTTATGGAATAAAATATGTGAAACCAGTTTGGTAGTTTGAGCAAGCTATCAGGAATCTCCAAGAATTGTTTGGTTGTTATTACTGATGTTTTCTTTTGATTTTAGAGGTCAAGTTTGTGTGTGTGTGTGTGTGTGTGTGTGTATACATATATATATAATGCGTGTGTGTATGCATGTGTTACAGAAGACAAAAGGGAAGAAGGATCTAATGGCATGCAGGAATTATAGACACAGAGGACAGCATGGACAGAACTATCACTTAATCCAGAGGAGTAGTGAGCAATTTTGGCAGTGGATGCATGTGTGGTGTCTCCATCATTCCCCACCAGAAAAATTACACATTTCAGGAATTAATCCTCAACACCTGAAATGATCCTTTGCATAGATAACTTACTACTACAGTTAAAAAAGAATCAAACTACTGCCAAGGATATTGTTGCTATGATATCCTACTGCCAAAGATATCGGTGATCGATCTTCTGTAAGGCAGAAGATAATGGTCATCTACCACTATAGTGAAAGGGGAAGTGATTTTGGGGATAGTAAACATAACAGTACATCAGAGTTATTCCAGGTGGAGTGGAATAGTGCCATTCTCTAAGACTTAGATGAGGTGGTGGTCCCCATTACAACCCCATTTAATTCACCAGTCCAGGACCTATAAAACCCAAACAGATTGTGGCAGAAAATTGACTACCACAGTCTTAGCCAAATGGAAGCACCAATCTCAGCCACTGTCTCAGATGTGCAATTGTTACTGGAGCAAACAGCCTTTAGTACTATGCACTGGCACTAATTTGGAAACGCATTATTTTCCACACGTATCAGGAAGCATGTTCAGAAGGAAGTTACCTTCTCTTAGCATGCATATCATGAAACATTCCTAGTCGTTTCCAGGGCTATCTGAACTCTCCTCAGCCACTGTAGCCTAGGGGACCTTGAGCATCTGGAAACCTATAGAACACCATTCTGGTCCACTATAGTAATGACATCACTGGACCTGAGGAAGAGGAAGTAGAAGTACTCTGTGGTAGTTTGTTACAGAAGCAATAAGAACAGGAAACTAGCGCAATACTCATGAAAAATAATGCCAAGTAACATGTAACACAAAGTGTATAGCAATATTGTGTATAGTAGAAAAATCTGGAAACTACTACAACACCCATTGGCAGAATCTGTTGGTATAAATCCTCTAAGAAGCAGACACCAAGATAGGATCACACATGCAAACATTTTTAGGGGGATTCCAATGTAAAATGAAATAGGACAATGGAAAAAACTAGGAAAAATGCAAGTCTGACCCCAAGTCAAGAAGAGAGGAAGAGAAGATTGGGCAGAATCATGTGAGACTGTCATAAAGTAGAAGGATGATTTGGCAAAGTTATTGAGAAATCCTTGAACCAAAATGGGCTGACAAATGAGTCCTGTGTCTCCCAGGTATGAGTCTGCCTTAGAATCCATTCTGCACACAGTCATTGGCAGAGAGCAGCCCATGGGAAGTGGGGTCTCAGAAAAACTACTGCAAAGGATTTCAAAGTGAGAAGCTCAGATCCTGGGTCATTTACACTCCTTGAAGGAGGCCTACAAATTCATTCGCATGACTGCTACACAGGTGAAGGGATAAATTAATTAGATTTTAATCACATAATGGAATATTATGCAGCAGTGAAAATGAATGAACTGCTGCTATGACACAACAGAAAAGTTTTAACACAAGTAAAAATAAACATCCATGAATAAAATAGAAAAACATTTTTCATTAAGTTCAGTAACAGGCATACTAGAAAACATATGGTTCAGGGGTGCTTGTGTGTGTGTGTGTGTGTGTGTGTGTGTCTGTGTGTCTGTGTGTCTGTGTGTCTGTCTGTTAAAGCTATAAATCGAAAAATAAAAAGATACAAAGAAACATTCATAATGTTGCTGTTTCCAGATAAGGATGAGGCTAATTTATATATTATATAAATAAATATATATATAATATATAAATATATATATTTATATAATATATATTATATATATAATATATATTATATAATATATAATATATAATAAAATATATTATATATTATATAAATATATAATATATAATAAAATATATATTTATATAAATATATAATAAAATATATTATATATTTATATAAATATATATTTATATAAATATTATACATTATACATAATAAAATATATAATATATTTTATATAAATATATATTTATATATGTATATACATATATACGTGTGTGTGTGTATATATATATATATATATTCTGGCTGCCATCCTGAGGTTGCCTTCTGATAGAAAGAAAAAGGCCTTCTCACGAGTGTCTTCTACCTGAAAGTTGTCACCATTTTCTCTCAGCTCTCTCTGACACGTACTTACATTCTGTTTCTAGAAAGTCCCAAGGACAGAAGAAAATCATCTCTGGATTTTGTAGCACTGTGAGACCCGGGTTAAATCCTCTTATTGATCACAAGTCATAGAGTATTTTCACGTACATTTTCTATTTCCATTCTCCTTATGGCCTGCAGAATCTAGAATTAGCCCCATTTATCGTGAGAAAACTAGGTTTCCTGCATCAAACCCAGGTTTTTGATTCCACAACTAATTATTCAGAAAAGGATACAAACTAAACCCATAGACAGAACAACACAGGATGAACAATCCTTACATTTTAGTCACTTACAACATTTTTTAAATGATCTCTTCTGAAAAGATTAGCTCTTAATCTGACAGTGATGTGCCAATCAATGTTGTATGTTTTTAGCTCATTTCAGTCCTCAGACACTGAGATCTTTACAAGTCCTATCCCCACAGGCCTCAGAAATAAAATGCCCCATTTGAAGCAATCAGAAAACCTTATGCTAGGAAGCAACCAGCCTTGCACCAGATGTGAAAAAGAAAGTTCTAAGATGAATCTAATAAAAAGCCTATGTTTTCATAATTAGTTATGCATTTTTGAATATCTGGAGAAAGCAGATGAATAATAAAGAGCATTATACAGAAACTTTGCCCCATGTCTGGGAAGCACATTGTATGTCTGGAAACACACTAATTCCAAAAAAATTAATTCTGGAAAACTTCGTTAGTAACTGGATTTTCAAAGCTTTAATTTTTAGATTTTGCACTGTATAATAAACAGTATTATAGTTCCAAATTTTAACAAAAGACAAGAAATCCACATAAATATATGCCATCCAGGCTTACATATTTGCTAAGTAATACATACTGAACTCCATCATAGCCTCAAAAATCACAGAAATTGAAAAACTTACCCAGAAAACAGGCCCAGGAGTTTGAATGGGTCATAGATCACAAAAAGCATAAATTCCAAGGGTCTCTGCTATTCTGTTCCAAGATCAATATTAGGGATAGTGCTTAAGAACACAGACATTAGGTTCAAAAAGTCTAAAGCACTGTGGTACATATTAAAATAAGTATGTGTCGGCTACATACATAAACAATGCTGAAATGGCTTAGAAGTAGAAAAACATGAAAACACATGATCAAGTCAAAATAAGCAATTACAGGGTATTAATTACACAATTTACTATGTGATTTTTCTTCTAGCTGGACAATAATAATAACAAAATGGAAGGGTAAATTCAAATGGGACATGTTCATCAAAATGTCAAACTATATGAGCAATGTAAAGACCTAGAGTAAAGCAACAGCTAAATGGGAGATTCTTTCGAGATATGTTTATAAAAAAATAAAGAAAAAAAACTGCAAAGTCCCCACAAATAAGGAACATTAACTAACATACCAGGAAAAATGGCTACAAACTTTAAGAGATGAGACCATGGAAAGTTGAAGAGTGATGATATCAACTTCAAATTAGTGAAAGGCATTTTTTAAAATGAGTTTAGACACATTACTTTATGCCACCACTCTCGGGTATTTTAATAATACACTGTTCCATTTCAAAGAAAAATTTAACAGAGTAAGAACACAATGAAATATCACTAAATAACTATATAATGGATACAATTTTATTTAATTGTGAAAACACTAAATACTATTGAGGACACAGAAAAAATAGATCGCTCATGTATTAGTTGATGGGATTGTAAAATAATACAGCCACTCAGGAAAACAGTTTGGCAGTTTCTTAAAAACTCAGCAGGCAACTACCATATGGCCCAGCACACCCAGCCATTTATTCCAGTGAAATGAAGGCTCCCGTTTATATAAAAACCTGTACATGAATGTTCACAGCTGCTTTATTTGTAAGAGACAGTCACTAGAATCAGCCCAGATATCCTTCAACATGTTAATGGTTAAATAATCTGTGGTACATACATATCATAACAACTTGGATTAATCACTTGGGAATCATGCCAAGAAAAAAGCCAACCCCGAAAGGTTATACCTGGTATGTATCCATTTATATAGAATACTTTAAATGACAAAGTTTTAGAAATGGAGGAGAGATTAGCTGTTGCCTGGAATTAGGGATGGAATGAGAAAGGCATGTGGATGGGATGGGGTGGCTGAAGTTATAAAACAGCAGCACAAGGAATCTTGGTGGTTTGGGAAATATGTGGTGTCGACTGTGGTGGTGAATACAGGAAACCAAACAGGTGATAAAGTTTCATAGAACTTAATACAAACACACTCACACAAGTAAAGACTGGGAAAATTTGAACAAGATCAGTGTCGTGTCAACATCAATGTCCTCCTTGTGATGTTACACTGTACGCTCACGATATGTCACCAATAGGGTGTATCTGTTTTCTATTGCTGCTATAACAAATCACAACAAAAATAAATGGCTTAAAACAACACAAATTTAACATATTATGGTTCTGGAAATCAGATGTCCAAAATAGGTCTCAAATCAAGTTACCAGCAGAGCTGTGTTCCTTTCTGGAGGCTCTAGGAAATGATCCATTTTCTTCCCCTGTTTCGGTTTGTAGAAGTCAGTGGCATTCCTTGGCTGTAGCCCCTTTCCTATCTTCAAAGCCAGCATCACAGCATCTTCAAGACCCTCACTCCACACTTCTGCCTCTTTCTTCTGTTTATAAGGGCCCCTGTGGTTATACTGGCCCTAACTGGATAATCCAGAATAACCTCCCCTTTCAAGGTGTGCCAATTAGCAATCTTAATTTCATCTGCAACCTTAGTTCTTCTTTACCACATAACCTAATACATTCACAGATTCCAGGGATTAGGATGCAGACATCTTTGGGGAATCATTAGTCTTCCTATCACAGAAGGAAACTAGGCAAAGTGTGCAAGGGAGGCCAAGTGGCTCACGCCTGTAATCCCAGCACTTTGGGAGGCCCAGGCAGGCGGATCACCTGAGGTCGTGAGTTCAAGACCAGCCTGACCAATATGGAGAAACCCCGTCTCTACTAAAGATACAAAATTAGCCAGGCACGGTTGCATGTGGCTATAATTCCAGCTACTTGGGAGGCTGAGGCAGGAGAATCACTTGAACCTGGGAGGCGGAGGTTGCGGTGAGCCAAGATTGCTCCATTGCACTCCAGTCTGGGCAATAAAAGTGAAACTCCATCTCATTAAAAAAAAAAACAAAAAGTGTGCAAGGGAGCTCTCTGTATTGTTTCTTACAATACATGCAAATCTACAATGATGTCAATAAAAATTCAATTAAAAATACATGTAGTAAAAATAGTTGCTAATCTATGCTGGAGTTTACTTGAATGTCACTATGCTGATCGTCACCTTCAAGTACACACATATCTTCCATCATCCTGAGCTTGCCCTCTGCTATGTGTCTTTTTCCGCAGTTGTCTTCCACCTGACAGCTGTCACCATTTTCTTTGGAGCTCTCTCTTACATGGACTTACAACCTGAATCTACTGTGTTTCAAGAGCAAGAAAATCCAGCATCCATATTTTGTGGCATTATGACTCTCGTGTTAAACTTCCTTATCTACTGCCTGTGAAATTAGGAAGTAAAAGAAGCTCTACAGTTAACAAGGAAAAAGTATTAATACATGTAGACTGAGGGTAAATTATTAACACTGAGTGTCAGAAGTATCCTGTGGTGAGCGCCCTGCCATATTTGCTGATAGCATATTGGTCAAAGCAAGTTGCAAGGCCAACCCAAACCTGGATTCAAGGTGTTGGAGTAACAGGCTCTCCTGTCTGATGGAAAGATCTGCACCACTGCATCACGATGATGTGAATGTAACAAAAACTTGGGGACCATTTTTATAACCTACCACAACATGTTCTTACTAGAATAAATTGTTTCTTAGCTGACACCCTAATCAGAATATGAATCATCCTGCCACAGATGTTGATATGAGAAACAAACTGAATCTCTATAAAGGCACAATAATTTATATTTGCTCATTATTTTATCCCCAGTGTCTACCAATTGTCAGGAATATATAAAGTGCTCACTAAGTAGTTGTTGAATTAATGAACAAAGAATTCAACAAATGAATTAATGAACAAAGTCAAGCCTCTTTGTTTGCCAGGAGGCTTTGGTCACTGGAAAGTCCAACAATGTGGTTTATGTTGGGGCCTTTGGGACATGCCATATCAGTTCTGATTTCCAGAGAACGGGGGACAAAAGTCATTATGCTGATCCTCCAGAAAGGCTGGGAACTAACATCAATTACAGGAGCAGTATGCAATCGAGCCCTGATAAAAACCCTGAGCACCACAGGATCAGGTGAACTTCCTGGGTTGACCTGAAGCCAATATGTATGACAACTCCATGCATCAATTGCCATGCATTGATATGGCAAAAGCATGATGGAAACTTTATGTTTGCACCCCTCTGAGACCTGGCCTTATGTTTCTCTTTGTTTGTTGGCTTAATTTGTATTCTTTGGCTATAATAAATCTATAATTGTATGTATAGTCTTAAACAATTTCCTAATGTCTTAATTCACATTCTATACTAAACAACCACAGACTAAGTGACTTATAATTAAAGGAGGCCAGGAACAGTCGCTCACACCTATAATCCCAGCACTTTGGGAGGCCGAGGTGGGTGGATCATGAGGTCAGGAAATCGAGACCATCCTGGCTAACATGGTGAAACCCGATCTCTACTAAAAATACAAAAAATTAGCCCAGCGTGGTGGCACATGCCTGTAGTCCCAGCTACTCAGGAGGCTGAGGCAAGGGAATGGCGTGAACCCAGGAGGCGGAGCTTGCAGTGAGCAGAGATCACGTGACTGCACTCCAGCCTGGGCGACAGAGCGAGACTCTGTCTCAAAAAATAATAATAATAATAATAATAATAATAAGTAAAAGAAATTTATTTCTCACAGTTCTGGAGACCAGAACAATTCCACCCCTAACCCCCAAAATTAGTGTCCTGCTGACATGCAAAATACATTCATTCCTCTCCAACAGCCCCCAAAGCCTTAATTCATTCTAAAGACTAAAATGTCAACTAAATATTATCTAAATTAGACATGAATGAGACTCAAAATGCAATTTATCCTGAGGCAAATTCTTTCTTCAGTTGTGAACCTGTAAAGCCAAACAAATTACATGCTTCCAAAGTGCAATCGTGGCATAGACATTTCCTTTCCAAAAGCAAACCCACTGGAGCACAGGACACCCTTCCAGACCCACTGAGGTGGCAAAACTACCCCCACAGCTTGGGGAGGCACTGCCCATGCTTTGGCACTCTTCCATGGCCCCTAATGCTTCAGTTCTATTGGGTTGGGGATTGCACCACCACCAGGGTTTGGCAAGATACCCCAACCCAACTTTCTAAGTATTGGTCCCATTCTTTGGCAATCCCACCTCCTGGGCTCATGCATTCTAGGAATGGTGACCCTGATGATTTCTTAATTGCCTTCCAGGTTCTTTTTTCCTTGTCTTGAAAAATACTACATGTATACACCCAGATACTTCTATAGTTCAGTACAGCAGGGTCTAAAAAGTCTTATAGGCTGTTTTCATTTTGTCCTATCTTCTCTGTTTCCTTTAGTCCTATCTGGCAGTACTCCCACTGGCATAATCCCATCTCTATTCTTGTCTTTTGTTGAGATGACTGATTAAGCCTGTCATTCACATTCATACTAATCTTATCAAATGGACACTTGGCCACAGCCTTCGTGTTCTCTTCCAAATACACTTTCTCACTTTTGCAATACGGATAGGCTAAGAATTTGATTTTCTAAATCTTTAAGTTCTGGTTCATTTTTTGCTTAAAGAACCATCTTGAAACCATTTCTCTCTTTTTGCATTTTATTATAAGCAGTCAGGAGAAACTAAGCTGTTCCTTCAATACTTTGTTTAGCAATCTTCTGCTCTCAACCTCTACCTTCCACAAAACCCAGAACATAAACACAAGTCAGCCAAGTTCTTTTCTACCTTATAACAAGGATCTCCTTTTCTCCATTTTCCAATAACATATTCCTCATTTTCATCTGAGACCTCATCAGAAGGGCCTTTACCTTCCATGTTTCTACCAACATTCTGTTCATGGTTACCTACATATTCTCTAAGAATACAGAAACTTTCTGTATAGTTACCTTTTCTTACTGCGCCCTCACCAAAATGCCTTTAAAAGTCTGTTCACATAAATCTAGGCTTCTTCTAAGATGCACCTAAAAACTCTTCTAGGATCTACCTATTTCCCAGTTCCAAAGCAGATTTCTACAATATTAGGAATTTCTAATGGGCGGCACCACCCCTTATACCAACTTCTATCCTAATCAGTTCAGGCTGCTATAGGAAATTAGCATAGATTGGGTGGTTTTATAAATAAAAGAAATTTATTTCCAATTCTGGAAGTAGGAAATCCAAGATCAGGGTGCCAGCATGGTCAAGTTCTGATGAGGGGCCTCTTCGGGTTTGCAGGATACTCAAAGAAGGCAAGAGAGCTCTCTGGGTTCTCTTTCATAAGGAAACACATCTCAGTCAGAAGAGCTCTACCCTCATGACTTTATCTTCCAAAATCCTTACCTCCTGAATCACCAATTGAGGCTTCAGAGTCAACAGATGAATTCTGAGGGAATACAAAAATTCAGTCCATAACAGCTGAATTTTTGAGTCACTCTAGTGAAGTATCAAACCTGAGGGTGAGTGTGTAGTGAGAATTGCTCCCTCAGAAGACAGGTTTCTAAGCTCCTCGAGGGAAGTTTCCAAGGCCGCAGAGACCGGGAGCAAGAATAGCGAAATACAAAAGGAGAAAATCCAGCAATGGAGGAATTACTTTGCTGGTATACACTCCGGAAAACTGGAACTTGATCCTACAGGGGATTCTGATAAAATATGTGGAATGTCCTTCAGAATTATTCTTCTAAAAGACAGGAACTTAAGACATTTTTTCAACTCCCCTCACCCAGTGGTTTGGGATTGCCCAAGGATTTTAACATCCTCACGCACCTGTGGTGGCCCTGATGAGTGATCTTTAATGTTTTCAGAGATATTTCTGAGGCAGAGAAGCAGAGAGATGTTATAGAAGATGGACTGCTGGTAGCACAGACAAAACTGTCTACCACAGATGCACTGAAATCAAGTACTAAGGAAGTGCGGTACAAGACACAAAGATATCTGCTAATCTATGTAACACAGTTCTAGCAAATAAGATGTACGTAAAAGTCTGCTGGGGAGTTTGCAGAAGGCATTATATATGTATATCATATATATCTGTCAAGGGTATATATGTGGTGTCACCCTGCTGTCTTTGTCCCTGTTTTTCTTTCTTTGAAAGAGAATGTGACATCTAGAGCTGAGATAAATTTACATTAAATTTAGATTCTTTCAGAAAACCAGGCTTATTGCTGATTGTGGTGACAGGGATGATTAACTAGACCTAAAAATAATTTCTTAGATATATAAAAACATGCTCATCCTCATTCTTAACAAGAAAAAAAAGCAGCTGTTCTCTAACAAGACAGCTCTTTAAAAAAAGAAGAAGTCCCTAATGACAGTAACATTGGGAAAAAAATAGGCCCTCTAGAAAGTTTAAATTTTTGTCAGCATGAAATATGTAGTGAACATTGTTTTTCCAAATTGCATCTCAGCCACCGAAACCTCGAATCTCAAGAAAGTGAATATCGATCTCTTAGGCCCAACTATAAACACCTGATAGTGAATAACCAAACAGAGATAGGCCATGGTGGGTTATCAGGCTGCACAGTGGCAGAAAGAGACTCTGGAAGCAATCTGGGGGGAAATAAAACAAAGCAAAGCGCATCTTCGGCATCAGCCATGTATCAATGTTATCATTGCAGTGTGTGCAGGTAATGGTAGAGCAAGAATCAGAGCCTAAGTGCTAGCATGTTTCACCCCAAAAACAGGAGGAGTCACTTCATCCCTGGTGGTGTGATGAAAATGGAGTGAGGGAACTAAATCGGGCTGTGTTGCCTGGAAATTACATGAATTAACAAATGATTGACTTATTGAATTAATGAGTGAATATAATATGCCCTTAATGCATTATTTGCATGTATTATTATGACTAATTTTGAGCATCCATTCAATACTTTCCTTGTGCTGGGACGTTCACGTGAATCAGCTGCTTGTCATTATAATCAGGATTCTAGGTTAAGTGGACCCTGACTTTTTCTAGCTTCCTCTGACGAGTGCTTTTACCCACTGGATGGAAGGAAGCCCCCTTGAAAGACCTGCATTTCATATATTTTATAGCAAATTTACCTGAGGAGGCAACTTATACAAGCTTATTGGCCCTCAGCCCTAAGTGTAGACTTGAAAAGAATTGTTTCTTTTTCCTAGAGTTAACCCACTCTGCTTATTTCTTAAGATAGTGGAAAGGGCCAGAGAAGCCCATATCAACACCCAGCTTAGCTTGCTAGATACCCCATCAATAAAGGCACATTCTTACCTGAAACAAATCACTTCATCTTTGCAGCTACAGCTCTACCTGGCATTACTGACATCAGAATAAAGGATTCCAGTACTGATATATTGGGGATGTGATTTTTTTCTTCTATGACCAATTTCTACTATTATACAATATTTAAGATGTACAAATATATATTTTAAATTGGCCAGGCGCGGTGGCTCACGCCTATAATCCCAGCACTTTGGGAGGCCGAGGCAGGTGGATCACCCAAGGTCAGGAGTTCAAGACCGGCCTGGCCAACATGGTGAAACCCATCTCTAGTAAAAATACAAAACTTAGTCACGTGTGGTGGTGGGTGCCTGTAATCCCAGCTACTAGGAAGGCTGAGGCAGGAGAATTGCTTGAACCCAGGAGGCAGAGGTTGCAGTGAGCCAAGATTGTTTTTATTTTAATTTTTTTTAATTTTTGTGGGTACATATTTTTTGGCATTTATATGTGTTTAGAATAAATTTACCTGAATAAATTTCCAACATGAGTAAATTTCCAGTCAGTATCCAGTCTGTTCTCTTTAATAATATTGATATTTTTATTTTAATATGGCAGAATTTTCGATGTTTTATTGCACTCCAGCCTGGGCAACAAGAGCGAGACTCCCTCCCAAATATATATATATACACACACACACACACACACACACATATATATACACACACATATATTTATAATCATTTAACAACAACTCATGTAGCTTGCCATCTAACTTCGGCAACTTGCTTTTTATTACTTAGCATTCCATTTGAAAGATGTATCCATGCAGATGCTGTAGCACCATTTAACTAGCTTATTTAATAGCTCGTATTTTTTTCTATGACTATGCTATAAACATTCTTGCGGGTATATCTATGTATACACATGTTCATAGATATTTGTATATCCTTCTATATGTGGTCATGAATTTTTCAAGAATATGTACCTACACTGGAAATTCTGGACCACAGAAAGGCATACATTTAATTTTACTGATATTTCCAAATTTGTTTCCAACATGACTGTACTAATTCTCCTTCCCAGCAGAAATATGTGAATCCCTGTGGCTCCACATTACTCATCAAAAATTGGCATTTCAGATTGTTGAGCATAAGACTGTATTTCAATGAAGTATTAATATGAAATTACCTGATTACTAGTGAGTTGTTCATCTTTTCACATTTCTGTTGGTCATTTGGGTTTTCTTTTCTATAATTATCTGGTTTATGTCCTTTGTGAATTTTTCAAGTTTATTTATAGAAATTATTTATATGTACTAGACACTAAATTTTTATTTTTTTTAAGTTTTGTGGCTACATATTTTTTGGCATTTATATGTGTTTAAAATAAATTTACCTGAGTAAATTTCCAACGTGAGTAAATTTCCAGTCACTATCCAGTCTTTTCTCTTTCATAATATTGATATTTTTATTTTAATATGGTTGAATTTTCAATGTTTTACGATTTGTGCTTTTATGTCTTCTTACATTTTATCTGTATATCTAAGTCATAGGTATTCAACATAGTTGATTCTAGTGTTTTTGTGGGTTAATTTTAAAATAGAAAATCAAATCATTTAATATTTTGAAATTTAAATATTTGGTACACACACACACACACCAACTACTAAATAATGTCTTTCCTGTTAGCTTTCTTTAAAAAAAAAAATATTGAGAAACCACAAAAATATCAGGTTATATGTATGGTATAAAGTATTATGATTCAGCAAGCATCAGGTAGCAGCAACACACTATAAGAAGGAAAATAAGTTTTATCATTGCATTTGTATCCACAGGGAAAATGAACTAGAGAAAGGAATGAACTTCATTCCTTTTTTTTTTCAAGAGAACAAATCATAAAACAAAAAATGATCAATTATCATTTCAAGTTTAATAATTTCTGGTCCATGAAAAGCATATTATAGACAAAGTTAATAGATAATACAATGTTTGGAAATTTTTGTCAAGTCAACTGATAAGTTAAAAAGAACATTTATAAATCAACTCAATAGAAATATTTGTAAAAAAAATAGGAACAGGCAAATTACAGAACAATAGAATTCCAAAATTCTAAGAAGGATATTACATTTGCAGTTAGAGGAAAAAATTAAAATGGTATGCTACTTTACACCTGTTTTGTGGCCCAAGAAAAGAAAAAAGTAAAAATACCAGTGTTCACAAGGAAGTGTGGATATCGGAATTCCCACACGCAATTAGTAAGACTGTTTACTGGTGCCTCCATTGTGGAAAGTGATCTGCAATGCTTGTCAAGTTAAATGTGGGCATATCCTCAGATTCAACAATTTTGTCTCTAGGAGTACATCACTGAGAAATTTTCACACTGAGTTACTTGTATCGGAGACAAATTGTAAGCAATTTGGTATCTATCCATAACTGGATAACAGATTGGGAATTATTTTTAAAATAAGATCATTTGGCACAGATACTTGGATAAATACTTCCGTGAAGAGTTCTACATAGCCATGAGTCATGATGGCCATGGTGGAGTTAGTAAGAAGGGGAAAAGGGTAAAATGAAAATATGGAGATAAGTTGAAACAAGGTCATATAGAACCCTAAGAAGAAGTCAAGATTTTTAGATATAAAATTACTATTTAGGTAAATTGAGATATTTTAATTAAAATATAAAGAACATAAAAGAAGTCATAATTAAATAAAAGAATATTTCATAGATTTCTTAACCGATATATTTTTGAATTGCCAATCAGTTTGTACCCCGGGAATATAGCAACTGCTCCATTGCAATTTGTACAAACTGTAGATGAAATTCTAAGCTGGCTGTCAAGTTTCAGCCTTTAAAATAGAAGTCAATCATGTCACAGAAAGTACATGCTGACCCCACTATGAAACCAAATATTAAGACATTTCCAAATCTGAAATAAGTTAAAAGATAACAATGATTTTAGCTTTCTCTTTCTATTTGCTTCTTTCTTTGCATATTTTCAGCTGATATTTAATCTATGCTAGCCATGGAACAAAATAATGGCACTGAAGTGACTGAATTCATTCTCCTGGGATTTGCTGGTCAACACAAGTCTTGGCATATCCTCTCCATAGCATTTCTAGCAATCTATGTGGTTACCCCAGTAGGTAATATTGGAATGATCCTACTTATCAAAATTGATGCTTCTCTTCATATCCCCATGTAAATTTTCCTCCAACACTTGGCATTTGTTGATCTCTGTTACACCTCTGCTATCACTCCCAAGATGTTGAAAAACTTTGTAGAAACAAAAAAATCTATCTCATGTATAGGATGTATGGTGCAATTACTAGTTTATGGTACTTTGCAACAAGTGACTGCTACATCCTGGCTGCTATGGCAGTAGACCGTTATGTGGCCTTCTGTAACCCACTCCATTATCCAGGGGTTATGTCCCAGAGACTCTGCATTAAGCTATTAGTTAGTTCATATGTCATGGGTTTCCTAAATGCCTCTATAAACATAAGTTTCACTTTCTCATTGAACTTCTGCAAATCCAAAACAATTAATCACTTTTTCTGTGATGAACCTCCAATTATTGCCCTACCATGCTCCAATATTGACCTCAACATCATGTTATTAACAGTATTTGTGGGATTAAATTTGATGTGCACTGTGATGGTGGTCATCATTTCCTGCATATATGTCCTGGTTGCCATCCTGAGGATATCTTCTGCTGCAGGGAAGAAAAAAGTCTCTCTACATGTGCCTCCCACCTGACAGCAGTCACCATTTTCTATGGGGTTCTCTCTTACATGTATCTATGCCATCGTATTAATGAGTCTCAAAAACAAGAAAAAGTGGCCTCTGTGTTTTATGGCATTATTATTCCCATGTTAAACCCCTTGATTTACAGCCAGAGAAACCAAGATGTGATTGAAGCCATAAAACTAACAGAAAAAAAGTATTTCTAATTTGAACTTTGATTTCTATCTCAACATGGCTCAACAAGCCAGCCAACAGTGCTCTTATTTCTCAATCTCAGAAAATATGACAAATGTCTATAAGACAGAAATGCATTACTTAATTATATCAATAGCATTTGAAAGATAGAGAAAAACATTTGGAATGATTAAATAAACAAACTTCTAATCCATGTGTTCCTTAAAGAAAATGTGTCTAAAACAATATCTTTGAAATTGCATCCATACATTTTAATGAGGCTTTTTTGAGATATCTGTCATCAAAAAAATAGTAAAGTAAATCAATGAGAAGTGCATAATCAATGTTGTGTAAGGACTTCCATTAAATAGAGTATAAAGACTCAGCAGGGGGTAGAGGGAATCTTTTCTTTTCTTCTCTTGAGAGGTATTTTTCTCTACAGCCAATCTATTTGTAACTGTAAAGTAAAATTTGAAAGATTATTTCTTTGGATAATATATGCAGAAAAGAAGGAAGGAAAGGAAAGACAGTGGAGTAAATCTTCACGGATATTGGGGTATTAGGGACAAATATCCATCTTTTCCCTAGTTTCCCTGACAAATTAGGAAATCAGTGCAGGAGTCAGAAAAATATAGAGCATATCAATTTTGTCACTGGTAAATATAACTTCAATATTCAGCTATACCTTCTTGCAAGTGTACATCTTAGGAAAACAACATACCATGCAGAGTCTGGTGCTACCGAGCAGGCTCATTTACCCAGAATTCATACCTTATATCCATCAATTCCCAACAATGAGAATTAATGCAGAATTATAGGCTTAAATCTAGAACTTAAATATGGGATCAGACTTTAGTGTTCCCGTTGTAAAAAAGTAAAATAAAATATGTGTATTAAAACATACACAGATGTGTATGTATTATGTGAAATATATGCACATATATGTGTATATATATGATATACATATATATATTATATACATGCAGGAGATATATGATTACAGGAGATAAAACCCAAAACTGAGAAACTCAAGAGCTTATACAGCATTGATAGTGACCTGCTCATCCTCCCCTCTATTGAAAGAAACCTTATTTTCACTCTAAAATGTAAGCAAATCTCCAGATAGGAAAGGACAAGTCTTTATTTACCTCCTGGACCATCTCTGGAGAGAGAGGCATCTCTAAGTTTTATTATCCTGATATATCTCCTCATGCAAACCTTCTTAAATGTAATGACTATAAATGCCTTTGCTCATAGAAATAGGCTGTGAAGAAATGTGAATTATTCTTTGAGAATCTGTGTACCAAATAATATAGCTTTTATAGTCACAGAATTTAAAAAAGAAGAAGAAACAGAAAATAAATGGGCAAAAGATACACAATAGTAGTAGCAAATGCTACTTCGTCTCTTCCAATTCATGACAGACCAACTTGAGAAAAAAACTTTAGAATTAAGTTATAGAAGTTATGTTATATAATTAAAAAGATAAATCAAATTCATATATAGGAACTTTGTTTTGTTCAAATCTACTGACCAAACAGGGCTGTAGTCCAAATTTTAGGTTTATTTTCCTTTTGCAGCACACACTCCACAGAGCTGTAAGTATCTCAGTAAGAGAAATATGAAAGGGGATTTTCATAGAGTATGGGCTTTGCTGCATGAATCCAAGAATGAAGGAAGGAATCAGTGGCTCTCTGTAGATTTGGATACTCTGAGGAGTAGGGAAAACTCAGAAATTAGATATTTTAATATGCATTGCTCAAGAGGTGGGAAGAACAAAACAGAAATGATCATGCTATTGATGAGAAAGCAGTAGTCATTCAGAAGTGAAAAACTATAGCATAAAATGTGGGGTAGGGGAGAAGTAAAAATTTAGAGTTTAATATGCAATTGGAATTAAGTTGTTATGAGTTTAAATTAGAATATTATGACTCTAAGATGTTTTATGTAAGGCCCGTGATAACTACAAAGTAAAAGCCTCTAGTAGATACAGAAATGACTTTTTAAAAAGGAATCAAAGCATAACACCACAAAAATTTAGCAAATTACAAAGACATACAGTAAGAATTGAAAAAAGGAATAAACAGACTACAAGTCAGTGAACAAGTAACAAAACAGCAGTAGTAAGCCCTTGCCTGTCAATAATTACTTTAAATGTAAGTGGATTAACTTCTCCAATCAAAAGACACAAAATGGCATAATAGATTAAAAAACAAGATCCAACAATACGCTCTCTACAAGAGACTGATTTTAGACTTAAGGACACACATGGACTGAAAGTGAAAGGATAGAAAAAGATATTTCATGCAAACAGTAAATAAAAGAGAGCAGTGGTAGCTATATTTACATGAGATAAAATAGAATTCCAGTCAAAATCTGTCATAAGAGACAAAGAAAGTGAATATTTGATGATAAAGGGGTCAATTCACTAAGAGGCTATAACAATTGTAAATATATATGCACTCAACATTAAGGTATCTAAAGATACAAAGCAAATATTAACATCCCTGAAGGAAGAAACAGATAGCAATGGAATAATAGTGGAGGACTTCATCACTTCACTTTCAACTATGGATAGGTCATCCAGACAGAAAATCAATAAGGAACAGCAAATCTGTGGACTTGATCTATAGTATGGGCCAAATCGACCTAATAGATATATATAAAACATTCTATCCATCAGAAATGGCATATACATTCTTTGCAAGCACATACAGAGCATTCTCTGGGATAGATCATATGCTAAGCCACAAGATGAGTCTTAACAAACGTAAGAAGATTGAAATCATCTCAAGTATCTTTTCTGACCATAATGGTACAAAACTAAAAATCAATAGCAGGAGGGATTTTGGAAACTTTACGAATATGTGGAAATTTAAAAACACACTCCTAACAACCAATGAGTCAAAAAAAGAGATCAGAAGGAAATTTTTTTTAAATCTTGAGACAAATTAAAATAGAATACCACACACCAAAACTTATGGGATGCAGCAAAAGCAGTGCTAAAAGGAAGTGTATAGTATTAAGGACCGACATTAAGAAAAAAAAAAAAAGAAACCTTAAGCCACCTAACTTTACACGTCAAGGAACTAGAAAACTAAGAGCAACTAAACCCAAAGTCAGCAGAAGGAAAGAAATAATGTAGATTAGGGCAGAAATAAATGAAATAGACATGAGAAATGCAATAGAAAATATCAACAAAACTGAGTTGGTTTTTTGAAAAGACAAATGCTATTAACTAGCTTTTAACAAAACTGACCAAGAAAAAATGAGAGAAGATTCAAATAAAATTACAAATGAAAAAGGAGACATTACAACTGTTATCACAGAAATACAAAGAATCAGAGACTACTATGAATAATTATACATCAATAAACTGGTTAACTTAGAAGAAATATACAAATTTCTAGAACATATCACCTGCCAAGACTAAATCATGAAGATATAGAAAGTCCAAATAGGCCAGAAGGAGTAAGAAGATTGAATCAGCAATCAAAAATCTCCCAAGAAAGTAAAGCCCAGGACCAGGTGGTTTCTTGAGTATATTCTACCAAGCATTTAAAGAAATGATGCCCATTCTTCTCAAACTCTTCCAGAAAAAGCAGAGAAGAAGGAATATTTCCAAACTGATTTTATGAGGCCAGCATTACCCTAATACAAATGCCAGACACAAACACTACATGAAAAGAAAGTTAAAGGCCACATCCTTGGTGAATATGCATGCAAAAATCATCAATAAAATGTTAGCAAACTGAATTCAACAGCACATTAAATTCATCAAGTGGGATTTACTCTTAGGATGCAAGGATGTTTCAACATATGCAAAACAATAAATAAGATACACTACATTAACAGAATAAAGGATTAAATTCATACGGTCATCTCAATTGATACAGAAAAAGCATTTGACAAAATTCAATGGTGTTTTATGGTAAAAGTCTCAACAAAGTAGGTGTAGAAGCAATGTGTCTCAAAATAATAAAAGCCATGTATGACAAGCCCACAGTCTACATCATACTTAATGGTAAAAAGATGAAAGATTGTCCTTTAAGATAAGGAAAAATACAAGGATGCCCATTCTTGCCATTTATATTCACCACAGTACTGGAAGTTATAGCTGTTGCAATTAGGCAAAAAAAAAAGAAATGAAATTATCCAAATTGAAAAGGAAGAAATCAAAGTGTCTCTGCAAATGACATGATCTTATATAGAGAAAACTCTAAAGACTCTACACACAAAAAAAAACTGATAAAAGTAATAAATTCAGGAAAGTTACAGCATAAAAAATAGACACAGAAAAGTCATTAGTGTTTCTATACACTAACAATAAACTATTCAAAAAGGAAACTAACAACATTATTCCATTTACAATGGCATCAAAAAGAATACAATACTTAAAGAATACATTTAACAAGGAGGTAAAAGATCTGTACATTGAAAATATGAGATATTGATGAAAAAACTGAAGACAAAAAAAAAGTGGAAAGATATTCTGTGTTCATGGAAAGGAATAATTAATATTACTAAGATGTCCATATTACCCAAAGTAGTCTACAGATTTAATGCAGTCTCTGTCAAAATTCTGATGACATTTTTTGCAGAAATAGAAAAAACAATCCTAAAATTTATAAGCCACAAAAGACCTCCAATAGTCAAAGAAATCTTGAGTAAAAAGAATAAACCTAGAGGCATCACACTCAATAATTTCAAATTATAACACAAAGCTACAGTAATCAAAACAGTATGGTACTGACATGAAAACAGACAGATAGATTAATGAAACAGAATACAGAGCCCAGAAATAAATCTAGGCATATGTGGTAAACTAATCTTTGACCAAAGTGCCAGTACAAAATTGGGGGGGAAATCCCTTTAATAAGTAGTGTTGCAAAAACTGGATAGCCACATGCAAAAAATGAAATAGGACTCATACCATATACAAAAATTAACTCTAAATGGATTAAAGACTTAAATGTAAAATCTGAAACCATATAACTCCTGGAAGAAAACATAGGAGAAAAGCACTTTCACATTGCTGTTGGCATTATTTTTTTCGATAAGACATAAAAAGCCCATGACAACAATAACAAAAAGAAACAAGTGGAATTACTTCTTTGAAACTAAAAAACTTCTGTACAGCAAATGAAACAATCAACAACATGAAAAGACAATGTAGAGAATGGAAGAAAATATTTGCAAACTATATACCTGATAAGGAGTTTATATCCAAAGTATATAAGGTACTCACACAACTCAATAGCAAAATAAATATGTAAACAACCTGATTTTAAAATGGTCAAGTTACCCGAATAGGCATTTCTCAAAAGAAGACATACAAATGGCCAATGGGTATATGAAGAGGTGCTCAACCTCACTAATTGCCAAATAAATGCAAATCAAAATCACAATGAGATATCACATCACACTTGTTAAAATGGCTACTAACAAAAAGAAAAGGATGTGTTGAAGTTTTGTGTGACAAAAATCCTTGTACACAGCTGATGGGACTATAAACTGGTACAAGCATTGTAAAAATGGTACAGAGCTTCCTCAAAAAGTTAAAAATAGAACTACCATATGATTCAGCATTCCCACTTCTGGGTGTATATCCAAAGGAAATGAAATCAGTATGTCGAATACATATCTGCACTCTCATCTGTAATGTTCATTGCAGCACTAGTCTCAATAGTCAAGATACGTAAACAAATGTTGGTCAGCAGATGAATGGATAAAGAAAACATGATATATATAGACACTGGAATATTATTCAGCCATTAAAAATAAGGAAATCCTGCCATTTGCAACAGCATGGAGGAACCTGGAGAACACTGTGCTAAGTGAAATCAGCCAGATGAAGAAAGAAATACTGCATGATCTCACTTGCATGTGGAATCTCAGACTTATCCTATGGATACACCAACTCCACTCCTTTTGTTCCCTCTCCACGAGGAAGTGTTACGATTGTATACTTTCTCTCAAGCCTTAAAACCATGCTGGGTACTGAGAATCTCCAATTTATTTTTCCTAGGGCAGTGACATGAAGTGCTTAAAGTATCTTCTCCCAACCCAGAGCAGTCTAGTTGGCTGTCTGTGTGTGTTTTTGGTGTATGAGCTGCAGAGGCTCTTGCAGGCACATCTATGGGGAGAGGGCAGGCAAAATACCAGACACAACCATGGTCTTGTTGTGGCCTCCACAGGTGATATGTCCTGGAAGGTTTGTGAGCAGCCTCTTGGTGGATTCTGCAGAGCAGCCAGTGGAAACAATAACGCTTTATGTACTGCACCCATGTTGCTGTGAGCCCCTGCCCCGAATTGTCCCAGGACTATTGAGTCATTCATTCAGTATTCTGGGTGAGGTGAGAAAGAAAAGAACCCCTTAGGCTGGAGAAGGTCTCACTTTCCCCTATGGGAGAAATCACTGGAGGTGCAGGTCTCTTTGACATTAAGCTGTGCTGCCTTGAGGGAGGCCGATGCTGGTAAAATGAAACTGCTTTTCTTATCCTCTTTAAAGTGTCTATGTTCAGATTCTTTTCTTCAGCAGGATGCTTGGACCTCTCTGCTGGCCTTCCGGGCTCCACAAAGGTGCTCTCATCTGTGAATGGTTGTCAGTCATTGTTTCTGTGGGGGCATGAGAACTGAAAGCTCCTGAACACCACTGTGATTGATGGTGGTCATCTTTTCCCAGGTATATACCCTGGCTGCTATCCCGAAGATGTCTTCCACTGCAGGAAGGACACAAGGCTTCTTCATGTGAGCTTCCCACCTGACGAGCAGTTGTCATTTTCTATGGCACTCCCTCTTACATGTATCTACACCATGGGAACAACGGGTCTCCAAAGCAGGGGAAAGTGTCATCTGTGTTCTATGGCATTGTGATTGATCTGCAGCCTGAGAGTCCAAGATGCGAGAGAAGCTCTAAAAGAAAAAGGAAAGAAGCAGTTCTAGATTGGGCCTCAGTTTCTAATTCTCTGCACTTGTAGACAACCAGATTGATAGTGCCAATTTTTTTTTTATTATACTTTAAGTCCTGGGATACATGTGCAGAACGTGCAGGTTTGTTACATAGGTACACACAAGCCATGGTGGTTGGCTGTGCCCATCATCTACATTAGGTATTTCTCCTAATGCTATCCACACCCTAGCCCCCCACCCAACGACAGGCCTCGGTGTGTGATGTTCCCCTCCCTGTGTCTATGTGTTCTCATTGTTCAACTCCCACTTATGAGTGAAAACATGCAATGTTTGGTTTTCTGTTCGAGTGTTAGTTTGCTGAGAATGATAGTTTCCAGCTTCATCCATGTCCACGCAAAGGACATGAACTCGTCTTTTTTATGGCTGCATAGTATTCCATGGTGTATATGTGTCACATTTTCTTTATCCAGTCTAGACTGCAAGACAATCCTAAGCAAAAAGAACAAAGCTGAAGGCATCACACTACCTGACTTCAAACACTACCTGACTTCAAACTGACAATGCTACAAGGCTACAGTAACCAAAACAGTATGCTACTGGTACCAAAACACATATATAGACCAATGGAACAGAACAGAGCCCTCGGAAATACTGTCACACATCTACAACCATCTGATCTTTGACAAACCTGATAAAAAAAGCAATGGGGAAGGCAATTCCTATTTAATAAATGGTGTTGGGAAAACTGGCTAGCCATATGCAGAAAACTGAAACTGGACCCCTTCCTTACAACTTATACAAAAATTAACTCGAGATGGATTAAAGACTTAAATGTAAGACTTAAAACCATAAAAACCTTGAAAGAAAACCTAGGCAATACGATTCAGGATATAGGCATGGGCAAAGACTTCATGACTAAAACACTGAAAGCAATGGCAACAAAAGCCAAAACTGACCAATGGGATCTAATTAAACTAAAAAGCTTCTATCATCAGAGTGAACAGGCAACCTACAGAATGGGAGAAAAATTTTGCAATCTATCCATCTGACAAAGGGCTAAGATCCAGAATCTACAAGTCACTTAAATTTACAAGAAAAAAAACAAACAACCCCATCAAAAAGCGGGGGAAAGATATGAACAGACACTTCTCAAAAGAAGACATTTATGCAGCCAACAAACATATGAAAAAAGTTCATCATCACTGGTCATTACAGAAACGCAAATCAAAATCACAATGGATACCATTTCACTCCAGTTAGAATGGCGATCATCAAAAAGTCAGGAAACAACAGATACTGGAGAGGTGTGGAGAAATAGGAATTTCCCATTGTTGGTGGTAGTGTAAATTAGTTCAACCATTTTGGAAGACAGTGTGACAATTCCTCAAGGATCTAGAATCAGAAATACCATTTGACCCAGCAATCTCATTACTAGGTATATACCCAAAGGATTATAGATCATTCTACTATAAAGACACATGCACACATAGGGTTATTGTGGCACTGTTCACAAAAGCAAAGACTTGGAACCAACCCAAATGCCTATCAATGATAGACTGGATAAAGAAAATGTGGCACATATACACCATGGAATACTATGCAGCCATAAAAAAGGATGAGTTTGTGTCTTTTGCAGGGACATGGATGAAGTTGGAAACCATCATTCTCAGCAAACTAACACAAGAACAGAAAACCAAACACCACATGCTCTCACTCATAAGTGGAAGTTGAACATGAAAACACATAGACACAGGGAGGGGGACATCACACACCAGGGCCTGTTGGGGGGTGGGGGGCTAGGGTAGGGATAGCATTAGGAGAAATACCTAATGTATATGACAGATTAATGGGTGCAGCAAACCACCATGGCAAGTGTATGTAACAAACCTGCACATTCTGCACATGTAATCCCAGAACTTAAAGTAAAATTTAAAGAAAAAAAATTTTTAAGCCTTCAATCCTGAATTTCAGCCCTAAAACTTGATGGAAATAAAAGTCCCAGTCCCTAAGGCCACATATTTAAGGATCTTTATTATAGCATCTTTTGGAAAGTCAAGACCTAGAAAGTGAACATCCCTCAACAGGGAAATAAATCTGTATTGTTGTAATCCCAAAATCTGTATCAGTTCTATCTATTGCTGCATAATAACATCCTCTGAAATGCTATAACCCCACTGTCAACCAAGACTGTGTCCTTATCTGAAGGATCAGCTGAGGGTAGATCTGCTTCCAAGCTCACTCACTTTGTTGGCAGAATTCATGTCCTTGCAGGTGTAGAACTGGCTGTCTGTCAGCTGAAAGCTGGCTGTCAGCTGAAAGCTACTTTCTGATCTTAGAGGAAGTCCATAGTTCTTTGCCACATGGCCCTCTCCATTGTCATTCTCAGAACATGGCAGCTTACTCTTCAAAGTCAGGAAGTCATATACTGTTAATCAGTACATACATCATGTGAAACAACACACCTCCACACACCCAAATCTCATTATTCCTTCAAGAGCTAGTCTCTCCCTGTAGTGTTCCCAAACCAGTGTTTGTTTCCTGCCAACCCTCTACTCCTGGAAGTAATTTCTTCTTCAACTGAATATCCATAGCCCTTCAACTATGTAAATAAATATTACTTATCACTATCTAAATTATTTATTTACATACCAGAGCTTCCCTACCATCTATAAGGAAGTTGACATACATTTTCTTTCTATAACCTTTTAACATCTGGTATGGAGGCTTAGACACAGTTGATAGTCCATAAATATTGAATGCATGAATGATGATAAAAAGTAATAATATGGGCAGCTTCCTAACTAGAAGTTAAGTGAATGTGTAGCATACATTAGTTGTCTTTAAATACCAATCTGTAGACAACAGCATTCAAATGACCTAGCAGTTTTTTAAAGTGTATATAACTACAGCCCAGCCCTGCAGATGTTGATTCAGCAATATTGGATGGAACCCAATATCTATACATATATATATATACAGAATGTTGTTTTAAACACATGTATCACTGTATGGTAGTATAGTGAACAGGATTTAGAACTCTTTGACTCTGGTTCACATCCCAACTCTGCCACTCACCAGCAGTGTCTCTTTACAAGTTAAATGAGCTTTTATGCCTGGTTTTTCTTTATATATGTTTCATGGGGTGCTCTAATTTGTTTATTTGCTTGTTTGTTAGGAATAGATAAGATAATGTATAGGAATCATACAGCCTCATAATGTAATATATAAAATAATACACAGAAATTATAAACCCTCAATAAATGTTAATAGTAATGAGTATTAGAAAAGATTATTTTAACATGGGTGTGACAGCCATTACAACAACACTTCAATGCACACGCTCCCACACACACACACACACACACACACACACACACACACACACACTGAGTCAAGAATCAATAAGAGTTGCCAAAGGTTTGCAACATGAACACTTTTCCCCTCTGGGAAACTCCTCTCTCCTTCAGTAGAAATCTAACTAATGAAAACATTCATTTTTTTGTTTGTTTGTTTGTTTGTTTTGTGTGTGTGGTTTTTTTTTTTTACCTAGAGCCACAGATGCTGAAGGGAGCAGGTCCTGATCCCAAAGGCCTCCACTATAAATTTTCTGTGAGAATCTGTGGAGAAATCTTTTAGTGGACAATCTGCCTGAAACAGCATAGAAAAAAATCTAAAGGCAAATCTCCTGGAAAAAAATTAAATTTTTCCTATTGAACTGTGCATTATTTTAGCATATGTATTAGTTTGTTCTCACACTGCTATAAAGAACTACCTGAGACTGGGTAATTTATGAAGCAAGCACGTTTTACCATGACAGAGCAGGAGAGGGAGAGAGTAAAGGGGGAAGTGCCACACACTTTCAAAAAACCAAATATCATGAGAACTCACTCACTATCACAAGAATAGCAGAGGAAAGTCCGCCCTCATGTTTCAGTCGTCTCCTGCCAGGCCCCTTCCCTGACATGTGGGGACTGCAATTCCAGATGAGATTTGAGTGGGGACGCAGAGCCAAACTCTATCAACATATGAGGACCAAAGTAAAATCTATAGAATTAGAGCCAGTATGTCATACGATTAACTCCAAAGTTGGGTAGAGTCATCTTATCTTTGGCAAAGTAAAAATGTAAGTGAAGAGAGGAGGCTATCAACAGTATTGAGAAATTAGAAAATGGCCCTGAAGATAGCAGCTGATATATTAGCCATAAAGTTCCCAATTGAATATAAACAATCTTTACAGGATATGAGCAAAAATTAGACAAGGCCACTCTATGACTGAAATGGAACAAGACAGAGAAAAGGCCATTCTGTGACTATGTTTCTGTGATTATGTCTGAAACATAATCACAAGACAAGAACTCTTGGCACCCACAAAAATGGCTAAATACTCTGCTCTTCTAACTAATCTGAGTAAATACTCCTTCTTTACCTACTTTAATCTTCCTTCCTCTTAGATATAAATTACCAACATAGCTAATCACCAGTTCTTTTGCTAACACTCATCTCAGAATTTAGGAGGCATCCACTCCCTAAATCCTTCTTAGAATCACCCAGCACAAAACTAAATCCTATAATAGGGCTTCTCGGTTCCCTCTTATCCAACACTCTGCTCCCTCTGGTGCATGCTCACTCTTGCTGCGGCACACGAAATAAGCCTACCTTTCTTCTGCATGTGAGTTCCTGATGCTTGTTGGCTCTCGGGCATTGACAGTATAAATTGTGCCAGGCATATCTCTTACCTCTCTTGAACATTGCTTCTTTTTATTATTCATTTTTCTTGAGAAATTAATTTGTATGTGTCTACTACTGTTTAAATACATCTGTTTTTAAAGTTGAAAATGTACTATTCAAGTTATTTTCCCCACTTACTTAAAATTGCATATATGCTTCCAGATGGTGTTTTCCTTACATACACACACACACACATACACACACACACTCAGGATTTTTAAAGTTAAAATCAGTTCACACCCCACATTTTTCTGTAAAGTATTTTATTCACCTAACACTGTGTTATTAACTTTTTTCATAAGAATACATATAGATCTATCTCATTATTTTTAGGTGTTTCATAGAAATGCAAATTATACATTAGTTCTGATTTATCCTCTCACTTCCTTATCTATTTTCAATATTTTGCTATAAATAGAAATACTACATAGAAACCCCTGTGTTTTAAGTAAATTCTTTCAATCTCGTTTTATCAAAGATTAGACAGAGGTTAAGGGACATTACATTTTTTTTTGCCCAAGATCATATGTCTATTAAGTGGTAGTTCCCAGATTTAAACCTAGATCTTTCTAACTTTAAAGACTATTTACTTTTCATTTCAGGTAGTATAAAATAAAGCTTCAAAGGGGGTGAATATGCTATAGTTTGGGCAATTTCAAAACACTTATATTCATCCAATTGAAAACCACTTCCAGAACTTCTACTTCTGGCCAAGATAAAGTAATAGAAACGGGATTTACCTTCTGACCTAAAATACACAAAGTTGGACAAAATATATGAAATAAATAGTTTCATAATTCTTAAGGCACTTTCATCAAGCAATAAAGGACAACGATCCCAGAAAGTCAAGAAACCAATGAGCTCTAAAATTTCCCCAGCTTATTTCCTTAAGAAAGTTTCCAGGCCACAGTACAGAGATAGAATGTACATGAAGAGTTTAGTGGACTTCCTAAAGGAGATGGAGCTGAAAGTCTGAAAAGACCAAGGCAACTAGAGTTTACAGGACAAAATACTGGAGAAAATGAGCTGAACAGAGAGAGAACCCCTAGAGCTGCAGAAAATACCCCTTAATTATTTAGCTGAGTGCTGGTCAGTACAAACATGTAAGAAACACCTAGAGACAAGGGAATAAAACACCAAAATGATTAAAGGTAACAGTGCTCAATGCTCATACAAGGCTGGAAATTGTGCCTGTTCTCGCCAGACAGACTGAGAAATCTCAAGATTCATGATGTTCTGGGTGGAGCAGACAGAAAGGACTTGCTTCAGGTCAGAAATAATTAGCTCTAGACTGAGCTGTGCTTCAGTTCAAACTAACAAATCTACAAAGCAAGACTCAAAAGATCATATGGCTGGTCACAGTATCTCACACCTGTAACTCTAGTACTTTGGGAGGCCAAGGTGGGTGGATTGCTTGAACTCAGGAGTTTGATACCAGCCTGGGCAACAAAGTGAGACCCCCATCTCCACGAAAAATACATAAATCAGGCAGGCAGGCATGGTGGCATGTGCCTGTTTGTTGTCCCAGCTACCCAAGAGGCTGAAGTGGGAGGTTGGCTTGAGCCCAGGAGGCAGAAGTTGCAGTGAGCCAGGATCACAACAATGCACTCTAGCCCTGAGTGACAGAGCCAGACTCCATCTCAAAAAAAGAAAAAAAAAGGATTATACAGTTTCCAAGTATCTTTTTCTTTTTTTTTTTTTGAGACGGAGACTTGCTCTGTCACCCAGGCTGGAGTGCAGTGGTGCGATCCCAGCTCACTGCAACTTCCACCTCCCAGATTCAAGTGATTCTCCTGCCTCAGCCTCCCGAGTAACTGGGATTACAGGCACACACCACAACACCCGGCTAATTTTTGTATTTTTAGTAGAGACGAGGTTTCACCATGTTGGTCAGGCTGCTCTCAAACTCCTGACTTCATAATCTGCCCGCCTCGGCCTCCCAAAGTGCTGGGATTACAGGCATGAGCCACTACACCCAGCCAGTTTCCAAGTATCTTAACTGTGCTACAGAACAAAGCTCAAGAATATGTATAAAAATACAAAACATCTAGCACCAAGCATAGTAATATTCATAATGTCTGGCATTCAATCAAAAATTCTCCAAGCATGCAAAAAGCAGGAACATATGACCATAATAAGAATAATTTGTAATAAAAACTGACCAAGAACTGCCAAAGATGTTAGAATTAGCAAACAAGAGCACTAAAACAATTATAACTGAACTCCATATGTTCAAAGAAGATAAGAAGCAATATGAAAGATTCAATGAAGTCTACAGATGATTAAAAGAATGGATGGGGGACAGGCACAGTGGCTCACTCCTGTAATCCCAGCACTTTGGGAGGCCGAGGCAGGCTGATCACCTGAGTTCAGGAGTTTGAGACCAGCCTGGCCAACATGGAAAAACTTTGTCTCTACTAAAAATACAAAAAAAATATAGCTGGATGTGGTGGTGTATGCCTGTAATCCCAGCTACTTGGGAGGCTGAGGCAGGAGAATCCCTTGAACCCAAGAGGCAGAGGTTGCAGTGAGCCAAGAATGCACCACTGCACTCCAGCCTAGGTGACAGAGCAAGACTCTGTCTCAAAAAAAAAGAAAGGGGGATTAACTATAGATTAGACGTAATGCAAAATAAATAATTAGTAAACATTAAGACAGAGAGAAAAGGTATGCAAAATGAGAAAAAAATCAAAAAGATAAATGAACAGGGCATCAGTCAGCTGTGGAACACCTTCATGCAGCTGTATATATGTGTAATTGGAGTCACTGAAGGAGAAGAGAAACAGAGTTGATACTGAAGAGCATTTTTTAAATAATGATTAAAATTTTGTTAATTTTATGAAAACTATTATATAAACCCACCAATTCAGGAATCTCAAGAAGCCCCAAGCACAAGTAACATGGAAAATCCACACCAAGATATATCATAATAAAATTGCTAAAAAACAAGAATAGAGGGAAAATCTTAACTGCATCCAAAGAAAAAAAGGCCATTATGAATAGCAGAGCAAAAGTACAAATAAAAGTAGATTGCTTGTCAGAAACAATGCAAGTGAAAAGACAGTGGAGAAATGTCTTAAAATACTGAAAGAAAAAAAATTATTTTATCATAGACTAAATAATTTTATATCTATTATTTTCTTAATACATACACACACCATGCACACACACTTCTGACCACAATGCACATGGAAAGTACCCATATGTAATGTTGAATCACTTTTCAGCCTTTTATTTAATTTGTTCCCTGGGTGACTTAATTTCAGAATTTTTAAAGGCTAATTAAGATGATTAACAATGTTCGTGCCATTATCTCACCATGATTAAAGCAGGTTTAGGCATTCTTACATACCTTCTTTCTTTTTCTTTCTTTCTTTTTTTTTTTTTTTAATTAGAGACGGGGTTTCACCACATTGGCCAGGCTGGTCTTGAACTCCTGACCTCAGGCGATCTGCCTGCCTCAGCCTCCCAAAGCGCTAGGATTACAGGCATAAGCCACCATGCCTGGCCCCTGCATACCTTCTTGCTCTGCTCCCCACTAGATTTAAAATTACTTGAAGGAAAAGATCAAATCTTATTAATTTATATTACAAACTTTCCTCAAGGAAACATCTTGCATAAAATTTGACTTGAAGTGAAATTGTCATTTATTCTTCTAAAGGGCTACTTGGTTGTGAGTATCTACATATCAAGGAAAGAACCAGAGATGTCAATACATTATAACTCATAGCCTAGTTTGCATTATGCCTCACATACCAAAGTCATATCCTGATTTTGGCTTAATTAGAGAAAATCAGCTTTATTGAAGTTACTGATGTTAACAAAGATAGGACATCTAATGATTCCTCAAGTGGATATATTATTTTCTTATCTACAGGTGACTTCTTTATTTAAGAGTCAGGGTCCCCTCTGTTGCCCAGGCTGGAGTACAGTGGTGCAATCATGGCTCACTGCAGCATTGAACTCCTGGCCTCAAGCTGTCTTTCCACCTCAGCCTCCTGAGTTACTGGGATTACAGGCTTGAGATATGACAATCGGTTTGCAAGTGACTTTTTAAACTGCCCACCGACACCCTAAAGCTATTGGTCAGAGCCAGACAGGTAAGAGGCTACGAGTGTGATCACTTTCAGAAGCTTAGCAGTTTCTATACTAGCACATGAGGATTTAAACCATCATGAAAATAATAAAGATTTCTTAACAGCCCAACTTTGGACTTTGCCAGTTCCTAGAACTATCAAAAATGTTGCTTGTGTGATGTCATTTTCCCTTAGAATTTGCTCATTATTTCCTCTCATTTCTTACCTATCACAGGTTTAACTTTCTTTCTCGGTAAAGACTCTTTTTTCTTCGGTAAAAATGAGTAACATCTGTACCTACAACTGCAGGAATCTACAGTGGCAGTGTTTTTCAATATTTCTCCTTTCTAGTAGGTGGCACAAGAATCAAAATAACTTTAAAAGCATATTATGAGAACATTTAAAATCCTCTCTTTTAGCCATTTTAAGAGGATTTTAAATGTTCTCACCACAAAGAAATGATAAATATTTGGGGCAATGAATATGCTAGTTACCCTGATTTGATCATTCCACAATATACACATGTATCAAAACATCACACTGTACACCATAAATGTCTACAATTATTATGTGTCAATTAAAAATAAAATAAACTTTTTAAGAAATATATTTTGGAACATATTACTTCATTTATCTAGTCCCTGACTTGTTCCCACAAAAAGCCTAAAGCATATTATCAGCTCTCTAAATACATTTTCAATTTTGAGAAACTTTAACCCACTGTAATACAAAGCAGTTTTCATGAGATGCCAGTCTGTAGAAGTTATTTTAATGTAGAATGACTCATTTAATAAATGAACATATGCTTTCTATTTGAGGCAAATTATTCTGCAAAACTGCATCATAGATGATCAGAAATTGAGATAGCTTCAGTCTAGACTAGCACCATAATCCAGTGATTTCATTTAAAAAGAAAAATGAATGGTGAGGAATGTGCCTCCCTGATCCTAGTGAGTTTTCAGATTCTCTAGTATATAGTAAACATACAAGAAAGCAGAGAAATTCATAGGGAAAAAAATGGGGACTTTGCCCTAAGAATTGTCAAGGGGAAGCTGGAGAGAATCAAACATTAGGGAAAATCTCCTGCGAAATGATTTGATAGAAGAATCCCTGACTCATCACAGCATCATTCCATGGACAAAGACCATAGGTGTTCTTCTTTCATGTAAGGAAGTTTATTATAGGCCTGGAGAAATAATCGGGGTATTATTAGCTAACATTAGGATAGGAGTTCTAAGTGCCAACACATAGAATATGTGTTATTTCATTGAACTTTGACAAATTATCTCTATTTCAGATTATGAAAAATCTGTGATCCCTATTTGCAGATTATGAAACTCAGAGCAGTTAAACAACCTGCTCAAGCCACATAATCAAGTGGTAAAACCAGGATTTTAATTTAATTCCAGAGCTTGCACTCTTGGCCAAACAATACACATTATTTTTAGTTAAGGTAAAAAAAAACTAGAATATTTTTCTCTCAACAGCATATCACTTTTTCCCCACACTTTCTGTAAATAATAACAAATTTCTATAAATAATAAATAATAATTTCTAGGTATAATTTAATTTACATAGTGAAACAAGCCATTCTTAGGTATATTCCTTAGTTCTGTCTTCGAAAGTCTGCATCCTGTTAGCAGCTGGCGTAGTTGGTGGGATACTTAGCAGAAGGATTGTATGTGTGTCCTACTGTTTCACTGTCCTCCTCCAGGTCCAATGCCATCAATCACTTTTTCTGTAATAAATCCCTAGGGCTTGGTCTTTCATGCTACAACATTTATATCAGCACAGCAGTCCCTGCCTTTGCAGAGTTTGAGTGCTGCATTCATTGCCATATTTGGTCATCATGTTCTCCTGGACATATATCCTGGTTGCTATCAAGAGGATGTCCTCAGTGGGGAGAAAAGAATTGTCTATTTGTGTCTCCCACCTGAAAACTAGCACCATTTTTCATACAGCCCTCTTTTATGTGTACTTACAGCCTGATTTTTTTCTTTTTTAATTTTTAAATTCTTTATTTTGAGACCGTGTCCCTCTCTATTGCCCAGGCTAGAGTGCAGTATCACTATCATAGCTCACTGCAGCCTCAAACCTCCGGGCTTAAGCAATCCTCCTCCCTCAGCCTCCTGAGTATCTCCCAGATAATTTTGTTTTCAGAGACAGGATCTCACTATGTTGCCCAGGCTGGTCTTGAACTACTGGCTTCAAGCAGTTCTCCCACCTCAGCCTCCCAAAGTGCTGAGATTACAAGCATTAGCCACCATGTCCAGACTATTTTTTAACTGACACATAAAAAATGTCTATATTTATGACATAGACATATTTATAATAATATTTTGAAATAGGTATATATTGTAGAATGGCTAAATTGATCTGATTAACATACACAGCGACAACATATCTATCATTCTGTGTGTGTGGTGAAAACACAACATCTACTCTTTTAGCAATTTTCAAGAAGACATTATTATCAGCAACAGTCACCACGTTGTGCAATAGATCTCTTGAATTTATTCCTTCTACCTAATATGTGTTATTGCATTGAACTTTGACAAATCATTTCTATTTCAGATTATGAAAAAGCTGCAGATCCCTATATGAAACTTTGCCCTTTGTCCAATATTTACTCAACCCCCATGCCCTGTCCCTGGTAACCACCATTCTACTTTCTGTTGCTATGAGTTCAATTTTTTTTAGATTCTACATATAAGTGAGATCACACGATATTTGTCTTTCTGTGCCTGGTTTATTTCACTAAGCATAATCTCAAGCAGGTCTTACATCCTGATTCTAACAAGCTCCAGGAGACTATGAAAGTCACCTCCATGGTTTCTAGCTTGTGTATCCATGCTGAATCCTTGATTTATGGCCCATAAAAAACAAAGAAGTGGTAGAAGTACTAACGATGTAAGAAATAAGTGTTTATGAATTTCGACTCAATCTCTGACACTAGGCACACAGAAGCATCCAAGCAAAAGTTTTTCAAAAGAAGCTATTTCCCAGAGCAATTTTTCCAATAGCTTCCAAAATGTGTGGCACTTCCTAAATCCCTAAATTATAGGCAAGGTTCTCAAATTATCACAGAAATTGAATTGACTGGAAAGGCAGCATAGTTCTTCTGTCTCGTGAACCAAATTCTCTTGCTAATGACTGCTTTTTTATGAAAAGTTCATATCTGAGCAGAACTTCTAGGGGTAGTCAGCAACAAGAAACCATCCCCAGACTCTGTAAGTAAAAAGCGATCATATTATCAAATCACCCAGTGGTGCCCAAATGGCTTCCACCATGATCTGAAGCCACCAACAACCCTAGAGACAGAGAAAAATGCAGGCTGGCAAATATGCTAGCACCCATTGCCAGAGGTGAGCTGCCATATTGATGACTTCTCCCTGGCTCTGCCTTGTAACATCAAGTCTAGCAGCATCCTGTACAGTCAGTGGCATGGCCTGGCCAAACAGAAAAATTTCTGCTGCTCCAGCATCACAAAATCTGACAGCTGTGTCACTTCAGAGAAGTATCTACAAAATTTGCCTTAGCCCAGCATTCTCCCAATGAACTCCAGAGAACTTGTTCCACAAGACACTCAACATGAAAAGAATTTCAAGGCCAAGTAGTGCTGAAAGTTCTGAGTTAACCAATATCAGATTTTTTTTACTGCCAGGCTTTCCAGGGATTTCTTATTAATATACACTAGTATGAATTATGTCTCTCTAAGAGAAAATGAGTGTAGAGCATTTGCCAAACTTACTGAGTCACAGGACCCTTTTATATCTATGGACTATTTGTTCTATTATCTCAGTTCTAAAATGTATATTTATCTCACATTTTAATATTTCTGATATTGGAATTACCTTAACATCTATGTATATATTTAAGAGGAAAATGAAAATGGTTATGAAATTGATGGTGACTCTTTCCCTCCTTCTATCTACCTATCTCTATCTAATATAATAGAAGATAATTCTTATAATTTTAAGTTGCCTTAGCATCCATTTTGAATTAAGTTTAACTTTCTCATACCAGAAGTAAGGCTCAGTCACCCTTGACACAACTTCTAGGTCTATACCACACCCAGTGCTCAAGCTGGTGACCAGAGATGAGAACTTAGAGGCATCTCTTCCACCTATCAGTCTGGGTTCCCCACTTTCCTTAAAGTGACCCACAATCGTATTCCTTTATACACACCACTAGTTGCCCACCCCACCTCTTCTCTCTGTCTCTCTGCCTTACTCTTCATTTCTGCCTTGTGTGACCCAATTGTGGGTTGGACAACTAGACATTAGGCCACTTGCCAGGTAAAAGAAGTATCTCATGAAAGGCACACTGTAAACATTCATGTCTATCTCCCCTTCATTTCCTATTAGAGTAAGTTTGCTAATTGATCGGGTACTGGACACCCAGTTTAGCTGAGAGGTCTCAAAATAATAATATAATGAAGATAAAACACTATTAAAAGCTTGGAATTAGTGTTCCTTACTATACAATTTGAAAAAAAATATGTATCTGTTTAAAACAAAGAGCTGGCTAACTACTCTTATAAAAATAACTAAAATGAGAAGAAGAGGAAATAGACTACTTATTAGAAAACCCTGTGTATTTGAAGAAAATCTTCATATGATAAACAGAATACCACATTTGTATATCGATAATCAATATTCTATTCAGTCATCAACACAAGTACCTTAAAAACTTATGCCAGGAGGTGTGTTATTTGCCCTGTTCCAGTTATTGTGGATCAAAACATTTTTATTTCTTTACAAAGCATCTGAGAGTGTGGAATAAGATGATGGAATAGGACTCTCCAGTGTTCGTTGCCACACAGAAATATCAATTTGAAAAACTACCCATGCATGAAAATACCTTTACAAGAACTAAGAAACTCATGTGAGAGGTCACAGTACCTGGCTGTAGCATAATAATGAGAAAAGATGCATTGAAGAGAACAGGAAAGATAGTTTTTTTACCCACATCACCCCTCCAATCCCAACAGCACAGCAGAAAGAAAGATACTATTTGCCTGGGGGAAAGAGAAAGAAGTAAAAATAAGACTTTGCTTTTATCCCTAATATCAGACCTACAATAGTAAAAATGACAGTAAAGATGCTGTCAACCTAAAAAATCTATATTTTGTTATAACTGATGTTTTTTTGCAAGCCTCGTGATAACTACAAAACAAAAACCTATAATAGAAACACAAAACATAAAAAGCAAGGAATCAAAACAAACCACGGAGAAAAATTCCCTTAAGCACAAAGGAAGACAGTAAAGGAGGAAGGAAATTTTAAAAATCTACAAAGCATTTAGAAAACAAGTAATAAAATTGCAGTAGTAAACCTTTACCTATCAAAAATCACCTTAAATATAAACGATTCAATTTTTCAATCAGAGACACAGAGTGGCTGAATACAGAAACAAAATTCAACTACACACTGCCTTCAAGAGACTCACTTCACCTATAACACAGAGACTTAAAGTGAAGGATGGAAAAAGACATTCCACACAAATAGAAGCCAAAAGAGAGCAAGAGGAGATATACTTATATCAGATAAAATAGACTTTAAGTCAAACCCTCTAAAAGAGACAAAGAAAGTCATTATATAATGATAAAGAAGTCAATTCAGCAAGAAGCTTCAATAGTTATTAAGTCCATATGCACCCAACATTAAAGAAGCTAAATATATAAGGCAAATGTTAATAGATATGAAGGGAGAGATAGATTGCAATACAATAATAGTAGAGGACTTCAACACCCACTTTATTTTTTTTATATACTTTAAGTTCTAGGGTACATGTGCACAACGTGCAGGTTTGTTACTTATGTAAACATGTGCCATGTTGGTATGCTGCACCCATTAACTCGTCATTTACATTAGGTATATCTCCTAATGCTATCCCTCCCCGCTCCCCCAACCCCACAACAGGCCCCAGTGTGTGATGTGCCCCACTCTGTATCCAAGTGTTCTTATTGTTCAATTCCCACCTATGAGTGAGAACACGTGGTGTTCGGTTTTCTGTCCTTGCGATAGTCTGCTAAGAATGATGGTTTCCAGCTTCATCCATGTCCCTGCAAAGGACATGAACTCATCCTTTTTTATGGCTGCATAGTATTCCATGTGTATATGTGCCACATTTTCTTAATCCAGTGTATCATTGATGGACATTTGGGTTGGTTCCAAGTCTTTGCTATTGTGAATAGTGCTGCAATAAACATACATGTCAACACCCAATTTAAGAAATGGACAGATCACCCAGACTGAAAATCCACAAGAAAATATTAGACTTAACTGCACTCTAGACCAAATGGAATTAACAGACATATACAGAAAATTCCATCCAACAGCTGCAGCACACCCTTTTTCTCAACTGCACATGGAACATTCTCCACAATAGATCATATGTTAGGCCCCAAAACAAGTCTTAACAAATTTTAAAAGATTAAAATCATATCAAGTATCTTTTCTGACCACAATGATATCAAACTAGAATTTTTTTTCATACCAACAGTGAATTACCTGAAAAAGAAATGAAGAAAACAACCCCACTTACAATAGATACCAAAAAATATATACTATGAATCAACTTAACCAAGGAGGTCAAAGATCTGTATACTGAAAACAATAAAACACTGATGAAATATATTTTAAAAAAACACAAATAAATAGAAAGATATCCTGTGTCTATAGACTGGAAGAATTTAATATTGTTAAAATGTCTGTGCTACCTAAAGCAATCTAGTTTCAATATAATCCCTATCAAAATAAAAGAGACATTCTTCACAGAAATAGGAAAAAAATGTAAAATTTATATGGAATAGCAAAAGATCCCAAAGAGCCAAAATAACCTTGAGAGAGAAAAACACAGTTGGAGGCATCACACTACCTAGAACAAGTAGAAAAGAATAGAGGGCCCAGAAATAAATCCATGCATTTACAGCCAACTGTGTTTTGATAGAGGTGCCAAGAACACACATTGGTGAAAGGACATTCTCTTCCATAAATGCTGTTGGACAAAAAAAGAAAATTTCAGGCCAATATCTTTGATGAACATAGACACAAAAATCCTCAACAAAATACTAGAAAACCAAGTCCAGCAGCACATCAAAAAGCTAATCCACCATGATCAAGTAGGTTTTATCCCTGGGATGCAAAGTTGGTTCAACATAGGCAAATCAATAAATGTGATTCACCACATAACAAAGAGAACTAAGAACAAATCACATGATCATTTCAATAGATGAGAACAGGCTTCCAATAAAATTCAACATCCTTCATGTTAAAAACCCTCAAAAAACTAGTCATCAAAGAACATATTTCAAAATAACAGGAGCCGTCTATGAAAACTCCTCAGCCAACACTGAATAGGCAAAAGCTGGAAGCATTTCCCTTGAAAACTGCAGCAAGGCAAAGAGGCCCTCTTTCACCACTTCTATCCAACATGGTACTAGAAGTCCTAGCCAGAGCAATCAGACAAGAGAAACAAATAAAAGGCATCCAAACAGGAAAAGAGAAAGTCAAACTATCCCTGTTTTTAGACTATATGATTGTATATCTAGAAAACTTCATAGTCTCTGCCCAAAAGCTCCTTGTTCTGATAAACAACTTCAGCAAAGTTTCACGATGCAAAATTAATGTACAAAAATTAGTAGCATTTCTATACACCAACAAGATCCAAGCTGAGAGCCAAATCAAGAATGCAATCCCATTCAAAATGCCACAAAAAGAATAAGATACCTATAGATACAGCTAACCAAGGAGATGAAAGACTTCTACGATGAGAATTACAAAACACTGCTGAAAGAAATCAGAGATGACACAAAAAAATGAAAAAACATTTCATGCTCATGGATAGAATTAATACTGTTAAAATGGCCATACTGCCCAAAGCAATTTACAGATTCAATGATATTCCCACCAAACTACAAAATGGCATTCTTCACAGAATAAGAAAAACTATTTTAAAATTTATATGGGTCCAGTAAAGAGTCCAAATAGCCAAAGCAATCCTAAGCAAAAAGAACAAAGCTGGAGGCATCACACTAACCTGACTTCAAACTATACTACAAGGCTGCAGCAATCAAAGCAGCACGGTACTGGTACAAAAACAGACACATAGACCAATGGAACAGAATAGAGAGCACAGAAACAATGCCACACACCTGTAACCATCTGATCTTTGACAAAGCTGACAAAAACAAAGCAATGGGGAAAGGACTCCTTCTTTAATAAATGGTGCTGGGATAACTAGCTAGCCATATGCAGAAGATAAAAACTAGACCCTTTCCTTTCACCATATACAAAAATAAACTCAAGATGGATTAAAGATTTAAATGTAAAACTGAAAACTATAAAAATCTTGGAAGATAACCTAGGAAATAGCAGTCTAGACATAAGACATGGCAAAGATTTCATGATGAAGATGCTAAAAGCAATTGCAATAAAAACAAAAATTGACAGATGGGACATGCTTAAATGAAAGAGCTTCTGCACAGCAAAAGAAACTATCAATAAATAGACAACCTATAGAATGGGAGAAAATATTTTTAAACTATGTATCTGACAAAGGTCTAATACCCAGAATTTATAAGGAACTTCAACAAATTTATGGGGGGGCGGCTCCAAGATGGCCCAATAGGAACAGCTCCAGTCTACAGCTCCCAGCGTGAGCAACGCAGAAGACAAGTGATTTCTGCATTTCCAACTGAGGTACCAGGTTCATCTCACTGGGGCTTGTAGGACAGTGGGAGCAGGACAGTGGGTGCAGCCCACCAAGCAAGAGCCGAAGCAGGGCGAGGCATCACCTCACCCAGGAAATGCAAGGAGTCAGGGAATTCCCTTTCCTAGCCAAGGGAAGTGGTGATGGATGGCACCTGGAAAATCAGGTCACTCCCACCCTAATACTGCGCTTTTCCAATGGTCTTAGCAAACGGCACACCAGGAGATTATATCCCGTGCCTGGCTCAGAGGGCCCCATGCCCATGGAGCCTCGCTCACTGCTAGCACAGCAGTCTGAGATCGATCTGCAAGGTGGCAGCGAAGCTGGGGGAGGGGCACCCACCAGTGCTGAGGCCTGACTAGGTAAACAAAGCAGCCAGGAAGCTCCAACTGGGTGGAGCCCACCGCAGCTCAAGGAGGCCTGCTTGCCTCTGTAGACTCCACCTCTGGGGGCAGGGCATAGCCAAACAAAAGGCAGCAGAAACCTCTGCAGACTTAAATGTCCCAGTCTGACAGCTTTGAAGTGAGTAGTGGTTCTCCCAGCACTGAGTTTGAGATCTAAGAATGGACAGACTGCCTCCTCAAGTGGGTCCTTGACCCCTGAGTAGCCCCAACTGGGAGGCAAACTCCAGTAGGAGCAGACTGACACCTCACACAGCCAGGTAACCCTCTGAGACAAAAATTTCCAGAGGAACAATCAGGCATCAACATTTGCTGTTCAGCAATATTCACTGTTCTGCAGCCTCCGCTGCTCATACCCAGGCAAACAGGGTCTGGAGTGGACCTCCAGCTAACTCCAACAGACCTGCAGCTGAGGGTCCTGATTGTTAGAAGGAAAACTAACAAACAGAAAGGACATCCACACCAAAACCCCATCTGTACGTCACCACCATCAAAGACCAAAGGTAGATAAAACCACAAAGATGGGGAAAAACAGAGCAGAAAAGCTGAAAATTCTAAAAATCAGAGCGCCTCTCCCCCTCCAAAGGAATGCAGCTACTCACCAGCAACGGAACAAAGCTGGATGGAGAATGACTTTGACGAGTTGAGAGAAGAAGGCTACAGACGATCAAACTTCTCCGAGCTAAAGGAGGAAGTTCAAACCCAATGCAAAGAAGCTAAAAATCTTGAAAAAAGATTAGACGAATGGCTAACTAGAATAACCAATGTAGAGAAGTCCTTAAAGGAACTGGTCGAGCTGAAAACCATGGTACGAGAACTACATGATGAAGGCACAAGCTTCAGTAGCCAATGCGATCAACTGGAAGAAAGTGTGTCAGTGATGGAAGATCAAATGAATGAAATGAAGCAAGAAGAGAAGTTTAGAGAAAAAAGAGTAAAAAGAAATGAACAAATCCTCCAAGAAATAAGGGACTATGTGAAAAGACCAAATCTACGTCTGATTGGTATATCTGAAAGTGACGGGGAGAATGGAACCAAGTTGGAAAACACTCTGCAGGATATTATCCAGGAGAACGTCCCCAATCTAGTAAGGCAGGCCAACATTCATATTCAGGAAATACAGAGAATGCCACAAAGATACTCCTCGAGAAGAGCAACTCCAAGACACATAATTGTCAGATTCACCAAAGTTGAAATGAAGGAAAAAATGTTAAGGGCAGCCAGAGAGAAAGGTCGGGTTACACACAAGGGAAGCCTTGTGTAACAAGAGAGATCAAAGTAACAGCTGATCTCTTGGCAGAAACTCTACAAGCCAGAAGAGAGTGGGGGCCAATATTCAACATTCTTAAAGAAAAGAATTTTCAATCCAGAATTTCATATCCAGCCAAACTAAGCTTCCTAAGTGAAGGAGAAATAATCCTTTATAGACAAGCAAATGCTGAGAGATTTTGTCACCACCAGGCCTGCTCTACAACAGCTCCTGAAGGAAGCACTAAACATGGAAAGAAACAACCAGTACCAGCCACTGCAAAAACATGCCAAATTGTAAAGACCAACGGTGCTAGGAAGAAACTACAGCAACTAATGAGCAAAATAACCAGCTAACATCATAATGGTAGGATCAAATTCACACATAACAATATTAACCTTAAATGTCAATGGGCTAAATGCTCCAATTAAAAGACACAGACTGCCAAACTGGATAGAGTCAAGACCCATCAGTGTGCTGAATTCAGGAGACCCATCTCATGTGCAGAGACACACATAGGCTCAAAATAAAGGGATGGAGGAAGATCTACCAAGCAAATGGAAAACAAAAAAAGGCAGGGGTTGCAATCCTATTCTCTGATAAAACAGACTTTAAACCAACAAATATCAAAAGAGACAAAAAAGGCCGTTACATAATGGAAAAGCGATCAATTCAACAAGAAGAGCTAACTATCCTAAAAATATATGCACCCAATACAGGAACACCCAGATTCATAAAGCAAGTCCTTAGAGACCTACAAAGAGACTTAGACTCCCACACAATAATAATGGGAGACTTTAACACCCCACTGTCAACATTAGACAGATCAACGAGACAGAAAGTTAACAACGATATCCAAGAATTGAACTCAGCTCTGCACCAAGTGGACCTAATAGACATCTACAGAACTCTCCACCACAAATCAACAGAATATACATTCTTCTCAGCACCACAGCACACTTATTCCAAAATTGACCACATAGTTGGAAGTAAAGCACTCCTCAGCAAATGTAAAAGAAAAGAAATTATAACAAACTGTCTCTCAGACCACAGTGCAATCAAACTAGAACTCAGGATTAAGAAACTCACTCAAAACCGTTCAACTACATGGAAACTGAACAACCTGCTCCTGAATGACTACTGGGTACATTACAAAATGAAGGCAGAAATAAAGATGTTCTTTGAAACCAATGAGAACAAAGACACAACATACCAGAATCTCTGGTACACATTTAAAGCAGTGTGTAGAGGGAAATTTATAGCACTAAATGCCCACAAGAGAAAGCAGGAAAGATCTAAAATTGAAACCCTAACGTCACAATTAAAAGAACTAGAGAAGCAAGAGCAAACACATTCAAAAGCTAGCAGAAGGCAAGAAATAACTAAGATCAGAGTGGAAGTGAAGGATATAGAGACAAAAAAAACCCTTCAAAAAATCAATGAATCCAGGAGCTGGTTTTTTGAAATGATCAACAAAATTGACAGACCACTAGCAAGACTAATAAAGAAGAAAACAGAGAAGAATCAAATAGACACAATAAAAAATGATAAAGGGGATATCACCACTGATCCCACAGAAATACAAACTACCATCAGAGAATACTATAAACACCTGTATGCAAATAAACTAGAAAATCTAGAAGAAATGGATAAATTCCTCGACACATACACCCTCCCAAGACTAAACCAGGAAGAAGTTGAATCTCTGAATGGACGAATAACAGGCTCTGAAATTGAGGCAATAATTAATAGCCTACCAACCAAAAGAAGTCCAGTACCAGATGGATTCACAGCCAAATTCTACCAGAGGTACAAGGAGGAACTGGTACCATTCCTTCTGAAACTATTCCAATCAATAGAAAAAGAGGGAATCCTCCCTAACTCATTTTATGAGGCCAGCATCATCCTGATACCAAAGCCTGAGAGAGACACAACAAAAAAAGAGAATTTTAGACCAACATCCCTGATGAACATTGATGCAAATATCCTCAATAAAATACTGACAAACCAAATCCAGCAGCACATCAAAAAAAAAAGCTTATCCACCATGATCAAGTGGGCTTCATCCCTGGGATGCAAGGCTGGTTCAACATATGCAAATCAATAAACGTAATCCAGCATATAAACAGAACGAAAGACAAAAACCACATGATTATCTCCATAGATGCAGAAAAGGCCTTTGACAAAATTGAACAATCCTTCATGCTAAAAACTCTCCATAAATTGGGTATTGATTGGATGTATCTAAAAATAATAAGAGCTATTTATGACAAATCCACACCCAATATCATACTGAATGGACAAAAACTGGAAACATTCCCTTTGAAAACTGGCACAAGACAGGGATGCCCTCTCTCACCACTCCTATTCAACATAGTATTGGAAGTTCTGGCCAGAGCAATCAAGCAGGAGAAAGACATAAAAGGTGTTCACTTAGGAAAAGAGGAAGTCAAATTGCCCCTGTTTGCAGATGACATGATTGTATATTTAGAAAACCCCATCGTCTCAGCCCAAAATCTCCTTAAGCTGATAAGCAACTTCAGCAAAGTCTCAGGATACAAAATCAACGTGCAAAAATCACAAGCATTCTTATACACAAATAGCAGACAAACAGAGAGCCAAATCATGAGTGAACTCCCATTCACAATTGCTTCAAAGAGAATAAAATACCCAGGAATCCAACTTATAAGGGATGTGAAGGACCTCTTCAAGGAGAACTACAAACCACTGCTCAATGAAATAAAATAAAAGAGGACACAAACCAATGGAAGAACATTCCATGCTCATGGGTAGGAAGAATCAATATCGTGAAAATGGCCATACCGCCCAAGGTAATTTATAGATTCAATGCCATCCCCATCAAGCTACCGATGACTTTCTTCACAGTATTGGAAAAAAATACATTAAAGTTCATATGGAACCAAAAAAGGGCCTGCATTGCCAAGACAATCCTAAGCCAAAAGAACAAAGCTTGAGGCATCATGCTACCTGACTTCAAACTATACTACAAGGCTATAGTAACCAAAACAGCATGGTACTGGTACCAAAACAGAGATATAGGCCAATGGAACACAACAGAGCCCTCAGAAATAATACCACACATCTACAACCATCTGGTCTTTGACAAACCTGACAAAAACAAGAAATGGGGAAAGGATTCCCTATTTAATAAATGGTGCTGGGAAAACTGGCTAGCCATATGTAGAAAGCTGAAACTGGATCCCTCCCTTACACCTTATACAAAAATTAATTCAAGATGGATTAAAGACTTAAATATTAGACCTAAAACCACAAAAACCCTAGAAGAAAACCTAGGCAACACTATTCAGGACATAGCCATGGGCAAGGACTTCATGTCTAAAACACCAAAAGCAATGGCAACAAAAGCCAAAATTGACAAATGGGATCTAATTAAACTAAAGAACCTCTGCACAGCAAAAGAAACTACCATCACAGCGAACAGGCAACCTACAGAATGGGAGAAAATTTTTGCAGTCTTCTCATCTGACAAAGGGCTAATATCCAGAATCTACAATGAACTCAAACAAACTTACAAGAAAAAAACAATCCCATCAAAAAGTGGGAGAAGGATATGAACAGACACTTCTCAAAAGCAGACATTTATGCAGCCAACAGACACATGAAAAAATGCTCATCATCACTGGCCATCAGAGAAATGCAAATCAAAACCACAATGAGATACCATCTCACACCAGTTAGAATGGCAATCATTAAAAAGTCAGGAAACAACAGGTGCTGGAGAGGATGTGGAGAAATAGGAACACTTTTACACTGTTGGTGGGACTGTAAACTAGTTCAACCATTGTAGAAGACAGTGTGGCGATTCGTCAAGGATCTAGAACTAGAAATACCATTTGACCCAGCCATCTTATTACTGGGTATATACCCAATGGATTATAAATCATGCTGCTATAAAGACACATGCACATGTATGTTTATTGCAGCACTATTCACAATAGCAAAGACTTGGAACCAACCCAACTGTCCATCAATGATACACTGGATTAAGAAAATGTGGCATATATACACCATGGAATACTATGAAGCCATAAAAAAGGATAAGCTCATGTCCTTTGTAGGGACGTGGATGAATCTGCAAACCATCATTCTGAGCAAACTATCGCAAGGACAAAAAACCAAACACCACATATTCTCACTCATAGGTGGGAATTGAACAATGAGAACACTTGGACACAGGAAGGGGAACATCACACACCGGGGCCTGTCATGGGGTGGGGGGAGTGAGGAGGGATAGCATTAGGAGATATAACTAATGTAAATGATGAATTAACGGGTGCAGCACACCAACATGGTGCATGTATACATATGTAACAAACCTGCACGTTGTGCACCTGTACCCTAGAACTTAAAGTATAATTTAAAAAAATAAATTTACAAGAAAAAAAACTTTAACAAGTGGGCAAAGGACATAAACACTTTTCAAAAGAAGACATACATGTGACCAGAAAGCATATGAAAAATGCTCTACATCACTAATTATTTGAGAAATGCAAATCAAAACCATGAGAAACCATATCACACCAGTCAGAATGGCTATTACTAAAGTCAAAAAATAGCAGATGCTGGCAAGGTTGTGGAGAAAAGGAACACTTATACACTGCTGGTGGGAATGTAAATTAGTTCAGCCACTCTAGAAAGCAGTTTAGTGATTTCTCGAAGAACTTAAAACAGAATTACCATTTGACTCAGCAATCCCATTATTGGGTATATACCCAAAATATACAAATTGTTGTACCATAAAGACACATGCACACATATGTTCATCATGATACTATTCACAATAACAAATACATGGAATCAACCTAAATGCTCATCAACAATATACTGGATTTTTAAAATGTAGTACATATATACAATGTAATACTGTGCAGCCATAAAAAAGAATGAGATCGTGTCCTTTGCAGCAACGTGGATGGGGCTATACAGGTTATTATCCTAAGAAAACTAACACAGGAACAGAAAACCAAATACATCATGTTCCCACTTATAAGTGGGAGGTAAACTTTGAGTAAATGTGGACACAAAGAAGGAAACAACAGACACTAGGGCTTACTTCAGTGTGGAGGGTTAGAGGAGGGTGACAATCAAAAAACTACCAATCAGGTACTATGCTTATTACCTGAGTGATGAAATAATTTGTACACCAAACCACCATGATACACATTTTACCCATGTAAGAAACCTGCACATGCACCCCTGAACCTAAAATAAAAGTTTAAAAAGTAAATAAATAAATATTAAAATGTTTTCATTGTTCCTATAGTAACCAGGAAAGCTTTTAAAATACTGATGCCTGTATTCAAAATGCTGATGCCACAGATTACGATTTAATTGAGCTTTGATTGGGCTGGAGCATTAAGATATCTTTTTGAGCAGCTGGACTTGACAATCAGTGGTAGCCACACCAAAAATATTAACTTATTTATTACATACAGCTATTTTATTGAATTAAACTTTTGTCTGAATTTTCTGACCAGTTTAGATAAAATATTTTATTCAGTAGCCCATATACATACAGACTCACTTGTCTAATATGAGGAAAGTGTTGCACAATATTTCTTCATGGGTCCCTCATATTTCTGCACATCTTGCAAGCAGAGGCACAGACTTCCCTTTGTTTCAGACTGTCTCTCTGAGGATGTTAGTGTCTCCTCTGGAACAAAGAGTAAGCATGCCTACTACTCTTTTTAAGACATTTGCCTTCCCTAACCTCACGTATTTTCTCCAGTAAGAGGAGAAAACCCACTGCATGTGCACACATCCATCTGAGTACCCACTTCACTCCCATGGGACTTGGGAGCAAGGAGAACTGCTATATTCTTGATTATGCTATTTATTGGTCCATGAGTAATAAAATCCTTTGTCTCTGAAAAAATAAATAAAATAAATGCTGTTGGGAAAACTGGATATTGATGTGAAAAAGAATAAAATTAGAACTTTATCTCACACCATAATCAAAAATCAACTCAAAATGATATAAAAACTTAAATGAAAGACCTGAAACAGTATAACTACCAGAACAAAACCTCAGAATAAAGCTCTAAGACATTGGTGTGAGCAATGATTTTTTGGATATAATCTCAAAAACATAAGCAATGACAGAAAAAATAGACAAATGGGAGTACATCGAACCAAAAGTCTTCTGAAGCCCAGCAAAAGACACAATCAGCAAAGTGAAGAAATGACCTGCCAGATGGGAGAAGATATTTTCAAACTATACATCTGAAAAAGAGTTAATACCCAGAATATAGAATATATAAAAAACTCAACTCAATAGCAGAGGAAACAAATAACACAATTAAAAATGGGGAAAGAATCTAAATAGACATTTATCAAAAGAAGACATACAAATGGTTAACAGATATATGAAAAAAATGCTCCATATTGCTAAGCAACAAATGCAAATCAAAATGCAAATTACAAGAATAATGAGATATCATCTTGCTCCTGTCAGAATGGCTATTATCAAAAAGATAAACAAACAATAGTAAGTGTTGGCAAAGATGTGGAGAAAAGGGAACACTTGCATACTGTTCGTGGGAATATAGTTTAGTATAGTCATTATGGAAAACACTATGGATGTTCCTCAAAAAATTAAAAATAGAACTACCATGTGATTCAGCAACCTCACTACTGGGTATATATACAAAGGAAATAAAATCATATATTAAAGAGATAACTCCACTTCCATGTTTATTGCAGCCTTATTCACAATAGCCAAGATATGGAATCAAACTAAGGGTCCATTAATGAATGAATGGATAAGGAAGATGTGGTATATACACACAATGGAATACTATTGAGCCATACAAAAGAAGGAAATCCTTTTAACTGAGATAAACTGGATAAACCTGGAAGACATTGTGTTAAGCAAAATAAGCCAGGCCCAGAAAAACAAACCCCACGTGATTTCACTTATATGTAGAAACTAAAAAAAGTTGATCTTACAGAAATAGAGAGTAGAAAGGTGGTTACCAGAGACTGAGGCAGTTATAGGGAAGATTGGTTGAAGAGGTATGGGTCAATGGATACAAACTTACAGTTAGGAGGAATAATTTCAAGAGATCTATTGTACAGCACTGTGATTATAATTAATGATAATATATTGTATTCTTGAAAAAAAGCTAAAAGAGTGGATAGTAAGTGTTCTCACCACAAATGATAACTATGTAAGGCAATACATATGTTAATCGCTATATTTAACCATTCTACAATGTTTACATACTTCAAAACATCATGTTGTATGCAATAAATACATACAATTGTATCTGTTAAGTTACAAAATAAATAAATTTGTAAAAAACAGTATCAATGACTCAGGCTGGCCATTTTACACAATCTATTTTGGTGAATTCCTAGTCCTTGAAAACACTTATTATTCCTCTTATTTACTAACTTTAATATGAGTCAACATTCTCCCTTGCTAAGGGAAGTGAGCCTTGCAAACACTTTCTGGAATTCATGTTTGTCCTAAAAGTGGAAGTGAAATCCAAATTTGGAACTTGTGTTCCAGGAATGACTGATCATTTCTACCCATCACCCCTCCCTAACCACTCCAGCCCTGTGAGGATAACACCTATGGCCTGAACATAGCCAAAATGTTGCTATCTTTTATCAGTTTGTTCAGGCTGCCATAACAAAGTACCACACACTGGGTGCTTAAACAAGAGAAATGTATCGTCTCACAGTTCTGGAGGCTGAATGTCTGAAAGCAAGGTGTTGGAGGATTGGTTCTTTCTGAGGGCTGTGAGGAAAGAACCTGGTTCAGGTCTCTCTCCTTGGCTTATAGACAACCATCTTCATGTCCACATGGTGTTTTCTCTGTATGTGTGTCAGTCTCCAAGTTTCTTTTTTATAAAGACATCAGTCACATGGCATTTAGGGCTCACCTTAAACACCTTATCTTAACTTGATTACCTCTGTAAAGACTTTACCTCCAAACAAGGTCATATTCTGAAGTACCGGGGTTTAGGACCTTAACATAAGAATTTTTCCAGGGACATAATTCAACTCATAATACTATCTGAGGTAAAGGCTGTCAACTGTTCAGAACACTAAAGAATCTTTTAGACATCTTGACCTAAGGCAAACCCAGATCAATCCTTTATTCCCTCTCTCTCTTAATGGGTGAGTCTCTGGGTGATGATCTGGGCCTGTTGTGGTATGTCAGACTTATTGGAATCACATTTTCTCCTGGCAAGAATGCCTCTTAAACCCTTCAGAAAGAAGTATGCTCTGGCTAATGAGTCATGACTGGAGAAACAGAGAGAACTGAGCTCCAACAAATTCTCAAGGATATGACTCAAATATAAGGAAGATTATAAGAAGGCCAGAAACTGTTCTTATGAAAACATCAGTTTCAAGTTTAACTACAGCTTCCCATGGCACCAAGCCTGAAATCTAAAATTTCATAATAGTAAATAATGGTGATGACTATAGCAAACATTTATTAAGCATTTAGTAAATGCCTGAAATAGGTGCTTTACATACATGATATTATTAAATCCTCACAGGCACTATATGAAGTTCATACTTTCAATTAAATCTGATATGTAAGTAAAGAGCCTAGTACAGACTCCAACACATAGTAGGTACTCAATCGAGAGCTAACATTTATCCTCATTTTACAGGTAAGAAAACTGAATATCAGAGATACCTAAGATTGTGCTGGTAGTGAGAGGTAAAGCCTATATTTGAATCTAGGCATCTTAGACTCTAAAGCTTGCGATCTTATCTACTGACTACACAACTACACCGCATCCCATTCCTATCCATGTGCCACAGAAGTCCAAGATTATATAAAGCTCCAGAACCATCCATCTTGTCCTCTGCCCTTTCTGAGTCACTGGAGCCTTTTATGTCTGCCCCATTTTGTCTCCAGACCTTGAAAATTACTTTCTCAGGATTCAAGTAAGATTTCAGAAATAGGACTCAAGACCTTCCTCTTTTTCCAGGATTCCTTCTCCCCAGATAGTTCCAGAAACTCTTTATAAGCCACAAGGAATGGTCCCAGCTGTCTTTCATGAACTCAGGTGTCCCTTGGCCACCTGTTTCCCAAGAGTTAAGTGTTTTCTGAAAGGAGATTATCCCCCAGCTCAGAGAAACCCAACTAGCTACCTCAGCTGCATCTATTCCACATTTTCCAGCAACCAGCAGTCCTGAGGGGCTGCAGACCCCAACCCAGTGATTGCTCCACATGTCCATTTACCTGAGTTCATGAATCTACAGCCAGCATGTTCCTGGGTTCCTCAGAGCTCATTTGTTTGGGGTTTCTTCAGGCTGAGAGCCATCTCAGCCAGGCTTCTTCAATCAAGAGGTCAAGAGCATACTGTGGCCTTACTCCCTCCCACCATTGCCCCCAGCAATTTCAGTCATCAACAGAAGAGACAATGTGGCCACCCTAACAAAACATGTGAAACTTTTCAGGTGCATGTTCTTTACCTTGACATCAACTGGTGAATGTGCCACGTCAAACCTCAAGATGTTCCAACAAATTAGAATCCAGTGATTAAGGAAGGGTCCTCTACTTGGTTAGTTTCCAAATCAAAAGACCTCCTTCAACTCACAATAAAATAACTATTTTATTTCCTTCATTTCTGCACCAAAGATATATAGAGTGCCCGAAGTATGCAAAGTGTTTTTACATGCATTACCTGACCCTTGTAGCAATTCTATGAATCTACTGTGTATCATTGGCCCCTTTTAAAGATGAGGAAAATGATTCTCAAGCTAGTCGAATGGCTTTCCCAAGACCTCTGAGCCAGAGAATCATAAGCCAAATTAGGCATTCAGGGTGTTTTTTTCATATCATTCTGTTTTCTTTCCACTACCCTGCATTGCATCTCTGATTCTCAATATTCTCTTTCAACTCTGTCTGTATCATAAATTCTTACCTGGCACTCCCTACACAATTTTCAAAAATTAATTTCTTCAACAAATGATTTTGGGATGGATGCTCTGTGCCACATTCTAGGCTAGGTATGGGCACAAAATTGAGCAAGACAAACATAACTTTTTTCTTCATGGGGCTTACAGTCCAGCAGATTAGCTGGAGGTGCCAAAAGCAGTGTACCAAAGGGAGTACTCAAAAATAGAGAATAAAAGACCTTTTATATGAAAAGTAAAAGGAAGTCAGAGTTTAATTCTTGTAAGTATCTATTAGGAAGACTCTTAGGTGCCCAAAAAGGTGATTCAAAAGGCTAAAGTGAGCCATTTTAAAAGAGTTCACCAAGCCTGCTTTCTGCAGCAACTGAGTAACTATGAGATGATTAGCTCATTTGGAGGACATTTTTATCTTCCCTTTTAAATGTGAAATTCTCAGACTAAGCCAGATATAGCTACTGTTAGGGTCAATGTTTTTATAACAACTTATTCATAGCTACAGTAAAGGCCAGAGCCAGTCTGATTAATGCAGCTAAACCACTGTCTACACTGAGGAGGAGGCCCCAGACCCAAATCAGTTGTCTGGGCCTCTTGTCAACCAGTCCAGTCACTAAATCTCATAGGGCCTTCGTGTCCTCATCTATAACACAGAGGCTGTAATAACCTATCAAAAATGATTGTTAAGAGGATTCTTTGGGAAAATATACTCAAAAATGCTATGAAAATTCTTAGTATAGAGTGAAGAGCCATCTAGGTTGTAAGATGAAAGCCATAGACTGAGGATGGTAAAACCCCAAGGTAGAAGGATTCTCAGCAACACAGTGGACTCTCAACTACCCATGCCCAGAGATGGGGGTAAAGTTCTATGTCTTTGAACCACTGTTAGTGTGGCTTTGTTGTAGTAGCTGAGCCTGTATCTCAATCCATGGAGATGTTAACTAGACTAAAGAATAAAGTAAATCAGCTGTATCTCTAGCAGAACCATGTTCACAAATATATTTCCTTAGAGAATTTCTTTCTCTAATCATTTACCTATAGATTATTTTACTATTGAAAGATGTGTATGTGTGTAAATTTTTTTGCAGGAATGTTCTCACGAGGAATTGGCAGCCTGAGGGGTTCTGTTTTCCTTTACCTTTTTGTGAAAGAGATAGACTCAGAAAAGGAACTGGATTTGACAAAACACAATCTGCTCTCAATTTTCAGCGTCCCACCTGTGGTCATTAAAATTAATAAGCCCAAAATTAAGAAGTGCACAACTTGAGCCACTGTGATTATTTTCTTGGAGCCATGGGAGTCAGGAACAACCCTGGGGTGTTTGGTAGGAGTTTTTTTGGAAGGAATGGAAAACTCTACTTTTAAATACCTAAAAAGAGAAAGGAAATAAAGCTTTCCTTAGATAGAGTAAGAAAAAAAATTTTGTTTTCTCTCTGAGAATCCCAATTGGCTGAGGCTAGCAACACTTGGAATATTCCCAGAGATAGATACAAACTATTTGGTTCAATAGGGAAGCAGACTCAGATCTAAGTAAGGAGCAACACATTTAGCAGCTGTGAGGTCTGATTTAGACCAATGGAGTCAAAGAGTAGCCATTAGCAGTTCTACATGATGCTCTGAACTTCCATTGTCTCTGTGATGGTTAATTTTCTGGGTCAGCTTGACTGTGCTAAGGGATGATGCCCAGACACCTGGCAAAATATTATTTCTGGGTGTGTCCATGAGAGTGTTTCCCAAAGAAATGTGCACTTGAATTGGTACTTAGAGCAAAGAAGATCACCCTCAGCAATGAGAGTGGACATCATGCAATCTACTGAGGGCACAAATAGAAAAAAATAAGGCAGAGGAAGGGTAAATTTGCTCACTCTGCTTGAGCTGGGCCATCTGTCTTCTGTTGCCCTTAGACATGGGTGTTCCTGGTTCTCAGACCTTCAGACACAGGCTGGCACTCACACCATCGGCTCCCCTAATTCTCAGGCCTTCTAGTTTGGACTGGAACTACACCACTGGATTTCCGAGCCTCCAGCCTCTATAATCACAGGAACCAATACCTCAAAATAAGTCTCTTTCTATATCCCAATGTATATATATATGTGTGTGTGTGTGTGTGTGTATACACACATATATGTGGGAATATAGAAAGAGGTTCATTTTGAGGTATTGGATATATATGAGATATTATATATATATATATACATATATATACATATATATATATACACATATATATATATACACACACACACATATATATATATATATATATATATATATATATATATATATATATACCCAATCTGCTCCCTCAGTTTTGTGGTTGGGTAGAATTGGCCTCATCTTTTATATATATATATATATATATATATATATATATATATATATATAGTATTATATACATATATTATCTATATATAGATTTTATATATATCTACATATATATATAGAGAGAGAGATAGATATAGATATAGGGTCCCCTGATAACCATGTGCCCCTCCCACTGTGGTGCCTCAGCTGGCCCTACCTTCTCCAGATTCTGGTTCAGCCCCTGACACCAACCAGCCATTGACTGCCCACCATCTCCCAGCTAAGTGATAAAAGTTCCTTTATCATGGGGCTGTTATTTGCATTTTGACAGAAGCCTTCTATAACTTATGCTCAAACCCTGCATATATATCTATATCTATATATAGAGATATATAGATATAGATATTAGATATATTATCTTATATATATATTAGTAGATATATGTATATGTATTTTTAGGATATATATACCTATATATCTCCTACTGGTTCTGATACAGTCTCTTAGCAAACAGTCCCAATCTTTCATTCCTTCAACAAATAATTTTATACCAGGCCCTGTTCTAGGCACTTGGAAAACACAAGTAAACAAACAGACAAAAAATTCCTGTCCTTTGGAAGTTATAATTAAGAAGATGGAGGCAGTCATTAAACATTAAAGGCAATAAATAAATAAAATATATAATATGTTAAAGGTGTATGTGTTATATTTTAAAAAAGAAGAAGAAAAAAAAGGCAGGGTAAGGTCAAAGAGAATCAGAAGTTTGGGTAAGGAGAGTGGGGTTGCAAAATTAATTAGCCTGGCCAGGGTAAACCTCCTTGAGAAGGTGACATTTGAACACATACTTGAAGAAAGTGAGAGAGTTGAAGGAGGTACAGCTATCTGGAGGAAAAGACTTCCAGGCAAAAGAAATAGTAAGATAAATGACCCACAGCAGGAGCATTTCTTATTTGTTTTAAAAAACACCAAGACTCCACTGTGTGGCCAGAGTGGAATGAGCAGGTTGGGTGGGGGAAAATAACTGCAGGTTAGAGCACAGAAAGCCTTGCAAGTCATTATAAGGATGCTGGTTGTTCTTAGAGTCTTACAAGCAGCTGTTGCAGAGTTTTGAGCCGATAGGTACCATTTTCTGGCTTATGTGTTTCATTTGTTTGTTTGTTTGTTTGTTTTGTTGAGATAGAGTCTCACTCTGTCACAGGCTGGAGTGCAGTGGTGTGATCTCGGCTCATTGCAACCTCCATCTTCTGGGCTCAAGCAATTCTCCTGCCTCTCAGCCTCCTGAGTAGCTGGGATTACAGGCACACACCACCACGCCCAGCTAATTTTTGTATTTTTAGTAGAGACTGGGTTTCACCATGTTGGTCAGGCTGGTCTGGAACTCCTGACCTTGTGATCCACCGGCCTCGGCTTCCCAAAGTGCTGGGATTACAGGTGTCAGCCACCACGCCCAGTCGCTGGCTTCGGTTTTAACAGGATCACTCTAGGTTATTGGCTCAAGTAGCCAAACACTCTAAGGGTTGAAACTGGCTTTAGTTGTTCCAGAGACTCAAATGATAACATCCAAGCTTAGTTTCTTTGCATGTCTCAGCTCAGCCTCCTTTATGTGTTATTCTCAGCCTCAGGATGGTCCCCTTCCTGGTAGCAAATGACTGAAACAGCTCTAAGCCTTGCACAACCAAAGCCAGGTAAACAAGAGAAAGCCTTTCTTTCTACAAGTCCCAGGATATATCTCAACAGAGATTCCGCTTGGGATGTGTTCCCCTCTCTGAAACAGTGGCAGAGGGTGAGGTAATGAAGCACATGCCCCTGAATCTGAAGATGAGGCCAATTCTACCCAATCACAAAACTGAGGGAGCAGAGTGGGTTTCCTAGGGGAAATTTAGGGTGCTGCTACCAGAAGGAGGGAGACTGTGCATTGAATCACAAACGATAAATGCTCAGTTATTTAGGGGAAAAAAGATTCATATGCTTATCACTTTAATGTGAGGTAGGTCAGCAGTGGCTACGAAGAGGTGTGGAACCAAGGGCTTATGGCAGAAAGAGGCTAGAACTGAAAGGAAGGATCTTGGAAGGTCACGTAGACTTGTGCACTATTCTTGATTCTGCTGCTAGCACAATGGGGCTCGTCACTCAATTTTATTTTGGGGGCCCTAAATTCCAGCTTCACCTCCATGCAGTGAGCTATCATGCCATATATTACCATTTCAGTTTTCCATTGAGATTCCTCACTAAAAAATAACGTGGTGATCTTAAACTCTCAGGCTTTTCCAACTCTAACCTTGTAGGATTCTTGCTCTGGCCTCTGGAATCCTCCTCCTGCTGTCTTTGGGTCCCCTGATAACCATGTACCCCTCACGCTGTGGTGCCTCAGCTGGCCCTACCTTCTCTGGATTCTGGTTCAGCCCCTGACACCAAGCAGCCATTGAGTGCCCACCATCTCCCAGCTAAGTGATAAAAGTACCTTTGCCATAGGGTGGTTATTTGCATTTTGACAGAAGGCTTCTAGAACTTATGCTCAAACCCTGCACATTCACATAAAGTCCTGGGTGCTGCATGACTCTAAGCCTCATTCTGTACCTTGATAAGAACTGGGCCTGATTCATGCGTGCCCAAATGATAAAACACTACAGTAATGTCCAATCTCAACAGGAAATACTATATTTCTTCCCTTAACACCTCAGATGTATTAGAATGATGGAAATCAAGTAGGCAGTAGGGCCGCTCCAAAAACATTTCACGGACTTGGCTACTTCCACATACAGTCAGCGCTACAATAATTAGGGAAAAGCAGACTTGAAGACGCCAACTTTTCAGACTTAAATAGTCCTACAACACGTAAAGCAACAAATCTATTGAAAATTTTTTGTACAAGTATTTGAACTTTCTCCTTGACGTAGGAGCTCTGAGTTAGCTCTAAAGCCATTTCCCTGAAACAAGTGTGGAGACACTGAACTGCGTGCAATTACAGGTTGTGCTTCCACAACGACACATTGTCTGGTGTGGCTTTGAAAGCTCATGAAGAAATGGTAGAAGGGATGTGGTGGGAACACTCATCCTAGGTCACTTTTACAATATCTCTTTGACTTTCAGCATTGACCTTCAGCATGGCCTTCTCACAGCATGCTCTGGCCTTCTCCACCTCTGGGCCTCTTTTCACACTGCCCCGCCTCTTTAAATGTCCTTTCCTCCCATCCCAGCTCTGCTTTCTCTACTATTTTCTCTTTTTTTCAAAGCTATTTTAAACATTGTTGCCTCCAAGGAGTCTTTCCTGATCTCTCTGCTGGAAAAAATATGAGCCGCCTCTTAGCTCCCACAGCATGCTACCTCTATCTCCACTATGACAACAAGAAATTAGCTTCCTTTAAAAAAAAAAAGCCTCTGCTCAAACCCTGCACATTCACATAAAGGCTTGGGTGCTGCCTCATTCTGGACCTTGCTATGAACTGGGCCTGGTTAATGCCTGCCCAAATGATAACACAGTAATGTCCAAACTCAACAGGGAATATTCTATTTCTTTCTATAACTGTGGTAGCAACCTCTGAGATGATCTCCAGTGATACCTGCCTCCTGGTGTGCATGCTCTGTGTTATCCACTCCCCTTGATGCCCTGAGTGTGGGCAGGACTTAGTGACTCCCTTATAGTAAATAGAATACTGAAAAAGTAATGGGATGCCACTTCCAAGAGATTAGTAAGATTAAAATACAAAAAGTCTCTGGCTTCCATTCTGAATGAATGAATCAATCAATCTCTCTCTCTCTCTCTCTGTCGCTGTCTCTCTCTCTCTCTTTATAACCTGTCTCTCTCCCTTTTTGTCTCCCACTCTCTCCCCCTCACTACCCTTCTGAGGGAAGCCAGCTACCATATTGCTAGTTGCCCTTTGTAAGTTATCCCATGACCATGGGGCAAGGAACTGATGCTTACAACCAACAGCCCTCAAGGAATCCTACCAAGAGCCATGTAAGTGAACTTGGAAGAGGATCCTCCTCCAGAAGAGTCTTCAGATGAGACCACAGCCCTGGCTAACACCTAGACAGCAGCCTGTGAGAGACCCTGAGCCAGAAGTTCTCAGCAAAGCCACATCTGGATTCTTAACCCATGGAAAGGCAATAAATATTTCCTATTTTAAGCAACTAAATTTTGAGGTAATTTATTACACAGCAATAGACAACTAATATAGTAACCAATCAAAAACGCCTTTCAGATTCCTACATTTTTTGGAAGCTCCTTATCCATTCCTTCCCAGTATCTGCCCATCATGCCATAGACCACTTATTAGCCTTTGTTATTCTTCAACAACCTACTATTTTTTAGGCAATATGCTAGAGAATTAAGCTCAGAATTTGATTATTCCAATGAATGCAACTCTTTTCCAAGAAGCTCAGAATTTCATTATTCCAATGAACTCAGCTCTTTTCCAAGAAATAGTATAGATATCCAAACTTCAGAAAACTCTCCCATTAAAATGTAGTCCCAATGAAGTTGTAACAAGATATACTTTTTATATTTTTATATATTTAGTACCCCCATGATTCTATTTGCTGGTCCATTAATTCAGATAAATGTATATTTCATATTAATCAGATTGAACTATGGGAAGAGGAACAAAGTCTATTCAAGTCTGTTCAAATGTCCTAATTTGAATGGGAAGTAAATCTTGTCATAAAGCCAAAAATCTTTCAGGAGAATCACTTGGTGGGGGTATTAGCTGACAATTGTAACATCCTTTTCACCTATTCATCATGTTCTTCCACAAGCCCCAGCATGAGCATCACCAGGAAGTGACTTCAGTTGCTGAAAAGCAGGGGGCCTAGCCCTTTAGGAATGGCCCCTGTGGTGACATTTATCTCTTAAAGGTCACGACTGCTTCTGGAAGAAGAGATGCTATTGTCATTGACACTGACTCTATTAATATTTCATCCAAGTCCTGCAAGGCTTTCTCCTGTGTCTGAATTCCTCATTGGTTTGGTTTGACATTATGTCAATTCATTTTGGCCTTCAGTTTCCTGAAAATTAATTTATGGATTTTTTTTAGTCAAATCAACACTAAAAGCACTTATTGTGTATACATATGCTAGGTACAGTGGGAGTTGGAGGAAAAGACACAAAGATGACTAAAACATGAGATGATTCCTACAAAGTCAGAGTCTGAATAGCCCTGAATAAAGGTTTAGAAATAGTTCTATGCTCAAAGACCTCAACTATCACTAGAGCAGGACACTGAAGACCTAGCATGCTGATTCCAACTCTGTCACTCAACACTGCATATGCCTGGGTAACTTATTTTTCTTCTCTTAGCCTAAGTTGTCTCATCTGTGCAATAGGGAATTTTAAATTTAGAACAGGATGCTGCTGCAGGCAGAATCCTAGAATGTCCTCCCAAGATTCCTGCCCCCTGATGTACACACCTTGTGTAATCTCCTCCCTGTGAGTGTGGCTTGGGCCTATGTATATGATGAGATTTTGCTCCCATTGTTGAGTTCTATTATGTGGCAAAAGTGAAGAGATTTTTGCAAATGTGAAGTCCCAAATTAGCTGATTTTGAGATAAAAGGGAGATTATGTGACTTCATCAGTTAACAGCTCTTAAAAGAGGAACTGGGCCCCTCCTGAGAAGAGAGATACTCCTTAGGCCTGGAAGGACTAAGCTGCCATGTTATGAGAGGGCCTATGAGACAGTCGTGTGATGAGGATCTGTGAGCAGTGGCCTCTAGGGCTCAGAATGACACCCAACTGACAGCCTGCAAAAAAACAAGAACCCTTGTCCTAAAACTGCAAAGAAATTAATTCTTCCAACAACTACATGAGCTTGAAAGAGGACTCAAGCTCCAGAAAGAAACATGGCCCAGCCAACATCTTGATTGCAGTCTTGTGGGACCTTGAGCAGAGGACCCAGTTAAGCCATGCCCAGATGCCCAATCTATGGAAACAGTGAGATAATGAACATATGTTGTTATAGGCCACAAAATTTGTGATAATTTGTTACATAGAAATAAAAAACTGATATAGATTCTAGATACATTCCATCTTGCCCACTAACTCTAATGATTGATCATATCTGCTTGGAGCAATATATTGAAAAGAATTCTAAGTCTGCATCTAAGCTCAGTTACAAAAAGTGTCATAATTGATTAATAATATCTATCATGAATATTTTTCAGTGAGGACTCCTCTGAATGCAAGCAACAGAAAACATGACGCAAATTGACTTAAGCAGGGAGGAGTGTTTCGTTCTGCCAAGCCAGCAGCTGGAATCGCCCCAAAAGCAGCAGCAGGGGAATTTCCACAAAGGAGTTCCCCAAATTGTCCTGAGATGGGGCTGGTTGGGATTCCAAAGAAAGTAGTACTAAATGTCAGGGTGATCAGTCCAAAGCAATTATTAGGGGAACTTACAGAATGCTGCAGCAACCTTTGAGATGGACAGAAAGAGAAAAGAGGTGCTCTACCTACGTATGTCTGCCATGAGGGTGTCAGGGTATGGAGTTTATACAAAGGTTTAAGAAATTTGGCTCAGGGCCAGGGCCAGTGTATTAGTCTTTTTCATGCTGCTGATAAAGACATATCCAAGACTGAGTAATTTATAAGGAAAAAGAGGTTTAATGAACTGACAGTTCCAGATGGCTGGGGAGGCCTCACAATCATGGTGGAAGGCGAAAGGCACATCTTACATGGCAGCAGGCAAGACAGAATGAGAGTCAAGCAAAAAGGGAAACCCCTTATAAAACCATCACATCTCATGAGACTTATTCACTACCATGAGAACAGTATGGGGAAACCACCCCCATGATTCAAATATCTCCCACCACATCCCTCCCACAACACATGGGAATTATGGGAGCTACAATTCAAGATGAGATTTGGGTGGGACACAGCCAAACCATATTATTTAGTTTCTTTCAGCGTTTTGGCAACAACCTAGACACCTATGTCAGCACCTAGAAATTTTCAAGGCCCCAGTTTGGGTTTGAGCCTGCTGAGAGAAATCTGCAGCTGGATGGGTCACAGAATGTTCAAGCACTCTGTGACTTTTCAGGAAGGACACAGAAAGAAAGCAGGGGGAACTGGGGGAACCTACAATGGGGAAGGATTGTTAGATCTGGCATTTACTCAGCAAATATTTACTGAACCTCCACTGTGTGCTGAACATTGTTCTAAGCACTGAAGTTAGAACAACAATGAAATCCCTGCCTTCAGAGTTCCCATGTCCATGGCTTATAGAAATGAAAATTCCAGGGATAGAGTTGATTTCAGGCAATGGTTGAATCCAAGGGTTCAATATACTATTTCTGTGTTATAGCTCCTTTAGGCTTCAAGATTGCACCCTTTCTGCTCCACATCCCGTGGAAAAACGTTATTTTTTATATCTGCTTCCTAAAGCAATAAAGAAAACTCCCTCTTTACTGATCTTGATTGGATAGACTCAGGTCACACACCCACCCCTAAACCAGTCACTATGTCCTGGACAAAGGAATGACTTAATCAGTCAAGCTGGCTCAATTCTTCAGCCCCAAAGAGGGAAATGAAGTTGGCTCCACCTAATGCACCTGGTTTGGGACTGCAGAAGAGATGATTCTTGAGTAAGCTATCAGGGTCCTGCCACCAGAGAAACAGAAAATAATCAACATCCACCACAGAAAAGGAGTGAAGAGTGGCTAAAAATTCACCACATGTTTGGTCTTTGGATGCAAGATGATCCCTAAAGTCCTTTAAAATTCTAAAATTGAATACTACATATTCTTGTATTTTTATTAAATGTTATTGATTTCTAATGTCAAATGAAATATACGTTCAATGTAATAGAAAAAAATCAAGTGATGCAGCAATCTAAAAAGCAGAAGGCAATGTTCCCCAAGAACCTCTATCTACCCTACACCCAACATCGTAAAAATCATCCTGAAAACATGCCTGTCCTTCCTGTGGCTATAATTCTATGGGCCACGTTTATTTGGCACATAGGGTTTGGCACATATTTAGGGTACACATAGACTTCTGGAAGGAAGAGGAGTATAGACATTCAGGCTCTGGGAAAGAGACTCCAATACCCCAATGGCAAGATCATGGAGGAAGTCACAGATAATGGGAGAACATTCCTGGGACTACTACATCAAAGCCAAAGAGACCCCTACCTTTCCAACAAATGCCCATCCATTTCCTCAATATTTAAGGAATCAGAGTGGCAAGGATCTCAGCCCCAAAGTGCCCTCTCTGGTGATTACACAGTATGATTGAAAGAGCATGGAACATAAAATCAGTCAGACACAGGTGCAAATTTTGGCCACTCCCTAATTTCTCTCTGCCACTATCTAATTTTGGCCCTGCTACTACCTAATCCTGTGTAAGACCACAGGAAGTTTACCATATTCCTCAAAGCTCCAGTCTTCTCATCTATAAAAACTGGAATAAGATACCCACCTACTAGTCCATGTGTGATTGAGTGAGGTAACAGCACAGATGGCAATACCTAACAGGCACCTATGAATGAAGAGAATTAATGCAGAATGAGCCTGCATTGTGGCATGGAAAGCACACTAGACTGGAAGTCGAGAGTCGTAGTAGGCACAGTCCATTGGTTATTCAAGATCTTCTGTACAGAGCAGTTAAGACCTTGGACTCTGGAGCCAGACTGCCTTGGTTAGAATCCCAGCTTCATCATTTCCTGTGTTAAGTGGCTGGAATTTTACAAGTTACATGAAATTTTAAGTTACTTGAACATTCCATGTCTTGGTTTCTCTCTCTGTAAAATGACAATGACAATAATCGTCCTTAATTCATAGGGTTGTTGCGAAGATTAAATGAGTTTAGTAAATGTGAAACACTTAGAATAGTGTGTAACACATTGTTTGCACTCAATAAAGATTTGCTATTATTATTATGCATGTATCCAATACACATTTATTGAAAATATATGTTCCAAGATCTATGTTAGATGCTAGAATTGCATAAATGTATATATGTCAGTATCTTCCATGGAAGAGCTCAACACAAACACATAAATAGATTTTTTTATTGCAAAATGAGATCACAATTACAACAATAGAAGAATGAACAAATGCTATGGGAGCCCAGAAGAGGGAGCCTAACATTGGAAGAATAGGGAAGGCTTCACAGAGGGGAATATTTAAACTGCACCTTATGCTGATAAGCCATTTAAACAAGAAGGGCAAAGGAAATTGGGTCTGCGAGTAAAGCAATAGAAAAATTAAAAGCAGCTATATATTAGAAGCATTCCACTGAGTGAAAAAAAAGTAATAGATTTATAACACTACACAATTTCTGAAACATACAGCCTTGCACACAAAATGACAAGCTACATTTTACAAAAACACCTATAAAAAACACACAGAATGACAGTGGAGAATCATGGTTTTTTTTTTGTTTGTTTGTTTGTTTTTTAAATCTTTCAATATTATTTAATGAAAAAGTCTCACACTGTCATGTACAGGATATATCAACATTTACTACTCATCTGTCATGTTAGGAAAAACATCATTATTACACGCTTGGAAAATCCTCAAACCCATCTCTAGTGGATGTCTGTCATAATTTAAAGGGTATTTTCCCCATTCAAATAAAACAATCTCTTGTAAAGCTACAATAGTTATATACCAAAGCAATATCTAGTTACATGCTTTACACAGTCCCGTGAAAAAATAACTTAATTGCTCCTAATCCCTGATGCAAGGCACTTCAAAGCACCCGCACAAAACGTCCATGTAAACAGCAGTACAGTACATCATTTAAATAACATAAATGACTTCTACACAGCTTGACCTAGGAAAAAATAAAATCCATCATAGCCACAGCTAAAAAGCATGTTAAGATTCACAATAAGAATTTGTTTCTCTTATTATAAAGAGAAGAGCAATCATATAACCTCCTGGGGGTGGGGGAGACCTCATAAATATTTTATATTGATTGACAAAACAGCATGCTCCCTGGGTACGTATGAAATCAGAATATTCAGGAGTAACTGAGAGGATGCAAATAACATTTCTTAGTACCCAGCTTTAATATCTACCAGACCTGGTAGTCTGGATTATTTGTAGCACCATGGAAAACTCATTAGAAAATCACAAAGGTATACACCTCAACCTTTCTATGAGGTTCATTTAATTTATAGTAACAAACAGCAGTGATGCAGATAAAGAATCTTTAAAATTATTGGCTTACTGGATTTACCTAGCAAGAAAAATTCTATATTACTTATTTTAGTACATCTCATGTACATAAAGCACCAGTTTAAATGAGAGTATCAAATATCTCCAGCATCTTTTTGCTTAGCCTAGAAGTTCATTTCTTATCACTTTCCATGGCACACTCTTAAAGCCAAGGAAGATAAAACTAGAATGGTTATAAATATGAATGGAGAAATTCAGTTCCTTCCCTATCATATTTACATGTCTCAAGTAAAACACAGATGAGTGGCAAAAGGTCTACTGCATTCTCTGGAACCTGCCACCCCAGAGTAGTTAACTGGCTACTAGAGGATTAACACACAGGGCTGAGCAGGTCAAAGCCAGGGCTCTGTCAGGTAAGGGCCAGTTTTTACTACTGAGCAACTCACAAACACCACTGGTAAAGCAAAGAGGTGTGAGTGTGCATATAGCTCAGGGAACCCTGAGTTTACCCTTAGTTACCACTAAAAACTAACAAATGAGACTCCACTGAGGCTTAACTTCATATACAAAAATCAACACCTTTGCCTCTTTGACAGTGGTAATTATTAGCATGCCCTTCTTAGGTATAAAAGGGATAATGGTACTAGCTTTTGTATTTGAATTAATTATCATTCCAGCTTTTTATATACTATATTTCATTTATGAAGAAATTGATTTTCTTTTGGGAGTCACTTTTAATCTGTAATTTTAAAATACATGTCTGAATATTTATAGTTGATTCTTAACTGAGAATCATGTTTTAAAAGCATAATTAAAATGTAAAGCGAGAGAAAGACCATCACTCCCAATGGTGATAATGTACCATGATCTGAAAGAAAGGGAGAGCAGAAAGCAGGAGGGAGGGAGGGAACAAAGAGACCAAACATAGAATATGTTAGAATTTGCCAGCAATGTATTGCATCTGAAATTCTGAAAGGGTCAGATCCCTGCTGGTAGAATGAGGCATCAGGTTATTTCATCTAAATTATCAAAAGTAATGTCAGAGGCAGTGTATATATGCATGCACACACACATACACACAAATACACATTTACATATGAATGGGGCAAAAACCTACTTGAGCTACCAGGAAGGAGTAAGTCAGGAAGGGGTAACTTGCCTACCTGACCCCATTATGAATTAGAAATAGGCACCTCTTCTCCAGAACAGGCACAGCTTGTGACAGGGCACACAGCTCAGCCAGCAGACTGCAAGCTGGATTTTAGCACCACTCACACACTGAGAAAGGGACCTTTGTGCAGAACACAATGGCACAACCCTAAGAGATGGCCCTGCAGTGGTTATTCTCTTTCATCAGACTCCAGAGGAAAACTGAACAGGCTTAAACAATACACAAGATGAGCAAGCAAAGGCACGGGAGGTGCAGATGGTGAGAGCATCTCTTATGAGCAAAACCAAGAGCCCTGAGCCTCAAAGCAGAAATGTTGTCAAGCTCAGCTTCCCACATCAGAGCATCCCCTGGGCTTGGGAAAGATCATCACTCGCAAAAGAACATAACATCCCATCATCTTTAAATTAAATGTTTACAGTGCTGCTCTGGGAATGTTCAGAGTCAGCACATGACTCTTTAAACTCAAATTCTTTAAACTCAAATTCTTTTCCCTCTGGCCAAGGCAACTTGACCCAAACACTGTCTCTCTTGCTATAAGATCTTCATAGAGACGTTATACCACACGTTCTCGAGGTTGAGGAATGACTGGATGTTAGCATGCAGCAAAGGAAGAAGAGGGCAATGAAGAAAGGAATACGAAGACATTAACAACAACAAGCAACTTGAAATGCTAAAGAACAAATCTTAATCAAAATGGCTTACAGACATGAAAGGAAGAATTAAAACTTTAAAAAAAGAAACTTTACATCTGACAACCGTGTTACAGCCTACAAGGCTAGTGCTTTTACAACCACAAAATCATGGGATCTTCACAACGATCCTGTAAAATTGGTATTAAAATCATAAAACATGCCGGAGGAGAAGGAAGGGAAGGGGCATCACAGGGCAAAGGCTGGGAGGGTTCAAGTCTCAAGATAGAGAGGCCACGGCCAGCTGCTCACCCAAAGAGAAAGCACTTTTAACTCTAGAGGTACCCAACAGGCAATATAAGATGGATATTAAGGTCGTAGACTCTAGAGACAATTGGAACTGAAGTCTAAACAGCTAGCAGGAACTTAGACAAGTCAATTAATCATTCTAAGCTTGCTTCCTTGTCTGCAGAATGGAATAGTAATAGCCTCATCATAGTGTTACTGTGAAAGGTAAATGTTTATAACATGCTTACTAAAATGCCTGTTTTTATAGTAAGTGCTCAATAACTAGAAGCTATTACTCATTCATGTATTCAATACATATTACTGAGTGCTTATCTCGAGCCAGTCACTGGTCCAAGCTCAGGAATACAATGTTCAGCAAAAAACAGACATTGTATTAGTTCTCATGAAGCATATACTTTAGTGGGGTACAGTGGCAATAATGATATAATTGCTAAAGTAAATATTATTTGTGAATTCATTTCTAAGAACTACAAAATTTCACAGTGCCAAATGTTTGAAAAGCTAACCTAGTTTAGAAAGATTTAGTGCAGGAAGGATCAAGAAACAATTACCTGTGAAAGCAAAATTTGAGTTGAGATCTGAAAAATGAATAGAGGCTAAGAAATAAAAAGCACTCTAAGGAGAAGGACTGGCATATTTAAATGCAGTGTGATAGGAGGGGGCACGACACAGTCTAGGAGATGGACAATGAGTGTGGCTGAAGCATCAAGATAGCAAGGAAGAGTAGCTCAAAATGAAGATAGGATAAAGAGGAGTGAATAGGCAGGAGCAGCCCCTTGTGGGCCACAGTGGGAATCGATGAGAAGCTGCCAAATGATTTTCATTCTATTGGAATTGACTAACCCAAAAGGTGAGGAAGAGAGGGATAGCATGTTCACATGAAGTTTAAAATATGGTTCTGGCCATTTGTGTGGAGAATGGATGAGAAGTAAAAGATAGAACAGATACTGAGAGAATTGTTTTGCCATTGTTACAGTGGTCTGGGCTAGAGACAATGATGGCTTAATACGGCAATAGAAGAAATGGCACAAAGTAAAGGAATCTGAGATCTGTTTAGTAAGTAGAGTTGACAGGGCTTTAGGATGGATTGGGTATGAAGGTTAAGAAAGATGGGAGAATCAAGACTGTCTCACAGGTTTCTGGAAATACCAGTCACTTGAAGATGTCTCAATTTAGGGGAAAGATAATATATGAATTCATTTGTGGCTAAGTTGAGGTTAAGATGCCTTTGAGATGTCTAGATAGAAGGTTCATGCAGACATGTAGTCTAGAGCTCAAAGAGAGATCTAAGGTATGGATATGTATTTAAGAGTCTTTGACATATAGATAGCATGAGTTAGATCAAATAGGGTAAGAATATAGAATAAACTTTTTTAAAAAGAAAGTTTTAAGGACTTACAACAAAGGCTTAAGGAATTTCAACATAATGATTAAGCAGTGAAGGATACATGTGCACATGTACCCTAAAACTTAAAGTATAATAATAATTTAGAAAAAGAAAAAAAAGGGAGAAAAGGAATGTTCTAAGATAGGAATAAAACACAAAAAATGTAGAGTAACAAAAGTCAAGGGAATAGAAAGTTTGGAGTCAACATTATTAAATGCTGCTGAGAATTATGTAAATTGAGTGTTATAAATCACAGATCTATTTGCTATTCAACGGCTCAGAATTGCACACTTTTCATCAAGAAAAAAATGTTAAGGCTTAAAATTTTCAGTCATTTTCCTGAGTTTATGCAACAAGGAGGTGGTGGGTAGGGTTTCAAACCCAAACCTAGCACCAAAGCCTTTTCTGTGGAAGTTCCTGGGGCCTCTCTACTATCTTTTTTAGTGGTTAGAAGGCATTTCCTCACAATGGCACTGTTACCTGAAAACTGGAGGACTCTGACACTGAAAATTTGGCAACAATATCTTTCTTCTCTCTTCTCAGTAGCTGCACACCTCAACAGAATAAAACCATTTGTCTCTAGATCAGTAATTGGTGGAGGGAATGCCAAAGGAGACATGACAAAAAGGACAAGGATGTTGTGGCATATGCCAGGACTTAATTGTAGCCATAATTTCATGTTGAGCCTAGGCTGGCAGAAGGTGCACCTGTGAAGTTGGTAGAACATCTGATTGCAGTCTCTTTGCAGAAGGGCTGCAGAGAATGCTAGAGAGAGATATTTAAAAGGTAAGAAGGAGCCTGTTCTGAAGAACTCAACTAAGAAAAAAGTCTTATCCATTAGCATGAAGTCACATTTCTAAGTTTAGCATAGTAGTTATTACTCAAATCCATCCCCACCCCAACCTTCTAGGTGACAAGAAGAGACAAGACTGGATATCAAGTTTGAAAAAACATTTTATCATTTTTTTCCTCCTTTTGACACTCATAGCTTCTCTCTCAATTCCTGCCTTAGAACCAGTAAGAGCATCTTATTACCCCTGTTTATGTCCATCACCCCATGAAGCCCAAGACTCCCAGCTCATCTCCATTCACGAATTCACTAGCTCTGGTGTCTGTATGGCTCCATCCCATTTTATGAACTCTTCTTCCACTTTTCTCCCTCTCCTGAAATCATTTCACTGTAACTCTGGAGCTTAAGGTCTCTCAGTACATTTCCCTGTGTCCTCAAGCTCTTCCAGTAACATTTCCTTCACCTTCTTGAACTAGCTGAAAACCCTGGCTCTTCCTCGAGGACGCTATAGCCCTCTAAAGTGGTTCTATGTTCTCTTTCACTCCTCCTTCCACTGGACCTGGACGTGGGGTAGAGACCTTCCTTACTACTTTAATAATGCTGTAAGACCATCCTTCCTCCTTCCTCACCAACAAAAAAATCAAAGCTTTGAATATCACATCATGAAACTCTGTCTCCTACTACGCTTGTTTGTTTCATTCCCTTACCCACGCCTCCAAAGTCAAGTTCCTGCCCCCAATTCTCAAAGATGCTCCTAGATTAGTGCCATTATTGTTTTGAAACACAACTCCTGTCCTGTCATAGGTCTCAAAGGTCCATCCCAGGGTGAGTACCGACCTGTTGTCAGCCTGGATGCTCCTGTAGAAGGTGTTTGGAGACCCCTGTTTGAAGTTCTCACCCCATCAGGAAGGACAAGATCAGGGACACGCTTAAAGAGGCAGTCTGGCTGCTTTTCTGTACAGCAGGTGTACCGTGTTGGGGGTAGCGTTTCCTTGTCCAGACTGCCTGGACTCTCCAGAGCCAGCAGTCTGGGAAGGCTGAGTCGACAGAACCACAGAGACATCAGCTGCCCCGCCCCACTGGGTCTCCATCCCAGGGAGAGATCAGAGTTTTGTTCACGTAACCCTGGCTGGTGTTGCTGAAATTCCCGCAGGGAGGCCCCACCCAGTGAGGAGGAATGGACTGGGGTCCCACTTAAGAAAGCAGTTTGGCCACGATCTGGCACAGCAATGACCTCTACATAGATAATTCCAATGGTCAGTGCTCAGTCCTGATCTTACTTCAGTTTTCATTATCATGTAACACAGATGGTGACTCTTTTCCTCTAAACATTGGCATTGTTTGGCCTCCAGGACTCCATATTCACTTGGTTTTCCTCTGACCTCTGTGGCTGCTCTTTCTAATCTTGCTTTGCTGGTTCCTCCATATGACCCTGACCTCTAAATGAAGGAGAGTCCTGAGAGTTAGTCGTTTGACCTCTATTTTACCCATCTACATTGCTGGCTTTAATACCATTTAGATGTCCATGACTTCCAAATTTATATAATTTATATAACTAGCCTTGACCACTTCCCTTTCCTTCCCTTTAGTCTAGATTTTTTTTTCTAATTGAGACAGAGTTTCGCTCGTTGCCCAGGCTTGAGTGCAATGGCACCATCTCGGCTCACCACAACCTCTGCCTCCCGGGTTCAAGTGATGATTCTCCCGCCTCAGCCTCCCGAGTAGCTGGGATTACAGGCATGCGCCACCATGCCTGGCTAATTTTGTATTTTTAATGGAGATGGGGTTTCTCCTTGTTGGTCAGGATGGTCTCAAACTCCCGACCTCAGGTGATCTGCCCGCCTCTGCCTCCCAAAGTGCTGGGATTACAGGCGTGAGCCACTGCACCCGGCTAGTCTACATCTTAATACCCAACGGCCTACTCTACATCTCTGCTTGTCTAATAGACATCTCAAACAACATATCTACTAAAAATCTCCTAATACCCCCCTAAAACATTCTCCTCCCTCGGCATTTTCCATCTCATTTAATGGTGAATTCATCCCTCCATTTGTTCAGGTGAAACACCCTAGAGTCATCCTTACGTCCTGGCTTTCTCCAATCTAATCTGTCAGCAAATTCCTTCAAATATATCCTCTTCTTTTGCCTATATCTTCAAGATATAAATACAATTCTATTGCTTTTCACTATTGTTATGTCCTTTATCTGAGCCAAACTACCATCACTTCTCCCCTGTATTACTGAAACAGCCTCCTAACTGGTCTCCCTGCTTCTGTACTTGTCCTCCTACAAGCTATTCCCCACACAAAAGTCAAAGGATCATGTTAAAACAAAAGTAAGGTCTTGTCTCCCACTACTTAAAACTCTCCAATGAGTCCTAGGCCAAGGTCCTCACCTTCTGCTTCAGGATGCTGCACAGTAAGACCATCACTTCTCTGACCCAGCACTTTCCCTCTCCCTCACTCTTCCAGCAATGTTGACTTTATTCAAATGTTGACTTCTCAAGGAGGCTTTTCCCAGATGTTCTATCTAAAATTCACCCTCCTGCACATACTTTTCCTATTCGCTTTCCTCAGAGGAAAATTGTTATCACTTGCTGTATATTTTAGTTGTATTAAACATGGAGCTTCATGAAGACAGGAATTTTTTCTGTTTCCTTTATCACCATCTCTCTGGATCATAGAACAGTGTCTAGTACACAATAAGAGCTTAATACGTGCATTAAGTGAACGGATGAATTAGGAAATTGAGTCTCCAAGAGATTTAGTAATTTCCCCCAATTGCAAATTTGGTAGCTAATAAGTGTCAGAGCCAGAACTCAACCCTCTTTTTAGTGCCCCCATGCTTCCAAGATGGCAACTCAGAAAACTCTTCATCCTTGTTTGGAGAGGCTTCTCAAGGTTCCCATTCTTCCTGACTTCTTGTAAAATATTTATAATCCTACATTAAATAAGATTTCCCAGTGCCACTGCTGTGACTTCCCCCTCATCTTTAATTTAGCCAATCTAAACAAACAGGACAAAAAAATGTGCTGCTGATCTATTAATAGAGAAGCAAATAAACAGCTCCCTAAATTTCAAGTTGCAATTAGCAATTCCACAGAGCAAAGGGATTTTAGATAAATTAAGATAGCTCATTTTGGGCTCTGCTGCAAGTTTTAAGGACACTAAGAAGACCATGCCTTATTTAAGCTCACAGGGCCATTGGGAAATAAAAGCTCATTCATGAACACTGAACTTAATATAACCCTCCTCTTCAAGGCACAATTACCTAGAAGTTCAGTGTTCTGATTGGCCTGGAAATTGTGTATTCAAATGAATAGAACTTACACATTTGCTCAGCACTAAACTGTGTGCAAGTTACTCTCTTCTGTTGAGAGATGGATGTGAAGCTAAAAATAACATCATTTTTTCAGCAAATAGTACTGTTGGGTTTGAATTAAGGGTCTTAGAAACAATATATCATTTCATTCTTACAGTAGCTCTGCAAAAAGGTACAATTTCCACATTATGACTAAGAATGCTAGCTTAGTTGATCTTCCCAAAGCCCTAGAACTAACAAATCTCACAGGGAAAATTCCAAACCAGATCCCTCTGACTTGAAGTCTCAACCAATGTGTCAGACCGCCTTCATTTAAGAAGATGACTCAGACTTATCTCTTGCCTTCAGGAATTCAGATTCTCACCAGAAAAATGGAATAACACCTAATTCTGGCTTTAAAAAATACTGGAATCATAGATACTAATTAGGAAAAATCATTTCTAAAAGGAGTTAGCTAATAATCTTCTATGTATGAGGTATCTGAATCAAGTTTGAATTATAGGTAAGGTTTAAGAGGTTGATATGGACCAAAAGGAATTCCAGGTGGAAGAGATTTTACTTGACAAAAGACAAAATCTTGAATGAACTAAAGCAGCAACCTTAATAAGTATAAGACTCTGAAGCTACAGTAACATCCTCACTCTCCAGAAGAGATCAATAACTGTACCCCAAAAGGGAAACTCAACTACTAAACTCTTACATATGTTATCTGCTTGGAATTGTTAAAGGCATTTTAGGCAAAGTGCCCAACCCTAAGGCTCCCCTCCACTTGTCCTGAAGTCCTCCAATCTTCTTATCTTCATACAGAGCTTCTGTCTGGCTGATAATCAATGGGTTAACAACCTGCTTTTAAAAGCTAAAAGCCCCAGGAAAATTACAACCTATAAATCACAACTCACTTCGTATTGATCTATTCACTTGGCTTCTTCCTAACCCAACTGAGAGCTAGCATCTGATGCACAAGAGTATTGATGTGGAGGGAGGAGGGGGGAAGAAAGAGGAAGAAGTAATTCTAGAACCTGGGGTAGACCCCAAGGGGCAGGTCTGAGTGGAGTCCTGAGTGCTCAGACACAGGAAAGAATGAGGCAAAAGGTAAAAGAAGGAAACAATTACAAGGGACCGAAACTACACTCAAACCGACTTAAACAAATTAAGGAAGTGATTGGATGATGTCTCTGAGCTAAACTTAGGCATGTTTGTACAGCGGCTAAACTTGCAGGACTGGTCATCAAATTGCCTGAGTTCAGATCCATCTTCAAATTTTTACTCATTGTGGGACCTTGAGCAAGTTACTTAACTTCTCTTACTTAACTTCTCTGAGCCTTACTTCCCTCATCTGGGTGAAGGTACAAGAATAATAATTGTACTGAACCTACTTTATAGTTTTGTTGTGGGAATTTAGTGAGGTAATGCATGTGTTATGGGTTGAATTGAGTACCCCAAAAATATGTATTAAAATCCTAACTTCCAGTTCCTCAGAACGTGACCTTATTTGGAAATAGGTTCTTTGTAAATATAATTACTTAAGATGGGATCATACTAGAGTAGAATGGGCCTTTAATCCAACATGACTGATACCCTTTTAAGAAGTGAAGAGTCACAGAGACAGACTCAAGGGGAAAATGCCATGTGATAATAAGGCAAGAGACTGAAGTGCTGTCATTGCAAGACAATGAATGCCTGTGTCTACCAGAAGCTGAAAGAGGCCAGGAAGGATTCTGGCCTACAGATTTCAGAGGAAGTGTATTAGTCTGGGCTACCATTTAAAAAAAAAATACCATAAACCGGGCAGCTTAATCAACATAAATTTATTTTCTCACACTTCCGGAGGCTAGAAGTCCCAGATGAAGATTTGGCAGAGTCAGTTTCTGTTTAGAGCTCTCTGTCTGGCTTGCAGATAGGATGGTCACCTTCTTGCTGTGTCCTTATATGGTGGGGTGGTGGAGGAGAGATGGGTTTCTGGTGTCTTGTCTCTAAAAACACTAATCCTGTGAGATCCAGACCCCTTCTCTTTTTTCTTTTTTTTTTTTCTTTTAAAGACGGAGTCTCACTCTGTTGCCAGACTGGAGCTCAGTGGCGCTATCTAGGCTCACTGCAACCTCCGCCCCCCAGGTTCAAGCGATTCTCTTGCCTCAGCCTCCTGACTAGCTGGGACTACAGGCACGTGCCACCACGCCCAGCTAATTCTTGTATTTTTTAGTAGAGATGGGGTTCCACATGTTGGCCAGGATGGTCTCAATCTCCTGACCTCATGATCCGCCTGCCTTGGCCTCCCAAAGTGCTGGGATTACATGCGTGAGCCACCGCGCCCGGCCCAGACCCCATCTTTATGGCTTCATTTAACCTTAATTACTTCCTTATGGGTCCTATGTCCAAATTCAGTCACATTGGGAGTTAGGACTTCAACATATAATGGCAAGGGGGTGGGGGGCACAAAATTCAGTTCATAAGGGGAAGCATGAACCTGCCAATAGTTTGAATTTGGACTTCTGGAATCCAGAATCATGAAAAAATAAATTTCTGTTGTTTTAAGCCACCCAGTTTGTGGTACTTTTGCTATGGCGGCCCAGGAAACTAATACAATATAAGAAATGCTTGCATCAATGCCTGGTACATAGTATGTATTTAATATATGTTAGCTGTTACTATTACAACTCAGGCACATTCCAATCCAGTTCCTCAAGCAATGTCATTAGAAATTTCTTTCTCTTCCTCTCTCAGCTTGTTTTCCTCTGACACTGCTGAATTCTCAGGTCGACCCTCCCTCATGGTGGTCCCTGGGAACTCCAGCCAACCAACTTAGCAGCTACAGCAAAAGGACACATTTATTTCCCTGTAGATCCCGCAACAGTCCTGGGACTGACTCTCATTGGCCTGGATGAAGTCACATGCCCATCCCTGAACCAATCATGGTAGCCAGAGGGCTTCAAAGCTTTGTCCAGACATGCCTACCCTGTAGGCATGACTGGAGTCAACTCCACTTGAACCACAAGGACTAAGAATAGAGATAAGTGGTTTGGAAAAATAAAATCAGGCTGCTAGTATCAGAAGGGACATCAGGCATCAGAAGACTGAAGAGGCCTAAAAAACAGATTACTACATGGGATTTTAGCAAACTGAAGTTTATAAACAGGATCTGTAGATCCTGCAGTTTCCACTGTGTTCAAAATACTATACTAGTAAAACTTATTGGTTGCAATTGCAAACAACAGAAACCAGGATTAATTAAATTAAACAGAAAATTATTTTTAGGGGGTTTCTGGTAGCTTGCAATGCTGAAAGGAAGGCTGGAAATCAGGCTTAAGCAGGAATGAGCAATGCTAACGCTAACACTGGCCATGATTTTTGCTGTGTTCCACCAGCCAGAGGACAGAGAAGATGGATCCCTTTGTGTCTCATCTTGCATCTGTGGCAAGAGGAGAGAACATTCTATATACTTATTTAGGGTCCCCCCCACCAAAACAAGTAGAGTGTTTGGATATTAATTTGACAAAGAGAAAGATATACAGTAGTTTTCTACTTAATGACAAGCAGGAAATAGTTATGAATAGAACAAGACCTTATAGTCTCCAGAAGCTGCAATCAAGGTACGAATGCCTTATTTAGAACTAACCAACACTCAAGGCAGAGCACTCATACGAGGCCCATAGAATGTCATCGATGAGGGAATGGGGAATGCTGCACGAGACAAATGTCAGCAAGAGAATGGGGATGATTTTGACAATAGCAGAGGAGCAAGAGTTAGGATAGAAAGAGAATTCTAGAAGTGACAGCATGAACAAAAGCATGCAGAAAAATAAAATCCAGCACATAAAATAAGGAAGACTTTTTTGTATTCAAGAAATTTGTTTTTACAGCAGCATCTCAGTGCCTCAAAGATTATCTTTAAAAACAGCTGTTACCCAACAACTACTTAAAGCTTGAAATAAAGGAAAACATTCCCACGCCAACTCTGCACTCTAAATAGAAGCTGAAAAGATAGATACAAAAATACCAAGGCCACTATGGCAGCCTGATTTGAAGCTTTTTATAAAACAAAAAGTTCTGTGGTCTCCTGAAAGGCTCACTCCTCTTGTTTGCACAATTGTTCAGTCTCTCCTGAGCCCCCACTGTCGGGATAGCAGGGAGGGAACTGAGGAAAAGCAGCCGTCTTGAACCAGAGCCAGCCTCCAATCCCTCTGCACCCATGCAAGTGTGCCTTCTCAGGGACAAGGACTATGATAAAATAAGAACATTATCACTATCATGCATTGGGTGTTTAACATGGCTAGAACTATCCAAAGCATCACACAGGTTATGTCATTTCCAACCACCCCAACAAGTGACTGGTACTGTAATCTCCATTTCACAGATGAAGAAATTGAGCCAGAGAGAAGTTAAGTCATAAAATGCCCAAGGTCACTTAGGATTCCTCATTAATTCTCAGAATAGTAACTGAAACCTCTGCAGCATTTTAGAGTTTATGAAGGCTGGTGGAGGGACAGGGAAGGAGCTTATTAAATAATTACAACGGGTCAAATTTTTGTGCAAAGCACTCTACAGATCCTAGAAATATAAAAACAAACAAAATCTATTAGGTAAATGCCCAATATGAATATAATGAATGCTAATGAACTGTAATTTAAAAATGGTTAAAATGATAAATGTTATGCTATATATATTATACCACAATAAAAAGAAATCTATCAGGTGGTACTGTGTGGCATGTGAATGCTCTAAATGCATTAGCTCATTTAAATCCTCTCAACAGCCTTGTGAAGCAGATGGCAGTGCTATCTCCAGGTGACAAATGAAGAAATGGAAGCTCCAGAGGTTAAGTAATTCACTTGGTTAGAATCACCCATCTAGTACATGCCTTCAATTAGTACTATTAGTTACAATATTATTACTGTTGTTAGTGTTAACTAGTATTATTAATAATTGATAGTATTATTATTGCAAATAATATAATAATACTAATATTGTTAGTACTATTAGGATAGATTTCAGAGGCAGTTAGTGGGCTTTTGAATCCCAACTGTACCATCCACTAGCTGTGTTATCATGGGCAGGTTAGTTGATCTCTCTCTGCCTGTTTGCTTATTTATTAAAGAGGGATAATCATAGTGCCTCTCTCATAGGGTTGTCAAGAGGATTGAAATGAGTTAGTAAGGTGTGAGTGCTTGGAGCAGTGCCTGGAAAATTGTAGGTGTTAAATAAAATACTATTGGTACTATTAAGCTTTTTCAAGAGCGGAATTAAGCTAAGACATTATGCAACTTGCCCAAGGTCACATGACTAAAGGAAAAGGTGGAAGAGAGGCTCACACCTTTATTGGCCAAGGCGGAAGAAGGTGGACATTTACCGAGGTCAGTAGCCACACTTCCCACAGCCACCAGAGGCCCATTACAGAGGCAGGTCTAAAGAGATCTTAGATCAGTGAAGACTTACTGGGTAAGGACCTCTTTGATAAATCTGGAGGCGGTTAAAGTTAAGACATCCTCACCACAAAAAGATGCACACATGTGAAATGATATAAACTTATAAAAAAAAAGTCCAAGGTTTTTGGATCCCTGAGCATTGCCCTCCCCATCCAGGGAGTCCTCTGGTAAGAAATTCTACCCTGGAGAACCCTGCCCAAACCTCACTCCCACACTGTATTGATTTAGAAGGAAAACTCCCAAAAGGTCAGGGCAGTAGTTCTCCCTTCTGCTTCTGATTCATTAAACCTGGTGCAGGATGCAGGGATATAAATTTTTAATAAGGCTTTCCGAGAGATTCTGATGCAAGGAGCCACTATACTCTGAAAATCACAGCTTAATGGAACTTGCTCAAAGTTACCCAGGTAAAAGAGACCAAGACAGGATTGGCCTTAAGAAATGACTCTGCCTGCAGAGTCCAAACTCCAGTGAGTTCTCCTTCCACTTTGTGCACAACCTAAAAATATTTTCAAATAAATTAAATTTTTAAAACTTTTCAAAATTGCTACATATAGAAAGAAATTTCACATAGAGAAAACTAGAAGAGAATATGCCAGGATATTAGTAATAGAGTCTCTTGGAAAACAGAATTGTAACCATCTTTTCACTTTTATCTGCTTTTTTATATTTTCTGATTTTCATGCAATAAATATATATTCTATGTAAGACATCTTTGAAGGTAAACCTTATGCTTAATATTTATTTTTATATTTTAGTTTCGTGGACATTGTATTTAGAACATTAACCCACTTAATTTCTGTTTTTCCTGGCTCCTTACTTTTAAAAAAGGAGATAAGTGGGGGAAATTAAATAAATTTACTTGGAAGTGAACCAAAGTAAAGATAGGAAGGAAAAATGTGCTTGATTAGCCACTCTGTAAAGAATTATAGAGATAGACCTAGAATTTCTAAACTACTCTATCACCCTTGAAGAGAAAAAGAAATGAAGAACACAGCCTTGGATGACGTACTAAAGCATATGTTTTCAAATCGTTGGTTCTTTTATAAAAATGCCATTAGGAAGAAGAAGGTCAGGAAGACAGAAAACGCCTGCATCCTGGGAGTGTGATAACAAAAGAATGATGATCAAGCCTTACATCTGTCTAGCACTTACCATTTTTCCAAGCCCATTTATAATAATTAGCAATTGGAAAGAACCCAAATGGGCAACAATAGGGGAATGGCTAAACAAACAGTGGTCGATTAATTCAGATGGAATACTTCATAAAGAGAGACAATGGTGAGCTTGCAGACTGAGCTGATACTGGAAATGTCTGTATGACCTCATGTTAACTAAGAAAAAAATGAAACACAAAATAGCGCCTTGGGGACTTCAATAAGGCATTTTAAAAGGTCCATCACATTAGCTTCTTAGACAAGATGGAGAAATGAGAACTTCATTGTTTATTAGAGAGAAGAGCTGACATCAACATCTGGCTCTTCCAGAAACTAGCTAAATAGCATTAGAGAGGTTAGGGGCAATTCCCTTTTTATATGCGTAATGCATTTCTGACTTCAAAATTTTTTTACAAAGCCTGAGTTAGGAAATTACATGTCACAGGATTTTTCAAAGACAAAAAAAAAAAAAAAATGTAAGACCTCTAATACATCTTGCCTTCTTGAGACAATCTTTTTGGATTTGCTTCTAGCAATGTATATAATTTTTAATTTGGCCCTTTTCTTTCCAGTTGAAACCAAAGTATAAAGGCTTTAAGTCCAAAAAGAATTCACCACTTTTGGTATTCCCAATAAGTTTTATTTTAGTCTCAGTTTGCATTGAGTATTATTAAAATGTTAAGTTCATTATCACCAATATTAGAGCTTATATTTTTTTCAGCTCCCACACAAATCTAGTAAACCACGAGTCGGGCATTGTGTTCAGAACTTTTGCAACAGCAGTCCTGGCCTTGTTCTATGTCACAGATCCAGTAAATAATAAAGTTAAATGTATGCAAAAGCTCTGAACACAATGCCTGAAACATAATTTGTCCTCAGTCGGGGTTTACTAAATTCTATTTTGGATGCTAGCATGTAGATTAACAACAACAAATAATGGTGCACACAGAATACTGCTTTACAAGTTGAACAGTGTTTACCTAGCAGGACACTTCTGCTAACAAGCATCAAAGATCCTGGCTTTGCTTGCCGTAAGAATTTTAGCCCTGCCTCAGGAGAGTTAGACCATGAAATTTGTGAGTGGCAAAAAGCCAAGAAGGGGAGCAAATATTTTAGAACATAAAATAAAAATCTAGGATAATTTGGTCAAGTCCTGAGTTATGGTTTAAACATACCAGGATGAAAGTGAATGCAAGGAGCTGGGTGTGGTGGCACACGCTTCTCCCAGCTATTCAGGAGGCTGAAGCAGGAGGATCCCTTGAGCCCCTGAGTTCATGGCCAGACTTGGCAATATAATTAGACCTCATCTCTTAAAAAAGAAGAAGAAGAAGAAGAAGAAGAAGAAGAGGAAGAGGAAGAGGAAGAGGAGGAGGAAGAAGAAGAAGAAGAAGAAGAAGAAGAAGAAGAAGAAGAAGAAGAAGAAGAAGAAGAAGAAGAAGAAGAAGAAGAAGAAAGGTATTGCAGGGAAATAGGGAAATGTAAGACCTTCCATTTAGATCCCAAAGACTGATCTCCCAAAAATGAGTTGGAGAATATATAACTTACTCTAGCATGTATGGAAGGGATTCAGGGAATTTGATTAGCAGAAAGTCTACTATGAGTCTATATAATAATTTGAATCTGCAAAATGCTAATAAGACCCAGGCATTTAGAATTAGAGGCAAGGACATATTGAGAGTTTGAGTTTAGTTTTTTTAAGGACTTAGGTAGAATAGGTTATGTGTTTGGAAGACAGGGGCCAGGATGATTACTGAGAGGACTCTCAACCTCATCATCTACAGAATTTTTGAAGGATCCAGTCAAAAAAAGTCACTGGGGTATATGATCACCTATTTCAAATGCTTCTAACAATGGACGAAGAAGTAACATTTATTGTGTAAGCCATCAGGTAGATTCAAAGGGTAGAAGGTGATGCAAGATGACAATATAGAGAGAATTTCTAATCATCAGAACTTCCCAGAGATAAATCACATTTGGTAGATAGAAAGTTCACCTTCAATGGAGGTGTTCCAGCATAAACTGTAGAATCCCCTGACAGAAAGTAGTAGGAAGTTCATAAGCACACGGTGATGGGAAGGCAGATGCCCCTTGAGATCCCTTTTAGTCTCTTTCTCTATCCTATTCTAGTGTTTATGCCACTTTCAATTCAAGTATGTGAAAATACGTGTGTGCAAGACTAAACCTGGGAACAAATATGGAAAGATATGAACAGTTGACAGGTAAATGCACATTAGGTTCCTTCTTCATTTATTCATACTCCCTCATACCTCACACCACATATGTCTGTGTTAATAATAATCTAGATCAAAGAAAATGTAAATCAGAAAATGTCATTTCTGAGAGCAAAGATTAAGGCACTATATTCAAAGGCAGGTCACCAAGGTTCTGTGCAGTTCCTAAGTGAATGACAGATTTGGCACTGAGCTTCCTGGTTGCCAAAGTGAAAAGAGAAACTGCAATCAGTCACAAGATTCTCAAAGGTCAAGAGAAGAAAACATTTCAGTTCTTCAGAGGAGCAAAACTCCTGGCACTTAGCCCTGAAAGGAATTGCTCTTGTGGAGACGCTGATCACTGTTAAAGACAGCGTCCATAACAAGAATCCCTGGAGTAAATACAATAGTGTGGGCCTTAAAGCTGTTTCTTGATGGTGCCTCTGGAAGAAACCTGAGGCTGTGACCCTGGAGCACAATGTGGTAAAAACACTTCTCTCAAAGTGGAAAAAATAACATTTGAATTCTTTATAATCTAGGTAGACCTAAAAATTAATACCTAAAATATATATTTTTTAATTAAGTGGATGACATAAGTTTCACACAATCCTTTATGAATGTTATTTCTCTAAACCAGAGAGTTTGAGCTTATACTCTGTGATAGGGACTTATCCTCCTTAAGCTGATAAGTATTTTCCTTTTTATTTCACTCTTTTCCTTTAACTTTCCTTTTTATTTAGATCATTTCCTTTTCCTCCATATTATACAGGGCCCCTCTCTGCCTCCAGGGCTGTTCCCCTCCTCCAGGCTGTCACCTACTGTCTCTGTGTACAGCTCTCTTTTCCCTTCGTGGTGCGAGGCAGTTTGTGTGACATGTATCCTCCCACTGGGAACTAAATTAAGACATCATAGTCTTGTCACATCAGGCACCTAATAATCACTAGTTGTTTGCTAGCACTGTTCATTTGGGATGAATTCAAAATTCTGATCCTGAAAGAAAGCTGCCAGTTTCCATTAACAGCAATTGCCAATTCAAAGGTCTTGACCGGGAGCTAAAGAATAAAAAGCTAATAGAACAAATGACTAATGGGACTTGAATATACCTTCCGTGATAGGAGAGCTAGTCGAGCATGGGACTGCCTGGAGACTGGGTGGCCATGTGGCTGAGTTCTTGATGGTGGAATGTGAGTGGAAGTTATGCATGTCTTCTGTGCCCTTAAGACAAGAGATGTCCCTCCTGAGCACCACAGCCAGCCTCTAAGATGCCAGACAGCCTCTAAGGTGTTCTCCAGCTGGCCTGAACAACCGCAGGGAGCAGAGTTCAACAACTCACCCTGAAGAGAAAATGAGCCATTGCATTTTGGGGTCCCCTTGTCATAGCAGTTTAACTTCCCCACCCTCCGCATAATTCCAACTGGATAATTCCAAGCTGGCTAGGGACCCATGCCATCTCAGAAGGGCTTGATTGGTGACCAACTTCATCACATATAATCACTTACTTTATTTGAGAAACCTATACTTTCAGAAACTCTTCATACTAAAAGTGTGCTCTTAACCTTTAATCTTAAGAGTTTTCTCTAAGTATGTACATGTGTGTTTTCCACAGATAAAATTTAGTTTGCACTTTTGATGAATCAAGGGTTGAATGCTTGCCTTCTTTATTAATCACAAAAAGTACAATAGTAATATTCCTATGAATCACAATCATTTCTACATGTTCTGTCACAATTTAGAGTGTTCCAGCACCTTATGCTTCCAAAAGTGTGGTATCAGGAATGGTAGATGAGATGTTTTTGGCAGGACACAACTTTTTTTAATTAAATAGCTAAATGGCATTTTAATGTGTATTTAATGTGCCTTCTATTTATGGCAAGTGACTCTACCTCTCAATGAGGTAGTATATTTTTTCTTAAAATAAATTTATGAAAATAAAAAGTAAGACTGTTTAGAGAAAAACATGAGTAGTAGAGGAAACGAGAAAAGTTGTTAAGGTGGTAACGCAAATGACTGAAACTGGGAAACTCAACAATAATTGCAAGACAGATTGAGGAGACATTATGATATTCACTCTATAGTGATGAAATTAATACTCTAAAAATGACGTTGGCCAACTGCATCAATAGACTAACTCAGTGAGATAAATAATACTAACAACTAAAAATTATAGGCACTTTTATCATTTACAAAATACTTTTTCATATTATCTCTTTTAATTTCATAATTGAATGTGTTGACATGTAATATTAAAGCTAATGGAAAATAACACAAGAGTTCTATCTTTAAAAAGACTGAGCATGTATATGATGTTTGTGTTACAGCATTAGTAAAGGAGAGCTCTCATGGGCCTAATCACCTAAGACCTAGGTTCGGAATTCAGGTCAGTTGCTCATGTGGAACCCAGAACAGGCTACTTGTTCAATAGTCAACAGACACTGAACACCTATCATGTGAGAGGCACAGATCCAGGTACTTGGGATAAATCAGTACACAGAATAGCAAAGGTACTTGACCTCAGGGAATTTACCTTCTAATGAAAGAGACTACTATGGTCTGAATGTTGTGTCTCCCAAAATTCATACATTGAAACCTAGTCCTCATTGTAATAGTATTAGAAGGTGGGACCTTTGAGAAATAATTAGGTCATTAGGGCTCCACCTTCATGAATGGGAATGGTGCCCTTATAAAAGAGACTGCAGAAAGCTAACTAGCCTTTCCACCATGTGAAGATGCAGTAAGAAAATACCTTTTATGAATCAGAAGACAGCCCTCACCAGACACTGAGTCTATCAGCACGTTGATCTTGAACTTCCCAGCCTCCAGAATTGTAAGAAATACATTTCTTTGGTTTATAAGTTACCCAGTCTATGGTAATTTATGTAGCAACTTAAATGGACTCAGACAGAGTCATAAACCTCGAAAGTAAATTATAGAATGTATTAGAAGTCAAGAAATGCTCTGTAAAAAGGGAGGAAAGGGGGAAGAGGATAGTATGAAATAGCAGTCAGACTGGGCTTCGTGAAGGAGGTGACATTTGACTTTAAAAAGGCAAGGGCATGAGCCAAAAAGGTGTCTGGGGAAAGGAGAGTCCAGCAAGAAGGACTTACTTAGGGTTTCCTAAGGCCAGCATGTACCTGATGCACTCAGGAAACTGCAAGGAGACCTGTATGATTGGAACAGACTGGGCAACGGGGAAAGTAGCAGGAAGTGGGTTCAGAGAGGTGGAGGTAGGAGGTGCAAATCACGTAGGGCCTTGTAGGCCATTGTTTAGTAACTTCAGCTTTTACCCTAAGTGAAATGGAAAGCCATTGCAGGATTTTGAGCATATGGGTGACATGAACTCACTTATACTTTAAAGGATGACTCTGACTGCCCTGTTAAAAATAGAATATGAGGCTGGGTGCCATGGCTCATGCCTGTAATCCCAGCACTTTGGGAGGACAAGGCAGGCAGATCATGAGGTCAGGAATTCAAAAGCAGCCTGGCCAACATGGTGAAACCCCGTCTCTACTAAAAATACAAAATTAGCCAGGTGTTGTGGCGGGCGCCTGTAATCCCAGCTACTCGGGAGGCTGAGGCAGGAGAATCGCTTGAACCCGGGAGGCAGAGGTTGCAGTGAGCCGAGATCGCCCCACTGCACTGCAGCCTGGGTGACACAGCAAGACTCCATCTCGGAAAAAAAAAAAAAAATAGAATATGGGGGATACAGGGACACCTTTTAGGAGACTATTGCAATAATCCAGGTTAAAGATTATGGTAACTAGGAATACAACCATAGCAGTAGATGTGAGAAGTAGCTGGACTCTGGATATAGGCTAAGGGTGGAGCCATGGAAGTTCCTAATGGACTAAATATAAAGTGTGAGAGAGAGGGGGCAGTTAATTGGACTTAACAATTGGAAGAATAGAATGACAATAACTGAGCTGGGAAAGGCTATAAATAGAGTAGGTTTGGGGATTAAGATCAGGCTTTAATTTTTTATTTATATACATATTTACCATTTCTGGTGTTCTAAACTTCTTTGTGTAGATTCATACTTTTTACTTGTATTATATTTTTTCTGCCTGAAGGAATTCAGGCATTAAAGGAATTCCTTTTAATTTTCCTGTATGACAAGAAAGGACTGCTGGTGATTAACTCTTTCAGCTTGTTTGTCTTGGAAATTTGTTATATTTTGCTTTACTTTTTGAAAGATATGTTCACTGGGTATAGGATTCTAATTCAGCAGTTTTTTTCTTTCAGTATTTTAAAGGAATCATTCTGTGTCTTCTGGCTTCCATTGTTTCCAGTGAGAAATCAGCTGTAATTCTCTGCATTCAATGTCTCTTTTAAAAAATCTATGGTGGCTTTTAAGAATTAGTCTTTATCACTGGCTTTGAGCTACTTGATGATATGACCTCATGGTCATTTTCTTAGTCTTCCTTTTCCTTAGAGTTTGTGGAGCTTCTTAAGTCTGCAGGCTTATAGTTTGTATCAAATTAAAAAATGTTTTCCATCATTATTTCTTCTAATTATTTTTTGGTTCCCTTTCTCTCTCCTTTCTTTTGAGGACTCAAACTACACATATATTAACCTGGTTCAAATTGTCCCAAAGTTCACTGATGCTCTGTCATTTGTTTTCAATCATTTTTCTCTGTGTGTTTCATTTTGGATGGTTTCTATTGCTATGTCTTCAAGTTTAAAAATTTCTTCTTTACTAGCCAGGTGCAGTGGCTCACGCCTGTAATCCCAGCATATTGGGAGGCTGAGGTGGGTGGATCATTTGAGGCCAGGAGTTCAAGAACAGCCTGGCCAACATGGCAAAACACTGTCTTTACTGAAAATACAAAAATTAGCTGGGCATGGTGGCACACACCTGTAATGCCAGCTACACGAGTAACTGAGGCACAAGAATTGCTTGAACCAGGGAAGCAGATGTTGCAGTAAGCTGAGATTGCACCACTGCACTCCATCCTGGGCAACAGAGTGAGACTCTGTCTCAATCAATCAATCAATAAAATTTAAAAAATAAAAATTTCTTCTTTAGTGCCTAATCATCTCTTAATCACATCTAATGTATTTTTTATCTCAGACATTGTATTTTTCACCTGTAAAGGTTAGATTTGGGTTGAATGAAAAGGACTGTGTCTTTCCTTAGCATATACTGCTTCCTCTATTTTCTTGAATTTATGATATTTAGTCCTAATAACTGTTACATAGTCTTTGCCTAATAATTATGTTATCTATTCATTTCTGGGCCTATTTCTATTGATATTTTTTCCTTGTTATGGGTCCTATTTCCTGCTTTTTATTTATGTATTTATGTTATTTATGTATTTATTTATTTATTGGCATGCCTGGTAATTTTGATTGGATGCCAGACTTTGTGAATTTTAGCTTTTCAAGTGCTGGATATTTTTATACTCTTTTAAATATTTTTGAGTTTTGTTTGAGGATGCAGTTAAATTACTCAGAATGTGTTTAATCCTGTTGAGGCTTGCTTTTAAGTTTTGTTCAGTGGGACTAATGTAGCCTTTACACTGAAGTTAATTTTAACTTATTACTGAGGCAATACCCTTCTGAATATTTTTCCCATTACCCCATTTATTACAAAGTTTTCCCACTCTGGCTGGTGGAAACATGAACTATTCCTGGTCTTAGCTGGGCTTCTAAGATTGTTCTGCCTACTGCTTTCTAAAGGTTCTTTCCAAGGCCTCAGGTAGTTTCTTTACATGCATGTGTTCATCAATACTCAGCTGAAAACACAGGAGAATCTACAGATTTCCAAAGGTCTCTCCCTCTGCGTGCATGTGTGTGTGCGTGTATGTGCACATGTATGCAACTTCTCTCTGTGCAGCTCTCTCTTCTCCAGTACTCTGTTCTGTTCATTCTAGCCACCCTGGGATCCCTAAATTCTTAACTCTGTCCTCAACTCAGGAAAATCACAGTTCTGTTTGAATTCTCCATTCCTGGTGCCATGCTCTGGAAACTCTCTCCAGGCATTAATTTGAGACAATCAGAAGGGTCACCTCACTCATTTCCCTTCTCTTAGGGATCTTTGTCCTATGCTGTCTAGTGTCCAATATCTGAAAACCATTGTTTCTTATGTTGAGTTATTTGCTTCAGTTGTCCAAAGTGAGAGGGTCAATCCAGTTGCTCTTACTCCAAAGTTCAGTTTTTAACATGTTGAGTGTGAAATGTCTGTTAGACATCAAAGTGGAGGTAGGAGGCCTACTAAAACACATCTAACTAGGCCCTAACTTCAGAATTTCTGGTTCAGTAGCTCTGGCGCAAGGCCTAAAACTTTGTATTTCTAACAAGTTCCCAGGTAATGCTATTACTGCTTGTCAGGGACCATACTTTGAGAACACCGGCATACTGCAATTTTGCCCCACGATGTGGCTAATGTTTTTTTTTTAATATAAAACAAAAATCAGAGAGTTACTTCTCTGTTAATAATCTTGGACAGATCCAGAGATCTGTAATCTTCAGGATTGGGCTGACCCTGGTCAGTCTTTCCAGCATCCTTTCCCCTCCTTCCTGAACTCCCTGTGCTGGGCTATTCACACAGTACCCTGGCTGTGCCAGGTTTTCCTGGCTTCCCCTGATGTCTTTGTGCCAGGTTCTCCTGGCGTCCCCTGATGTCTTTGCACATGCTGTGACCTCCTTCTGGAAGGTCCTCCTTCTACCATGTTCAGCAGAGTCCAAGTTATCATTTATCAGCTTTGGTATCACTCCCTTTATGGGACCTTTCCTGGCGCTAGGCAGAATTGGGTCTCCCTCTTCTATCTCCCAATAGTGTGTTAGCACTTAGCGGAGTTTCCTAATAACTGTTTTCTTGTCAATCTTCCTCATTATATTTGGACCTCCTTTAGGAGAGGGCTTTTTAAATTATTCTTAATTTATTTCCTTTACTTTGCTCCTAACTGAATGGTAAAGATCTCTAGAGACTTTTTTTTTACTTGCAGGAACACTGTTAGTTGTCCCAATAGTTGGTGGGAGACTACTAGTATTTAGGGAGCAGAGATTACTAAAGCCACAGCATGGTATCTCACAGGCAAGAATAGTCAACATCAACCATGATTTTCAAATATCCCATCGGATATCATGTAAGTGGAAACCTTGTTTATGATTAACTGAACATAGAACCTAACTCTGTGTTACAAAAAAACAAAGTATTTTTGCACAATTTGAACATACAATGGGTTACCTGAATTGCAACTACCACATAAATGGAGGAAAGGTCAGACTTTGTTTTGCTGGGAAATTTAACCAGAAACTTTTACCATTTGGAGAAATCACATAACCAAAAGCAACACTCTCATTGTAGTTGAGTCTTTAACACATGGAAATCATCATGTCAATCTGCATTTGTAGCTGATACATTCGTGATAACATGCAGATGCAAACATCTAACTACAACAGCAGCTGCACTTAGCATTTAAATGTTACTTATTTTTTAAGTTATTTTCCTTTTACTTTTACTTTTCTTTAGAGTTAGAATGATATATTATCTCTTAAAAGTACATTTGCAGGTATGTTATGCTATCTGTAAATTTTATTTCAAGACAGTAGTTAATTATAAATTGTTATGGAGGGAGTCGGTATACAAAGCTGTCACTATCATTCCATAAAATAAAATCCAGATTCCCTGACATGGCATTTGAAATCTTTTACAATTTTGTTCTAGAGCATTTTTCCAATCTCCATTCCAACCTTCTCCCACCTTCCCTTCTCCAGCCACACAGAGTTTCCACCTTCTCTTGTGCACACCATGTTCTCACTCTTTGCACATCTGGACTTCCTCAATCTGGAGTTTTCTTGTCCCCTTCTATTGACTTCCCACTGGGTTTTTTTAAAGCCCTGCTCAACATAATTGCTAGTTTGCCTGCCTTCCTCTCACATCAGTCTATAGTCTCCTCAAGGATAGTATGTTGGCTGAAAGCTTTGGCTTTGATGTAAGCCAACTGGGTTCAAATCCACCTCTGAAACACTCTAGTTGGGTGATCTTGACTTTGGGCAAGCTAACTAACCTTGCTAAAACTCAGTATTTTCTTTTACAGAATAAAGGCAATAATACTTACCTCTCAAGGAGTTTGAAAGAATTAAATGAAATACTGCCTCTACAGCACCTAGCAGAGTACCTATCCCTTAGTAAATGCTCAATAAGTAGTAATTATTGCCATAGTTATTATTCATTCCTTACATTTATCATATTACATAAAACATAGTGGATGGGCAATAAATGCTTGATGAATACATTCATTTGATTCTAATATATACTACTCATCTGAAAAAAAACCATTGGAGACATACCTAACCTCAGAGAAAGTCGTTGAGTGTGATATTGGAGCAGAGTGTTTTCCTGAAGTCTCTTCAGTAACATCATGTGGACAATTATTCCAACCAAGCTCAACCTGTGCCTCTTGACAATTTATAATTAATCCGGATGACCCAGATCCCAGATGAAGGGAAATAGTCAGAAAAATAGAGATAGTTGCTCTTTTATGCAAGCTTATGTTCCAGAATATAGATAATCCCTTTAAACAGGAATTTTTAGACTGTGTAGGAAGACATGCCTCATACTTTGCTCCAATTTAAAACAAGCACTGGGATTGGAGTGGAGCCAAGGACTCTGACATTAATGGAGGAAGAAATGAGCAGGCTCATTTCCCTGTAGAAATAGACAGAGGGAGAAGTCGATGTTCTTTACACTGATAACAACCCAAAAGGAGAATTGAGAAAGGAGAGTGCATTCAATCACAAAAACAGCCAGAGAGATGTCCCTATCCCCATGCCCACTAGCAATTACCAGGGCAAGATTGGTTCTGTTTCTGTACCCCTATAGTTCTGCAATAGAACTGAAGTATGTATTTGGATTACAAGTTTTTTCACTCAATTACCTGTAACTGCCAACTGAAATTTGGTGTTATTTAAATAACTTTTGTGTTATTTTGACCTAGAATTACAGAAACTTAAAAAGGTCAAATTTTATAGTTAAAAGAGTCGTGAGGGATCATTTCTTTCTGTTACTGTCTTTATGTTTAAATGTCATCTAAGCAACATTTTCTACAGTAACCACTACAAGTTTATTAAGAATGGATTTTGGGGGAAACCCATTTGGAAACTGATTAATTTTTCAGATGTCCTATCTCAGCACTTCAGTTGATTGACAACACATAGTGCAGTTGTCAAGCTACGTTAGACCAAAAGACCTCATGCAGGCAGTTTTGGTTTTCTATTAAAATGTAATTTATAATAGGTATTATTTAGCTGTGCTTTTTATTTGCAAGGTATAAAGCATTACAGTTGACCCTTGAACAATACAGGTTTGAATTGCCCCAGTCCACTTGTAAGCAGACTTTTTCCAATAAAATTTATACTTAATGTGCCTGCCTCTCCTGCCTCCCCTTCCCCTTTCTCCACCTCTTCTGCCTCCTCCGAAACAGCAAGATCAACCCTTTCTCTTCCTCCTCCTCAGCCTACTCAACATGAAGACAATGAGGATGAAGAACTCTATGATAATCCACTTCCACAATGAATAGTAAATATATTTTCTCTGCCTTATGATTTTCCTAATAATATTTTCTTTTCTCTGGCTTACTTTATTGTAAGAATACAGTATATAATACATATAACATCCAAAATATGTGTTAATCAATTGTTTGTTACCAGTAAGTCTTCCTGTCAACAGTTGGCTATTAGTAGTTACATTTTTAGGGGTTTAAATTCATAAGCATATTTTTGCCTAAACAGGGGTCAGCATTCCTAACCCTCACATTGTTCAAGAGTCGACTGTATTTTGTGGCCAGGTTCTGTGGTTCACGCCTGCAATCCCAGCACTTTGGGAGGCCAAGACGGGTGGATCACTTGAGGTCAGGAGTTCAAGACCATCCTGGCCAACATGGTGAAACCCTGTCTCTATTAAAAATACAAAAGTCAGCCAGGCATGGTGGTGCATGCCTGTAGTCTCAGCTACTTGGAAGGCTGAGGCAGGAGAATCGCTTGAACCTGTAAGGCACAGGTTCAGTGAGCCAAGGTTGTGCCACTACACTCCAGCCTGGGTGACAGAGCAGGACTCTGTTTCAAAAAAAAATAAATTAATGTTAAAAAAAAAAAGGAGTCAACTATATTTTGCTTAATGCAAACACCTAAATGTCAAGTGGCTCTGCATCTCACCAGACTCAACTGGGATCCATGATTAATAAATTAATTATTTGTTTCCTTATTTACTCTTAGGGAAAGGCTTTCCATCTCACATGTTGGTGCTTTGGATCTGTTCACATTCCACTTGCTTCTCCTTGAATAGCTGAAGAAGTAAACTCAAACCAAGTTTATATATTGAAGTCTTAAAATATAAAGTCCTAAACTAAAACCAACCATAGTACTTCTTGGCTTCCAATCCCTTCATAATCTGATGCTTCTTCATCTCTCCAGCCTCACTTCCCATCCTTTTCTAGTGACATGATATTCCTTTGAGTTGCTCAAACATGCCTTGCTTTCTCATTTCCAGCCTTCATATATGCTGTTCTCTCTGCCTGGGACACTGTTCTTCCCATTACTCCTCATTGCTCAAGTCTAGATTTAAATCTCACTTCTCCCTGAAGGTCTTCTCTAAACTCTAGGCCCGGTAAGATGTTGCTGCAATGTATCCTCATAGCACCCTGTATTTCCCCACTTAGGGAGTTATCTGCTTTCTCCACTGAACAATAAGATTCACAATATCTATCTCGGCCACCAGGAACATGCATGATATATATACTCTGTAAACATTAGCTGAATACATATATTGATGAATGCATCAGCTGTTTCAATCACCTTCACGTGTTAAGACAATATCTCCTTTCACATATGAATTGACCAAATTCTAATGAGCTTAAGAGATTTGTCCAACACCGCTATAGCATTTTGGCATCAGAACTGTTACTCAAGTCTCCCATTTTTATTATTATATTATTTATGGTTACAAACCAAAATATCCTCTAGGGTCATCAGTGAAATGGAAGGGATGTAAGACCATAGGTGATGGAGGGGGCTGTGACAAACTGAAGGACTCATGCCTCATTTGAGGGGAGCATCCGATATTCAGACCTAGCCAATTGTTGCCATAGAACGGGGTCCAGTGTTGCCAGATCTTCTTTTTTTCAAAAGAAAAATAAACCCATAAGTTTATGTGAAATATTCTGGATTTTAATACTAGCAAAATAAAATGTATTTGATGTAATATACTGGGCATCCTAAACAAAATACTCATATACTAGGCATGGACTCTAAGGCCCCAGTGTGCCATCTCCACACTGCACTGAGCTGCTTCTTTCTACACAACCCAGACCTATGGAGAGACCTTCCCTTGTTCCAACAACCAGCACTCAGGCAATCCTGTAATCCCCCTGTAGTTGAGAATTGAAAAATTCAATAAAACACAATTGCCTTTTAAGAGAGACACTCAGCTCTCCAATTGCTTTAGAATCGATCGACCCCCCACTGCATTAAGTTCAGCTCCCACACAGGCTATGGTAACTCTTATGATCTCACATAACAGAAAACAAAACTCTGCAAAAGTGGAAGAACAATTTTTTTTCCAGGAGATAACAAAGTACCACTTATACAAAGAAAGAAGACTGGATCTTATTTCTGGAGAAAAATGGCACCAAAGTTTCTACTTTCCTCCCCACTGTTACAACTAATCAGTGTATGACAACAGAGAGACTCGCCTAGCATTAGACTCAGAGGAGTTTGGTTTGCAGTCTGGCCCTTGCTCTTGAAGCTCCATGATCTCAAGTAAGTAGAACCTGTTGAGAGCCTCAGTGTTCTCATGGATAAAATAAGAAGAAAGTCTACCTCCTCCCAGGGCTGCAGTGAGGAAGGGACCAGGGAAGAGGCAGGTAGAAGGGCTTTGCCACCTGTCATATACCACACCAGTGTTAAGAGTTGACAATAAGTGGGGCTAACTGAACTTCGTTATTCCTGTGAACCTATTCTAGGTAGGAATGCCTGGCCCTGAATTCCTCTTCTGGACTTGAATGTGGTCCAGTGGAATTGCAAAGTCAGGATGAGAATTAATTTCTCATCATAGAGAAGAGAAATCCTATTTTTGTACTCTAGAGCCTATTTATCTAATTTTTACCCCCTCACTCTCTTCTGATATGGTTTGGCTGTATCCCCACCCAAATCTCAGCTTGAATTGTAGTTCCCATAATCCGCACGTGTCATGGGAGGAACTTGGTGGCAGGCAATTGAATCATGGGGGCAGTTACCCCCATGCTGCTGTTCTCATGATATTGAGTGAGTTTTCATGAGATCTGATGGTTTTATAAGGATCTTTTCCCCCTTTTTTGCTCATTCTTCTCCTTCCTGCCACCACATGAAGAAAGGCGTGTTTGCTTCCTCTTCCACCATGATTGTAAGTTTCCTGAGGCCTCCCCGGCCCTGCAGAACTGTAAGTCAATTAAGCCTCTTTTCTTTATAAATTACCCAGTCTTGGGAAGTTCTTTATAGCAGCATGAGAACAGACTAATACACTTTCTTATTCAAATATCAAGAAAGAGTCATAGGTTTTCCCCATTACTGATTCCCATCAATTTCTCTATAACTTCTCGAGAGCACCACTTGATGTCTACTAGGCTCTTACAGGTACCATTCTCTGCACTTACTTGTATTTATTCATTTGATTCTTACATCTAAACAACTGGTCTAAAACCCACTGCTAGAAAGTAATAAAGTCGGGATTTGAATTCTGTTCCTCTGGCTTCAGACCCTGAGCATTTAGCCACAATAATACATTATTTCCCCCTCCATGCACTGGAATCTGCTTTTGCATCTACCATTTGTTCATTCATTCACTCTTTTGACAATTCTAGACTGAGTGTCTACAATACGCCATACCCTCGTGAAGCTTATATTCCAAAGGAAAGAAAAAATGAATAAATTAAATAAGTTAAATATATATATACAGTAGGCAAGCTAGTAATCAATGCTAAGGATAAAAAAATTAAACAGGTAAGAGAGCTATGATAGCATGGGCAGGAGACTAGTCCAACAGTTGGAATGTGGGATCTACAGGCAGTTATAACAGTCAGGGGCTCAGCACCAGGCACAGAGTGCATACAAACCAAGGGAACATGGCAGACTTGTAGGAAAGAGACCCAACCAGTATTAAGCCCTGACTTTGTGCCAAACACAACATGTACAACATAAGTTGTCTCATTTGCCTTCTATCTTATTCACCTATGGTATCATTATATCAACTTAACAAGCCAGAATTTTTAATAACTTTGTTATTAATACTAACATGTACCAGGCCAAGTTCTTAGCACTTTGCATATATCTTATTTGAGCCTCTGAGGAAGGTATTGTTATCCTTTCTCATCAAAAATGAAATGAAGATAAGGGAGTTTACTGAGTTTACTCAAGGTTACCCAGCCAGCAAGTGGCAGGGACAGGATTCAAACACAAGCAGGGTTTCAAACCCAAATGTCTTGCTTCTAAACTAAATAACCTGCTGTATAGAGGTCAGTAAACAAGGATCCCAGCTGGAAAGCAGTGTCAAGAACATGGCAGCAGGTGGCAGCAAATGTATTAGTCTGCCGGGGCTGCTATAACAAACCACAGAATGGATGGCTTAAACCACAGAAATGTATTTCTCACTGTTCTGGAAGTCCAAAATGAAGGTGTCTGCGGGTTTGCTTTCTTTGAGACCTCTCTCCTTGGCTTACAGACAGCTGCCTTCTCACAGGGTCGTCACACAGCCTTTCCTCAGCACATGCGCCCCCGGGTGTCATTCTCTCCTCTTATAACAGCATAACAGCACTAATCATATTGTTCTTTGTTGTTGTTATTTTTTTTTAGACTGAGTCTTGCTCTGCTGCCCAGGCTGGAGTGCAGTGGTGTGATCTCTGCTCACTGTAACCTCCACCTCCTCCCAGGTTCAAGCAATTATCCTGCCTCACCCTCCCAAGTAGCTGGGTAATTTTTTAGCCTCACTAATTTTTGTATTTTTAATAGAGACAGGTTTCACCATGTTGGCCAGGCTGGTCTTGATCTCTTGACCTCAAGCGATCTGCCCACCTCCACCTCCCAAAGTGCTGGGAGTACAGGTGTGAGCCACCGCACCCAGCCAGCACCAGTCATATTGGATTAGGGCCCCATACTTATGACCTCCTTTAACTTTAATTACCCCTTTAAGGCATTGTCTCCAAATAAAGTCACACTGGGGGTTAGGGCTTCATCATATGAATTTTAGGGGGACAGAATTCAGTCTATAACAGCAGGTAACAGAACTCCAGTTCCTTCGGGAAGAGGAATGAGATGATTGAGAAAATGGAAGTCAAGATGCAACCTTATTATAACTAGAGTACCAGTTCTGGCCAGTGGGAAAGTGGAGATGATGGAGTAGGGGTGTGAGATGAGAGTGAGCAGCAGGCTTGCCCTGAGTCACCTACTGTATGATCGAGAGCGCCTTCAGTGTGCTGAGGCTGGAGGTTATGCCCTCGGTGTCTTACCCTGCAGTCCTGCAGTAGGAGGCAGGGGTGTGGGCACCAGAGCTACTGGGCAGAGAACGAAGAAAGTCATTTCACTGCTGTAGGAGCAGCCAGCTCATGGCTTCTCTCTAAAACTGGTGTACAATTTACAAAAAACAAAAAAAAAAATCAACCCCATAAAAAAGTGAGCAAGGACATGAACAGACAGTTTTCAAAAGAAGACATACAGACATACATGTGGCCAACAATCATATGAAAAAACAGCTCAACATCACCGATCACTAGAGAAATGCAAATGAAACCACAATGAGATACCATCTCACACCAGTCAGAATGGCAATTATTTAAAAAGTCAAAAAATAACAGATGCTGGCGAGGTTGTGGAGAAAAAGGAATGCTTATACAATGGTGGTAGAAGTGCAAATTAGTTCAACCATTGTGGTAAACAGTGTGGCAATTCCTCAAAGACCTAAAGTCAGAAATCCCATTCAACTCAGCAATCTCATTACTGGATTTATATGCAAAGGAATATAAATCATTCTATTATAAAGACGCATGCACACATATGTTCATTGTAGCACTATTCACAATAGCAAAGACATACTCTCAACCTAAATGCCCATCAATAATAGACTGGATACAGAAAATGTGGTACATATATACCATGGAATACTATGAAGCCATAAAAAAGAATGAGGTCATGTCCTTTCCAGAGACATGGATGGAGCTGGGGGCCATTATCCTCACCAAACTAACACAGGAACAGAAAACCAAATACCACATGTTCTCACTTACAAATGGAAGCTAAATGGTGAGAACACACGGACACATATAAGGGAACAATAAACTCTGGGGCCTTTTGGAGGGTAGAGGGTGGAAGAAGGAAGAGGATCAAGAAAATCAACTAATGGTTACTAGGCTTAATACCTGGGTGATGAAATAATCTGTACAACAAACCCCCATGACACAAGTTTACCTATGTAACAAACCTGCACTTGTACCCCTGAACTTAAAAGTTAATAAAGAAATAAATAAACTGGTGTGCCTATTCCCATCATTAATGAGCTCTACTTATTCTCTATACATCAGCACCATCCTCTATAACTTGTGTGCATGAGTGTATATGTATCTATCCATCTGGGAGTGGTAAGCAGAAAGAAAGAAAGAGAGAGAGGTAAATTATGTTAAAGAAAGAGAGGAGGAGAGAGAATAAAAATGAGAATCACAAGGGGAGGGAGGGAGAGAAGGGGGCATCCAGGGAATGAAGATCTATGGGGTTGGACCCCATGCAGAGACCCTTATCCTTGTATAGTCGTCAGGTGCCTGGCAACTGAGGAATCCAGGAGGCTCTATAAGCAAGGCTGATTTTCTTGTCTGTGGGCCTGAGGATATCTAATTTATAAAGAGTCTAGACCAGAGTTTCCCAACCACTCTGCCTACCTTAAAGCAGCCAGGCTGGATCTGAGCAGCCAAAGTCCTGAAGCATCTACCAGGATGCCAAACAAATGTTAATTCTATTCATGGAATAGATAGGCCATGGAAAAGGTTAGGGAGCACTGCTGCAGACCAGAACTTCCCAAATGTGTGAAAAGAGGGCTCCACAGTCACTTTAGAAAATGCTGTGTATTGTATACCACTTTGTGAATATACTCACAAAATGCAGCAGCATAATAAAGGCTCTGAGAAGCTCTCAGTTTAGGGAACAAGGTAGGAGACCTGTTAACTTTGCTTAGGCCTTCCAGTATCAGACTATATAGCTGGTTAACTTACATCCTTAAATCCAATAAAGCCAAGGATGGGAAACCCTATATCTCCCAGCCCAAATGCACGTTCTTTCTTTTCAGGAAGTGCTAATTCTCCTACCAGGTGATGCTTGCTGAAGCACAGGCAGTCTCTAAGATTAGATGGCCATCTTCCAGGCCAAGCAATAGGTGGTAAAGAAGTCAATCAATGTGTCCTTACCGGCCTAGTCTCCTGCTGGCAAACCAGCACATGCCTCCAACCAATAGTTCAGCGGCCAGAAACAAGCTTGTTGCAAGTTGTATGTTAGGGGTTGGCCAAGCACAGATTTAATTCTTAAGGTTTGGAACCATAGCTCAAGGGGCTAAAAATTCACTATTAAAATTGTGAAAAATTTGCGTGAGTCTAGAGAGTATGCGTGATTCGAGACAGACCGCAGCTCCTTTAACAGGCCTCAATTTTTCCAACGTATAAAAGGAGTGGGTTGGGTGATAACATAGGATGAATTGTGTCTCCCAAAATGTATATGGTAAAGTCCTAACCTTTAGTACCTAAGAATGTGAGTATATTTGGAGCTAGGACCTTTAAAGGGGTAATTAAAATTAAATGAGATCACTAGGGTGAGTCCTTACTCAATATGACTGGTGTCCTTATAAGAAGACAAGATTAGAACACAGACACAACACGAAGGGACAACCATGTGAGGAAGCAGTGAGAAGGCAGTCATTTGAAAGGAGAGAGGCCTCAGAAGAAACCAAACTTGCTGACACCTTCCTCTTGGACTTCCAGCCTCCATAATTGTGAGAAATAAGTTTCTGTTGTTTAAGCCTCCCAGCCTACAGCATTTTATTATGACAGCCTGGTAAACAAATACAGATGAATAAAGTCTCCAGAGTGAGCACTTAGTTGCCTATCAAACACCCCTTCCCTCCTGCTTCCTTACTAATGTAAACCACCTTTATTCAAAATTCACAGCATGAATAATCTAAGCAACTGTGTTTCAGTTTATCCCTGTTGCCAGTGAGTGGCTGAGAAACAGGCATATGACCAAAATCAAACCAGAAGACATTAAAAGAAGACTCTTGGGGCCTTCTAGGAAGAGTTTTCTCACCCCTTTTGGAAAGGCAAAGTAGGTATGGCCTCTTGTTTCTCTAAAAATGTTTGTGTCTCACTGAGACACCTGAAACTTCTGCAGCTAATTTGTAACCAACAGGGAGCCTGGCTGAAGGCAAAGACAATTTCCTAAGGATTGCAAAGAGGATAGATGAGTAATGACATCTCTGTCTACTATCTCACGCTAACCTGCAGCACCTCCCACCTCAGGACTTTCAGGGATGGCTGATTTTTAAAATTCCTTTTTATTTAAACCAGTCAGTTTTCTGTGATCACAGCTGAAAGCATCCAATCAGAGGCATTCCATCATCCTTTCCAGCCCCATTACTTCCTAGAAGCTATATTTCTAAGGCCACTCGCAACAGTAAACGTGTTAAAGAGAACCTTACAAACATGAGCTCCCCACATCTCTAAGAAGTAGTAAGATATTGTGATATAATAAGAAATACATATTTGGTCTTCATTTCTTGTTTCTGACACAGAGCTCCTAAATCCCTTGGAATTTCCTGGGTGAGAGGAATATCTTTTGTTCTAATGAGATAATTCTTTTTTGTTTGTTTGTTTTTGTTTTTTTTTTTTTGACATGGAGTCTCACTCTATCACCCAGGCTGGAGTGCAGTGCAGTGGCGTGATCTCGGCTCACTGCAAAGTCCACCTCCCTGGTTCAAGCAATTCTCCTGCCTCAGCCTCCCAAGTAGCTAGGACTACAGGCATGTGCCACCACACCCAGCTAATTTTTTGTATTTTTAGTAGAGACGGGGTTTCACCATGTTAACCAGGATGGTCTCGATCTCCTGACCTCATGATCTGCCGACCTCAGCCTCCCAAAGTGCTGGGATTATAGGCATGAGCTACTGCTACCAGCCAGTGAGATGATTCCTGGTAGCTCCTGAATGGGGGCTGGTCACCAGAAAGACCAAGCCATGACTGGAAGCTCAGAACTTTTAGCCAACCCCCTGCTCCTATCCTTGGGTGAGGGGAGAGGAGCTGGAGATTGAGTTAATAATGATCATTTCTACATAATGAAGTTTCCACAAATTACCTTGCATAATAAAGCCACATTATGCCTATGTGATGAAACTCTCCTAAAGTATGAGGTTCAGAGAGCAGAAGGGTCAATAAACAAGAACACATCGCACGCCAGGAGGGTGGTGTACCCCAACTACATGGGGACAGAAGCTCCTGCTCTTGGGGCTTTTCCAACCCCCATGGGCCTTTTCATCCTCTATCCTTTTTATAAGCAAGTGTTTCTCTGAGTTCTGTGGCACTGTCATAGCAAGTTATCCACCCTGAGGAGAAGGTTATGGGAATCCTCCATTTATAATGGGCAGCTGAGAATAAAAGAGGCCTGGAGGTGAGACTGGCATCTGAGGTGGGGGCAGTCTTGTGGGACTGAGCCCTTAACTTGTGGGATCTGGTTCCAACTTCAGGTAGGTTGTGTCATTATTGAATTCTAGGACACCCAGTTGGTGTTGGGAGAATAAGAGAGCTGGTTGGTGTTGGGAAAAAAAGAAAACCACACATCCAGTGTGGAAAGTGAAGCGTTCTGTGAGTACAGAAGGAAAAACCATTTGTTTTTCCTATATGGGTAGGGACTATCTTTAGGCCCATTTAAATAAAGAACAGGGGTTAAAAGGTTAAGTAATCTGAGACAACAGAGTGGCTTAGCCCAGAATGTGAAACCTGTCTGACCTGAGATCTTTGCTCTTACCCACTCTCTACCAGAAACTCTGAGAAAAAAAAACAGAAATTTTTCCAATCAGCCAGAAAGTTGCTGAGGGTCAGGGATAGAAATCCTTAATCATTCAGAAAGCCTCAATTTGAGAAATCTATCTTTTCAGAATCTCTTAAACTCCTTGAAACTCTAAATTGCTGCCAGAATGTTAGGAAGGGCTGATAAGCCCTTTGAATTCTTGTGCTATACTTTGGATTCTTCAATCATGATGATGAATCCCCAGCTAATTTCTACCATCTTTTTTTAAGAGATTGCACTATTTTCCAAACAATGTGCAATTAGGCATTGATTTTTATTATTAGTCCAAAGTCACATTGTTCTTCCTCTCTCTTTTTTCAGCTAACTGTTGGAGGTTGCTAAAGGTTTTTTTTATCTATTCAATAGAAAAAAATTATAAATATTTATTATGTAAAAATTACTGTAAAGAAAAGAGGACAGAACATAAAAAAGAAATGATCTATCACAGAACAAAAGTTATTGATCTTGAGATGTAACAAAAGACATTTAGGCAGGTTCTCAAGCAGGACTTTCTAACTAGAAGAGTAAAAGATATTGAAAGTGTTAACCAGAAAGCACATAATGAAATATCTCACAGAGTTTCTCCCAAAAAAAAGGGTGTGGAAATTTTAGGTGCAAACTTTCTTGATTGTGAAGGAGCAAGACTAGTTGTTTTGTTTTTGTTTTTGTTTTTTGTAACCATTTGGTTACAAAAAAAATTCAAACTAACTTAAATAAAAAGAGTTTACTGGAATGATATAGGAGTATCTTACAGAAGCCAAGCACAGGAACACCAAAAACAAAAGTCATTCAGCTGCCAAGGCCATCCCTCCCTGTCTTTCTCTTGCTTCCTTTTTTTCTTTATTTGCTTATCTTTCTCTCTCTCTTTTTCACTCTCTTTCATTACATTGTCATTCAGTTTGTTTTCAAAGCATTCTCTCTGCAAATGAGCTCTTCCTGTTGTACTACATACATCCCATTACCCAAGATGGCCCCTTCAGATCTCAATTCTAGATCATCTGAGAAGGTCAAGACACACAGCAAGCTAAACAATTATCTCTGCAACCCAATTCCAAATTTTCTGGGGAGGGTATGATTGGGCCAGCCCAGGTTCTGGGTTGTTCTCCTGAGCCAGGTACCCACTACTTGCCCAATCAGCTGTGACTAGAGAATAAGAAATATTCCCTAAGAACATGGACTAGAGTCCATTTCTGCTTACATGGGATGGGGAGAGCAAGGCAGAACAACTGTTCTCAGATTATACGGTGGGAGCTGGGTGAGTTCCCCAAAGGCTGTCTGCTGCACGTGATCTTTAGGGCTTTCTTCCACCATGAAATTCTCTATTCAAGAAGTTTTAATGATGACTTGGCTTCACCCTGCCCACCCCCTCCATTTCTCAAACGCAAATGCAAATAGGCAGGAGAAAGGAACTCGAGGCAGTGCCCGGCTCTGCTCCTCAGTTACGGAAGCTGGGCCCTAGGGTGGCGTTTCCTCCCAGAAGAAGTATGGGATGGAAGTGGTATTATCTTCAGCCTAAGCGAGGAAGCACAACCTCGGCAATTTCCTGGACCTTGCCCTCAGCTAATTAGCACTTTCACCCATCAGCCTCAGCTCAGCCCCAGAGTTAACCCTTTACCCGCCTCCATCAATCCTCGTGCCTCAGATTTCTCAAATCCCCTGCCCACCTCAAACACACACACAAATGTGTAGCGGGAATGGAACAGGGCTCTGCTCAGGCCATTCGCCTGAGTCCCTCATCCACATTGCCTACATAGAGGACTTTCTATTAAATAAAATGAAAAAAAAAGGTCATTGTGGTACTCCCCTGCTCCAAACCCTTCTCTGCATCCCCTCTATCAACAGGACATGGGTCCTTGACTTGGGCTAGAAGGTCCTGCAGACACAGCCCTGTATATCCCACTAGACTTGTCTCAGGCTCCTCTACAGTAGACATAGCCCATGTTTCAGCCTTCACTGAATTGTCTGCAGTTCCCTAACTCGCAGTATGATGTTCCCATCTCTGCACATTGCTACATGCTCCTCCTCCCATTTGAACTGCACCTCTTCTCCTCAGCCGCTCATGGCTATGCCCCTGCTTCTGCGGTGGCACTATGGCACCAGGAGGAAGTTATCTGGGTTCATGTCTGCTCTCTGTATTGAGCTTTTAACTCCTTAAAAGCAAGGACTCTGCTCTGCTCAGGGCCATATATCCAGGGCTGAGGGGAGTGTTAGTGCATCACGAAATGCTTGAAGGAAGAACACAAGAGAGAATGCAAATGAGAAGAACAGGAAAGAAACAGGGAAGGAAGAAATCTTCCTTCCCCTTAACAATGTCCCTGACCAGCTGTGAAAACAAAGGCAGGTGGTTCTCGGACAGAGCATACTTCTTCGATCAGTCCTAGGCTTTACAGCTTTCAGAACCCATTCATACACAAAAGCTCATTTGATCCTCATACATCCCTGTTAGGCGAACAACAATTGCCCCCATTTTACAAAGAGGAAAGACAAAAGCTAGAGAAGTTAAGTGACTTGAAAGAGCACCAGCGAGTCTCGGCATTCAGAGCCGAGGGGATTCCTTCCCCACAAGAGGATGCTTTCCTGGTCAGCAGAGATCAACTGTGCAAGGGGTTGGTGGTCTCTGAAGTGTCCCAGGCTGGCTTAGCCTGGAGGCGATCCCACTTTGAGCAGCCACCCAGGAGCTGGTGTCCCCACTCACTGCCCAGTTCCTACCACAGTACAAACATCATATTATTTCCCTGGGTCGAACAGCCTGACGCCAGCTCAGCTTCCTTCTGGCCCCTGTCTCTGTCCTACATCTGGGGAGACAGTGAATAATCCTTCCTTTCTTTCTGGAGGTTGTTGCCTTCAAGGTATTTATAGACTGCTCCTGGCCCCGCTGAGGCATCTTTTCTCTCCTGTTTAAATTTAGCTGCCTTTGTCTTCTTCCTCTGACTTATCTGCTGATCCTGCCTGGATTTCCTCTACTGCCTTTGTTCTCCCTGTGTTTGTTCCACATGTCTCTCATCTGCTGAGCCCAACGATCTCACCAAAGAGTTTCTCTGAAGCCTTATATAACTTTCTCCTCCATGCTCAGACCTCTCCAACAATCCTCTCTCTGCCCACTTTTCACTTTCTCTTGCAGCAAGTTTCACCTTTATCTTCTCTCAATCCAGTCCATTTGCAAAAAGGGAAAACTGGCATGGCCAATTTGCAAACAGCCAGAACAAAAGACTTTTCGATCTTGTCTGCCATTTTTACTTTTAAAGGCTCCTGGTTTTGACATGTCTAACTTGAGTCGCACATCTCAGAATCATTTTGTCTTATGTGTGCGTAGACGTGTCAAAGTCTTGGGCATCTTTGTTCTTTCAAAACTGACCATAAGACAGTTCTTGTCTTAGCACCGGAAAGAGCAATTGCTCTCAAAATCCAGAGGAGGAAAGTGCACTGTTTTGCCTGTAATAACATTTAATAGCTATAAGGTAGATCGAGATGAGATGTCCCACCTCTAAATCATAAAGGGGTCTCTGATCCTAAGGGCTCCAGGCTTAGGCAGGTCAATAAATGAAGCAGGCCTGACCACAGATATTAGGCACCTGCAGCATGTATACAGTAAAGGCAGTAGCATATCTCATCATTCTGGTCTTCTGATTTGTTCCAGACACATCAAAAATCTGGACTTTTAAATAATGGCAATTAATGCAAAATTTTAAAAAATATTATATGATCAGAATAGAACACAGACCACAAGTTGTGGCCCCCGCACAACCCCATCCATCCTCCGCTTTAGATGTCAGTCATCCTTGCTCCCTGCCACCTCCCTAGCCATGGCTTATAGACCAAGTGACCCTTCCAGATTCATTTAGCATTTCTATTGCACTCAGTCTTACAGCTTCATTTCCACTCCTCTGCTATTCTTAAAACCGGATTCTGGGCCAGGAGCGGTGGCTCATGCCTATAATCCCAACATTTTGGGAGGCCAAGGCGGGTGGATAACATGAGGTCAGGAGTTTGAGACCAGCCTGGCCAACATGATGAAACCCCATCTTTACTAAAAATACAAAAATTAGCCGGGCGTGGTGGCATGTACCTGTAGTCCTAGCTACTCAGGAGGCTGAGGTAGGAAAATTGCTTGAACCCAGGAGGAGGAGCTTGCAGTGAGCCAAGATCACGCCACTGCACTCCAGCATGGGTGACAGAGGGAGACTCTATCTCAAAAAAATAAAAAGTTTAAAAATTTAAAAAATTAAAAAAACTGGATTCTAAACCAATAACAGCAGGACTTTCCCTCTAATTCAAGCTCCCTGTGGACTTTCTGTCTTGTCTTTATGCTTGGCAAGAGTGGTGTTCATTTTCAGAATGGTCTCCCAGAAGATCTTCTGTGATACATCAGTCGGGATGAGCTAGGTTATACTCTAGAAACAAATGGCATTAAAATCCCAGAGGTTTAAATTACAAAAATTCACTGCTTGTCCATGCCACAAGTCCACTGAGGGGCTTTGCTCCAAGCCACTTGGACTCAGGTTGGTGGGGCAGCCACTATCTGAAGTGTTACCACCATCATGTCAGAGTATGACAAATCGCACACTGGCTCTCAAACCTTTTTCCCAGAAGCAACACTTATATCTCTTCGACTCACATTTCATTTCCCAGAGCAGGTTACACAGCCATATCCAATTTCAAAGGAGATGAAGAAATGTCATTTTATCATGTTCCTGGAAGGCGGGAGGATGGAAGTGTCTGGTAGCACTAACTGATTACCACATATGGTATTTCCACTTTAGAGGGAGGTTTCTTAGTTAGTTCTACCCATTGGTTCCAAAGTCATTCATTTATTCATTTAACAGTAATAACTGAGCAAAGCCCTGAAGTGGGAAATCTAGGGACAGGAATAAGAACTGACCTTTACCTTCAAGCAGCTATGACTTATCTAGGGAACATCCACAGATCTGTGCCAATAATTTGTAAACAAGGTACACAGGAGGTGCCTCAGGCAAGTGTAAATGAAGTACTGAGCATAGAAAAGGCAGTAAACATGGGGACATTGGCATCTGGGCAAATCTTTGGAACAGGAGAAAGGTAGACATGAGCAGGAAGGACCTTTCCTCTCCCCTCCCACACCCAGGTAGCTGCACTGCCCATACGAAGCAAAATCCCTCCACCCGAATATTTGTGACCACAATGATAGATGAAAGTACCAAACAGGTACAACTTCCTGAATAACTAGTCCTACACCTGGGCATATGATGCAGGCAAAGAGAAATACACATCACATCAAAAGCAGTTCCCACCCCTACCTATGGGTCCAAGACCACAATAAAGCTCATTGCTTCAATTCAAACTTCAGCTCCTCCACTTACTTGCTACATGAACTTGGGCAAGTCATTGAGCTACCTGTGTCTGTTTCCTCATATGCAAAACGTAGGTAATAATGGTACCTACCTCAAAGGGTTGATATCAGAATTGAATGGGTTAATACAGGTAATGAGACAAGTAAAGGCAGGCCGGGCTCACAGTAGACATCATGTAAGTAGTGGCTAGCACCCTCATCCTGCCCTCGTCATTGTCTTGATATGATTGTCATCTTGTTGCTTCTCCCTCCTTCAACATCTCAGTTGCTTACTACAACTCCTAAAGTGTGTGTGCTTGGCATTGACTAAGACTGTTCTTACGTGGTCCATGGAAGGAGATTTCATCCTCAAAAAACATTAGGCAGAGGGAAGAGGGCTTTGTGCCCTCAGGGGTGGTCTACCTGAACACTATTGTGTACCCCATCTCTTCCTCATCACCAGTAAATTTCTAATAAATATCTCTTTTAAACTTTTATTTTAGGTTCGGAGGTACATGTGAAGGTATGTACACAAGTAAATTCGTGGGTTCGTTTTACAGATTATTTCATCAACCAGGAATTAAGCCCATTACCTAATGATTATCTTTTCCACTCCTCTCCCTCCTCTTACCCTCCACCCTTGAGTAGACCCCAGTGTCTCTTGTGTCCCGCTTTGTGCTCATAAGTTCTCATCATTTAGCTTCCACTTATAAGCGAGAACATGTGGTATTTGGTTTTCTGTTCCTGCGTTAGTTTGCTAAGGATAATAGCCTCCATTTCTATCCATGTTCTCACAAAAGACATGATCTCATTCTTTTTTACGGCTGTAAGGTATTCCATGGTGTATATGTACCACATCTTCTTTATTCAATCTGTCAATGAGCATTTAAGTTCAGTCCATCTTTGCTATTGTGAATAGTGCTGCTATGAACATTTGCATGCATGTGTCTTTATGGTAGAATGATTTATATTCCTCTGGTATACATCCCATAAAGGAACTGCTAAATCTCTTTCCATATATCCCCCACCCTGAACTACTCCGTGAACTTCTAGCCAGAGTCACATGTCCATTGGATGGGCCACAAAGCACAAATCCCACCAGATGGACCCTAAGGGAACAGAAGACTCATGTCCTACACTGTGCATGGCAGACTGCCTCCGGGATGAGCAGTGCACAAGGCAAAAACCCTGTTTGTTTTCTTTAATCCAGAATTTTCTGAGTTAAATTTCAACCAAGGTAACTTCGTTTTGCAAGTGATACATTTTGGGAAATATTCTGCAAAGGCAAAGAACTGTTTCTCATTCATCCACTTATCCACAGAAATGTGGATAATGCTCGGTGTATAACAGGCATGAGAAAAGAGTCAATAAATTGAACTGAATTTGTTATATAACCTCAGGAAAAATATTTCCTCCCTGGGCTTCAGTTTTCCCATTTCTATAATGAGAGAATTGGACTAGAGGGTTGCTAAGACCATTTCTATCCTCAGTTATGAGCCAATCTTTCAGTAGGTGTTTTTTTTCCTTGCCCTCTGCCTAGTTATTATTGAACTTCATTATTTTATTCAAGATGGGAGCAAAAGCAAAACTGTCAACCCCCAATAAGCAGGAAGCTAATAGAGGAAATGATCAAAGATGACATTTACTGTGTGCCAGCCACATTTCCGAATGATTAATAGGGATTGCTGTACCTAGTTGAAACAAGACCATTGGATAAGTATCATTATTAAAATCGTTCCCATTTTACTAACACATTGAGGCACAGAGACACTAAGCTACTGCTTAAGTAGCTCTACCTAGTTGCCAGAGATGGGATTTGAATCCAGGTAATTTGACTCCAAACCATTAGTCTACACTGCCTTTACACATGAGGTACAGGAACGCTTTGGATTCAGTCTAGCCCACTCTGTTTCATTGCTAAGAGATAATAAAAAGCCCTAAAAACTTAGTTAATTTCTTCAAGTTGGTTCAATATGTTGGCCAATGTGATATTTCTCAATTCCTTGACTGCACCTTTCTTTTACCCTCAGCTTTCATGAAAGAATGCAGGAAATAGCAACATTCCATGCATTTATTTTTATCAATTATCATCATAACAATAGTCATCTACAGCATTTCTAGGAAGTTCTTTCTTATCCATCATTGGATATGATTTTCACCCAAGCCACATGAGAGGCACAGAAAAAAAATTGCCATGTCAATTTTACAATCAAGGAAACAAGCTACAAAAAGTGAGGAAGTTTGCCTAAGACTCCACACCAATAAATAAATTGTGGATCTTGTATTTGAACCTTGTCTTTGGATCTCAGCTAGGAAGTACTCAAGGGCTCAACCTGATCCAGGGCATTTGGCTCTCAAATTTGGCCCCAGATTGGGGGTGGGGAGTGTCAGAGTTTGTGAAGATATAGGTGTAAACTCAGAGGGAAATGGAGAGCCTGGAGCCAGGAAGAGAAACCTAGCTTGACAACCTCAGCAAGAGGGGTGAGGAAGCGGGAGGATGCATTAGGGGGTTAAGGTGCTTTCTTTGCACCTGCTCTTTTGTTGCTTCCTACTCACTAAGCCTCTGCCTCTTCAAGTCACTTATCTCTCCACCATCTTAGCCACCTCGTAAATCATGGACCTGGGATGGTTTATGCATTCATTGAGTGCCTACAATGGTGCCAGGCCACTGAATCAGGCACAACAGACACTGAGATGTAATAGACACAAATCATTGAATCCAGGGAAGATGTGATGGAGTCAGGCTCAGGAAAGACCTGCAGAGGTGGTATATTTGAGCTGAGTCTGGACTGGTATGCAGGAGGTCTCAGATCAAAATTAAAGACTAGCAGTTGACGCCAGTCTGGTCTTGGAACCATAGGTAAGGGTAGAGGCTATTTTGGATGTGACATGTATTTCTCTTTGCTTGCACCCTATGCCCAGGCTTAGGACTAGTTATTTAGGAAGTTGTACCTGTTTGGTACCTCTTTGGTACAGAAGGTGATTTGGGCCAGAATCAAGGTGTGGAAAAGAGTGTTCCAGGCAGAGGGAATAACATGGGCAGGATTTGTAACCTTTTTGATTGAAGCACAGGATGCACAGAGCTGAAGTTAGAAAGCAGGTAACAGCCAGATCCTGATGGGCCTTGAAGTCTAGCCTAAGCCATTGGACTTTATCTTTCAGGCAATGAGGGAACTCTGAATGCTAAATGCAGCTCCCCATTTTTGCTGTCCTGCTCCTCTCATACCAAGTCCTCCCCAGGACTTAGAAACTAATCCAGAAATTCTCATGGAAATTAGATAGGAAAGTGAAGATAAAAGACGAGAGAAAAAGTATCACTTCCCTTGGTCAAAAAAGTAAGGAACAGATGCATCATCCCATGGAGAAGGGTGCCACCAGGAGTAGGCAGAGGTCTCCGCCCCTTGCCTGGAGCCCAGGAGACTTGTAGTGGCAGGTCCTCAAGACAGACCCTCCCCACTACCCTCCCTGTGACTTTCTGTATTGAAATGAATGTGAGTGCTCATCCAGACATCACTGCAAATGCAGTCAGTCTCCCCATCTAAAACAATGAGTGCATGTGGATGGTGAGCATCAGTGAGCAACACAGAATAAAGACTGATCCCATCCCTTCCAGCCTCAGGGCAGCAGTTATGCCAAGTGCTATGCATGAACCTGGCACAGGGAGGCAGTGTGAGCTCATGGTCAGCCTCAGCCTGGACACCTTGGAGCAGGTGATTGAGGGCAGACAAAAGAGGGAATGGACCCAGATAACACAAGTGCGAGAAAAGGGAGGGGCATTTTCTACAACCAATTTATCAAAACGTGCTTTAATATAAGAGGTCTCCCTCTAGGACATACCTTTAATCCATGAATCCAGTCCTTTCAATCTTATAACAGGCCCTTGACAAGCAAAACTCCATGAAAGTTCTCAGTCCTTGATCATTTCCTTGGACTAGTGCTTAATATCCACTGTGGCCTAGCCCCAGCCTGCTTTCCTCCACATGCTGGTACTCACGCCAGTCTCTCTTCCCCATCCAGGCTCTCGTCTGTGCCTCTGTCCACACTGTTCCCTCCACCTGGAACAGCCTCTTTCAAAAGACCTCTCCCCTATTTCTGATCTAACTCAAATGTCGCCAACACCATGAAGCCGTTCCTGACCTACTTTCCACGAAGACAGAACTAAGCTCACTCGCTCTCTGTCTTTCTCGGCCACTTGCTACCATCTACCTTATGTGTCAGTGATTTGTATACATGGGCAGAAACTCTACCTCAGTGTTGCCATAGAGTATTCAGGATGTGAGCCCTGTTCACAATAACTACTCAATGCATGTACAAAATAAGAGGTTAAATTCTGTCTGAGGAATGGCCAGAGATGTCCCTGATTCTCGAGGGAGCTTCAGTTTTCCAATCTAGAGAACTTTAAGAAAAAGGGATAGATCAACTGGGAACTGGTTAACTAAATCATAGTATACAGGCATACCTCATTTTATTTCACTTTGCTTTATTGTACCTCATAGATATCACATTTTTAAGAATTAAAGATTTGTGACAGTTAGTCAAGTTGTGAATGCAAAAGAAAAGTTCTTAGCCAGACATGGTGGTCCATGCCTGTAGTCCTAGCAACTTGGGAGGCTGAAGCAAGAGGATCTCTTGAGCCCAGGAGTTTGAGGCTGCCATGAGTTATAATCACACCACTGCACTCCAGCCTGGGCAACAGAATGAGACCCCATGTCTAAAAAAGAAAAGGAAAAAAAAAAGTTCTCAGAAGAAATTAAAAGTTGCTTCCTGATCAGGATAGTGGTTGCTAAAGGTTGGGGTGGCTGTGGCAATTTCTTAAAATAAGACAACAATGACTGGGCACAGTGCCTCAGGCCTGTAATCCCAGCACTTTGGGAGGCTGAGGTGGGTGGATCACGAGGTCAGGAGCTCGAGACCAGCCTGACCAACATAGTGAAACGCTCTGTCTACTAAAAATACAAAAATTAGCTGGGCATGGTGGCACGCACCTGTAATCCCAGCTACTCAGGAGGCTGAGACAGGATAATCACTTGAACCCAGGAGGCGGAGGTTGCAGTGAGCCGAGATTACACCACTGTACTCCAGCCTGGGTGACAGAGCAATACTCCATCTCAAAAAAAAAAAGACAACAATGGAGTTTCCCATATCAATTATATCAATTGACTTTCGTTTTCACAAAGATTTCTCTGTAGTATGGGATGCTGTTTGATAGCATTTTACCCGCAGTCAAACTTCTTTCAAAATTGGAGTCAATCCTCTAAAAATCTGCCACTGCTTTAATAACTAAGCTTATGTAATATTTCAATCCTTTGTGATCATTTCAACAATGTTCACAGCATCTTCACCAAGAGTATATTCCAACTCAAAAACTCACTTTTTTGGCCAGGCGAGATGGCTCGTGCCTGTAATCCTAATACTCTGGGAGGCCAAGATGGGCAGATCACCTGAGGTCAGGAGTTTGAGACCAGCCTGGCCAACATGTGAAACCCCATCTCTACTGAAAATACAAAAATTAGCCGGGCTTGGTGGTGGTGCATGCCTGTAGTCCCAGCTACTCAGGAGGCTGAGGCAGGAGAATTGCTTGAACCCAGGAAGCAGAGGTTGCAGTGAGCTGAGATCACACCACTGCACTCCAGCCTGGATGACAGAGCATGACACTGTCTCAAAGAAAAAAAAAAAAAAAAACTCACTTTTTTATTCTTCTGAAAGAAGCAACTCTTCATCCATTCAAATATTATCATAAGATTGCAGCAATTCAGTCACATCTTCAGGCTCCACTTTCACTTCTAGTTCTCTTACTATTTCCACCAAATCTGCAGTTGTTTCCTCCACTAACATCTTGAACCCCTCGAAGGAAACTATGACAGTTGGAATCAGCTTCTTCCAAATTACGGCTAATGTTGATATTTTGATCTCCTCTCATGAATATGAATATTTTTAATGCCATCTGGAAGGATGAATCTTTTTAGAAGGTTTTCAATTTACTTTGCCCAGACCCGCCAGGGGAATCACTATGAATGGCTGCTATAGCCATACATAATATATGTCTTAAATAATAAGCCTTGAGAGTCAAAATTACCCCTGGATTCATGCACTGCACAGTGAACATTGTGTTACTGGGCTTGAAAACAAGATTAATTGCCCTGTACATTTCCATTAGAGCTCTTGAGTGTCTAGGTGTATTGTCAGTGAGCAGTAATATTTTGAAAGGAGTCTTTATTCTGAGCAATAGGTCTCAACAGTATGACTAAGATATCTAATAAACCATGCTATAGACAGATGTGCTGTCATCTAGGCTTTGCAGTTTCATTTATGTACAGCACAAGCAGAGTTGGTTTAGCATATTTCTTAAGGGCCTTAGGATTTTTAGAATAGTAAATGAGCACTGGCTTCAACTTAAAATCACCAGCTGCAGTAGCCACTAACAGCAGAGTCCACCTGTTCTTTGAAGCTTTGTAGCCAGCCGTTGACTTCTCCTCTATAACTATAAAAGTCCTAAATAGCATCTCTTCCATTAAAAGGCTGTTTGATCTACATGGAAAATTTGTAAATTTAGTGTAGCCACCTTCATCAATTATCTTATCTAGATTTTTTAATAATTTGCTGTAGCTTCTGTATCAGCATTTGCTACTTCACAGTGTATTTTTATGTTACGGAGATAACTTCTTTCCTTAAACCTATGAACAAATCTCTGCTAACTTCAAACTTTTCTTCTGCAGTTTCCTCACCTCTCTCAGCTTTCACAGAATGGAAGAGACTTGCTCTGGATTAGGCTTTGGCTTGAGGTAGTATTGTGTGGCTAGTTTGATCTTCTATCCAGACCACAAAAACTTCCTCCACATCAGTAATAAGGCTGTTTTGCTTCCTTATGATTCGTGTGGTCACTGGAATAGCACTTTTAACTTCCTTCAAGGACTTTTTTTTTTTTTTTTTTTTTGCATTCACAACTTGGCCAACTGTTTGGTATGACAGGCCTAGCTTTCAGCATATCTCAGCTTTTGACATTAGTGAAAGCTTTGGACATTCATGAAAGACATTAGTGAGCCTTGCTCACTAAGCTTAATCATTTCTACCTTTGATATAGAGTAAGAGACGTACAACTCTTCCTTTCACTTGAACACTTAGAGGCCCTTGCAGGGTTACTAATTGGCCTCATTTCAACTTTGTTGTGTCTCAGGGACTAGGGAGGTCCAAGGAGAGGAAGAGAGATGTTGAATGGCCAGTCAGTGGTGTAATCAAAACACTCACGACTTGTATGGATTAGTGTTGTATACGGGCATGGTTTGTGGTGCTCCAAAACAATTACAGTAATAACATCAATGATCACTGATCACAGATCACCGTAACAGATAAACAATAACGAAAAAGTTTGAAATATTGAATTACCAAAATTTGACAGAGACACACAGTAAACACATGCTGTTGAGAAAATGCCACCAATAGACTCGCTTGATGCAGGGTTACCACAATCCTTCTATTTGTAATGAAAACACAATATCTGAGAGGCATAATAAAGCGAAGCGCAATGAAAGAAGGTATACTTGTATGTCAGTAATAGCATAGAAGATGGGTTTAGATAAGTGCTGTCTTTCTGTTGTAAGATTCTTGCATTTCACAGGAAGTGATGCAATATTAGTTAAAGGTAGACTTGATAAATTAAGAATATGTATATTGCCTGGAGCAGCACTAAAAAAATACAAAAAAAATAGTTAAAAAGTCAATAGAGAAATTAAAATGGACAGCTACAAAATATTTGATTATCCCAAAGAAGGCAGGAAAGGAGGGAAAGAGGGACAAATAAACACATGATACAGAAAGCAGTCAAATACCAGTAAAGTATATTGAGAAACTGACAATATTATTAATTATTCTAAATGTAATAATATTGGGACTAAAGCCTCCAATTAGGCAGGAGAGACTTCTGGTTTGGCAAAATGAAGAGGTCAGCAAATCTTCTCCCCAAAAAGCAACTATATATACTAAAATCAAAACTGTCAAAAACAATGATTCAGAGCTCTGAAAATCAAACAGAGCCATACAGCAAATAAAGTTTGTATTCATGAAAAACTGCTAAATTTGGGATAAGAACTGCAGGAGTTTGTGGTATTCAAGCTTCAGACTGAAGCTGCTTTCATCCTCCCCATCCCCATCCAGCTTGGTCGGCAGGGTAGTTCTAGCCCAATGGGACTGGCTGTGAAAACCAGCAACTTGCTGCAGAGAGGACTCACTTGGTTTGGAATGGGAGGGAAAAAAAAATCCATATCCATCATCCCTGTCAGTAATGCTAGCAATCTTCGTGACCAGTAAACTGGGAAAGCCAACAACTCTACTAACCTGAGATTGCAGTCCTGGTGGAAGACTAACCAGAAAGTTAACAAGGAGATTCAGGAAACCAGATAGTCCTAAAGGGGCTTCACAGATCCCTGGTGCACGAGGATGCAGAGCACATGCAGAGAAGATGAAAGATGGCCTACCTGAGAGTAACGGCCAGGGCTGACCTGAAAACTTCCTGAACTTTGATAACCCACACAGATCTGATAGAAGTGTATGGAAGCCTCACTAGCTTGAGGTGTGTGGTAGGCAGAATAAAGTCCTCTCTTCCCCGCCCCCCCACAAAGATGTTCAGGTCTGATCCTATAACTTGTGACTATGTTAAGGGCATATGGGACTTTGCAGACGGGATGAAGGTTAAGGACCCTGAGATAGTTTATCTTGGATTATCCTGGTGGGCCCAATCTAGTCACAGGACTCTTTAAAAGCAGGCTTTGAAGATGGAGAACATAAGCCATAGACAAGCAAGGTTAATGCCGTCTAGAAATTGGAAAAGGCAAGGAAACTGATTCTTCCCCAGAGCCTTCAGAATGGAATGCAGCCTTAGCTGGGCACAGTGACACACCTGTAATCTCAGCACTTTGGGAGGCTGAGGTGGGTGGGTCGCTTGAGGTCAGGAGTTGGAGACTAGCCTGGCCAACATGGTGAAACTCCATCTCCACTAGAAACACAAAAATTAGCCGATATAGTGGAGGGTGCCTGTAATCCCAGCTACTTGGGAGGCTGAGGCATGAGAATCTCTTGAACCTGGGAGGCGGAAGTTGCAGTGAACCAAGATCGTGCCACTGTACTCCAGCCTAGGCAACGGAGCACGACAAGAAGAAGAAGAAGAAGGAGAAGGAGAAGGAGGAGGAGGAGGAGGAGGAGGAGGGGGAGGGGGAGGGGGAGGGGGAGGGAGAGGGAAGAGAAGGAGAAGGAGAAGAAGAAGGAAAAGGAGAAGAAAAGAAGAAGAAGAAGGAGGAGGAGGAAGAGGAAGGAGGAGGAGGAATAGGAAGGAGGAGGAGGAAAAGGAAGGAGGAGGAGGAGAAGGAGGAGGAGGAGGAGAAGGAGGAGGAGGAGGAGAACAAGGAGGAGGAGGAGGAATACAGCCTTGCCAATGCCATGATTTTAGCCCAATGATTCCCAAAGAGGACTAAAATAGTAAGTTTATTTTGTTTAGACACTAAGCTTGTGGTACATGTCAGCAATAGAAAAACTAATACAAGGTGTTTGATCACAACCTGTGACCAAACATCAGCTGACTCCTAAACTATGAAGAAAATAGAAGCAACCCCTAGGAATTCAGGCTTAAAATAAAATAGTTTTTTTACAAACTGAGGAAAGACATCAGTAGCAACACATCACAAGGAAGACAGTATCCACAGATTTAGTCCAGGTAAGCTACTAAACAAACAAGCAGCAACAATAACCATTCCCAGGAGGCATCGCAGTCCAGAACTGCTACAATATATTACCTACATTATCCAGTTTGGAACAACAAAAAGCTATGAGACATGCAAAGATATAGGAAAACATGATCCACACTCAGTAAAAAAAATTTAGTCAATAGGAATGGTCTCTGAGTGGGCCCAGATGTTGGATTTAGCAGACAAAGTCTTTAAAACCAATAATTATGTTCAGAGAACTAAAGGAAACAATGTTTAAAAAATCAACAAAAATATGAATCAATGACTCAACAAATAAAGAATCTTAATAAGGAGATGGAAGTCATGCAAAAGAACCAAATAAAATTTTAGAGTTGAAAAGTTCAGTAACTTTCTAAAATGAAAAAGTTAATGTTTTTAGTATTGTTGTGGTGAGCAACCAACAGACTTTAGATGACGGAAGAAAGAATCAGTGAACTTGAAGACAGATTAATGGAAACGATCCAATACAATAGAGAGAAAGAAACAAATACTGAATAAAGATAAAAAGAGCCTCAAGAGACCTGTTCATGTCTCATGTGTCACACATGTTCATGTTCATGTGTAACACTGTACTCATTTCCTAGGGCTGCTCTAACAAAGTACCACAAACTGGATGGCTTAAAATAACAGACATTTATTATCTCACAGCTCTAGAGGCTAGAAATCCAAAATCAAGGTGTTAGTAGGCCTATACTCTCTAAAGACTCTAGGGGAGAATCCTTTCTTGCTTCTTCTAGCTTCTGATGGTTGCTGGCAATCTTGACATTCCTTGGCTTGTAGACTCATCACTGCAATCACATGTTCTTCTCCCTATGTGTCTTTACATCATCTTCCCTCTGTGCATGCCTCTGTGTCCAAATTTCTTTCTTCTTATAAGGAGAGCAGTCATTGGAATAGGGCCCAACCTAATCCATTATAACCTCATCTGCACTTGACTTACATTTGCAAAGACCGTATCTCCAAATAAGGTCACATTCTGAGGTTCTGGGTAGACATGAACTTCTGCGGGCACTACTTAACCCAATAGGGATATCATCAAGCATCCCAACATACTGTCAAAACAGTCCCAAAGCAGCAGCATAGTGGCTAACAGGGATATAGGAATCGCTACTGCAGTTTACCACAATTTCATAGATTAGGCCAGTAAAAAGACAATAAGCTCAAATGGATTCAGACAGTTTATTACTTATACTGATGAAAAATCAGTCAGCATAATGTTAGCTTCCTATGTCCTAGCTCCACAAGACACCACCAAGTGAGAGGGGCCAGATAACAGGATGCTCAGGCAGTGGGTGGCTGTGCTATTGAGGGGCTCCTTCTAAATACAGCCAGCAAATTAATAGACATACACAGAAGTCAGCAGCTCTACTCTAAGTGGGTCAAGGTGGAAAGTCATGTCCTCCTCTGAAACAAGGGGGTGGATAAAACCAGCCTTACATCTTTCTCCTGCAAACTAAGGAGATGCGGATAAGCTTCTTCATGGCAGCTCCCCATAAGACTGCTTATCCCCCTCATTACATGAGGAATAGCAAGGTGTTTTACCAAGACTTGGGTCAAATTACAGTTAAGCATTGCTTCTATGTCCTATGTGGGCATGTACTGGGGTGGCAGGGCACCACCCCAGAGCTATTCCTCTACACATAGATGTAATAGGAGTCCCAGAAGGAAAGGAGAGAGAGAAATAGGCAGAAAGCAGGGAGATGGGGATGTCTAATGGGTACAAAAAAAAATAGAAAGAATGAACGAGACCTACTATTTGATAGGACAATAGGGTGACTATAGTCAATAATAACTTAATTATATATTTTAAAATAACTTCAAGAATGTAATTGGATTGTTTGTAACTCAAAAGATAAATGCATTAGGGGATGGATACCCCATTATTCGTGATATACTTATTTCACTTTGCATGCCTATATCTAAACATCTCCTGTACTCCATAAATATATACACCTATTATGTACCCACAAAAAAAATTTAATAATAAACTTAAAAATAAAAAAAGAAAGAATGGGCAAAACTCTCCAAGGAATGCCAAAGAGATAAAAACAAAGTGATTCACACCCAGACACATCATAGTCAAATGGTTGAATGACAAACACAGAGAAAATCTTGAAAGCAGCAAGAGGCCAGCACAGTGGCTCACTCCTGCACTGTAATCCCAGCACTTTGGGAGGCCTAGGCAGGCAGATTGCTTGAGCCCAGGAGCTTGAAACCAGCCTGGGCAACATGGCCAAATGCCACCTCTACCAAAAGAAAAATACAAAAATTAGCCAGGCATGGTGCCATGCACCTGCAGCCCCAGCTACTTGGGAGGCTTGAGGTGGGAAGATTGCTTGAGCCCATGAGGTGGAGTTTGCAGCGAGCCAAGATCACACCACTGCACTCCACCTTGGGTGACAAAGCCAAACCCTGTCTCAAAAATAAAATAAAATAAGAAAGCAACAAGAAAAGTAATTTTACTCATCTCATACAAAAGAACAACAAAATGATTAATAACAGATGTCCCATCAGAACAACTGAAGCCAAAAGGCAATGAAAAGACATATTCAAAGTCCTGAAAGACAAACAATTGTCAACCAAAAATTCAATAATCAAGTGAACAATTTTTGCCTATTAAAGGTGAAATGAAGACAATTCCCAATAAATTAAGACTGAGAGAATTCACTGCTAGAAGACCTGTCTTCTAAGAAATATTAAAAGTAGTCCTTTATGCTGAAGAGAAATGACACCATATGGTAACTAGAATTCACCAGAAAAAAAGCACCAAAAGTGGGAAGTATGTGGGCAAATATAAGAGACATACAATCACATACATAAAAGACACAAAAATTCAAAAATAAATAAATAAAACAAAAATATAAAAAATACAAATACATATATTTTTCTCTTCTTTTAACTTCTTTAAAAGATATGTCCTTATATAGCAATAATTACAACATTGAGTTGCTGTATGGATTCTGACATATATAGATGTCATATGTGTCTAAATAATACCACAAAGGAAGGGAAGGATACGGAGTTATATTGGAGAAAAGTTTCTGTATTTTACCAAAATTAAGTTAGTATTAATCTGGAGTTTTCATTAATTTATCTTAATATTATGACAAATAAAAATTTACATTCTAATCACTGGATAAACCACTAAGAAAGTAACTCAAAAAATAGTTTTTAACCCGTTAAGCAGCAGAGATTGACAGACTAGTAAAAAAGCAAGATTCAGCTATATGCTGACTACAAGGGGTACACTTTAAATACAAAGGCATATTGTTCATAAGGAGAAGGATAAAAAAGATATGCAATACAAATACAAGGTACAAAAAAGCTTCTGTGATTCTATTAATGGCAGACAAAACAGACCAGAATATTACCAATTCTCCCAGGTAGAGGTAAGAGCCTCAGCACTAGAGAAAGCGAAACCTACATCTGAGCCCTGCTCAACCCCTTACCAGCTGGGAGACATTGGGCAAACAATGGTTATAAGACCTATAGCATACTAAGCACTTTACATAAATTATCTCTAATCCTCACAAACCCTACAAGATTAATATTATTATCCCCATTTTTCCCGCTATATAATAGCTCAGTAGATAACAGACACATCACTTATAGTAATTATTATTATTTCTAATTGTTCAGTAAGTTCTTATGTGCAAGGCACTGTCCTAGGCACTAGGATACAGTGGAAACTAAGATAGACAAACTCCTTAATTTCAGAGTTTATTTCTAGTGGAGTGGAAACAACCAGAGGAAAATAATAATAATTTTAATTAGAGAGTAGTAAGTACAATGCATAGATTTAAAGTGGAGCAATGTGATGGAATAATTGGCTGGGTAATCCAGTTAAGAAAGTTATTTACATGAAAATATAAATTACACAAGACAACCACATGAAGACCAGGGAAAATAGTAGTACAGGTGAAGGTGACAGTGCATAGGCCCTGGGGTAGGAACGAGCTTGGTATATTGGAGAAAAGTCGCAGTGGCTGAAGGTGTGATGTGGCCATCGGGGGAGTAATATGATGGGTGATTAGAAACGGACGTATGCAAGGCTCTGCAGACCAGAGTGGGGCATCCACATGTTACTCCATGTAATGGGAGGCCACTAGAGGGTTTTATGTCAGTTAGTGATACAATGTGATGTACATTTTAAAAGAACATTCTCACTTCAGAAAGGAAAATAGAGTACAGGGCAGCAAGAACAGAGGCAAGGAGACCACTTTGGAGTCATTGTGGCAGTCCAGGAGAAAGAGGTGGCGGGTTAGGTGGAGAAAAGTGGGAAAGTTTGGGATGAATTTTGGAGGTAGAGCTACCTTGGTGATGGACAGGGCATGGGGTGCGAGCAAAGAAAGACAGGAATCAAGAATGACTCTTAGGTTTGGAGCTTGTGCAACTGGGTGGAGGGCGGTGCTGTTTACCAAGAAGGCGAAGTCTGGAGGAGGAATAGGATTGCTCAGGGAATGCAATAGAGGTTGAGGAAGGGGGTGAAATAACGGGTCCTGTTTTAACTCCATTAGATTTGAGAGACTTATCAGGCTTCTTAAACTATTACTAGGTCTACCCAACAATATAAAGATGACCAAAACAAAATTCCCATCTTCCAGGAACTCACAAGTCTAGTAGGGGAGAAAAAAATGGGTACATATCCATTCAAGAAAACCTGTAGGTACTTTATAAAAGAGGTAATATGTACCTGTGTGGTAACCAGGATCCAATAGATTGGCAGGGCATCTGGGAAGCCTCCATAGGGTGTAGATAGGTTCAAAGTTTGGTTTCCAAGTATGGGTGAACCTGAACAAGCAGCCCTGGAGTGGGATAGATTCTAGGAGAGGGGAGAAACTTAAACTGAGGTTCTCCAGAAGTGAGCCACACTCAAGGAAGGTTTGAGATGTATTAGAGGTGGATGAGGGGAGGCCCTGAAAAAGCAAGTTATATTCACATTTGAAAGACTTTGAAGGCAGGCTGGGGTGGTGGGTTTTATCTTGTGGCCTAGAGTGGATGGGGAGATACAGAAGACTTTTTAGCAGAAAAGTGACCATCTTAGAGGTATGTGTTAAGGTCACTCTGACAACAGTCTTTGAAAAGTAGGTGATGGATGGCAGAAATGAGGGACAAAGAACAAGAAACAAAGCAGGAAGCTGGTTCAGAGATTATCCTACAGTCTAGGCGAGGGGTAGGGACAGCATTAGGAATGAAAATGAGACGAATGAGACACGATGGAGGTTAAGTGATAGGATTTGGTGATTGATTGGATGTGGAAAAACAAGTCTTAGATAACTCTGAGACTCAGCATGAGTGTCTGGGAGAACCATGGTACCATGATCCAAGATAAGGGACCTGGGAGCAGGAAAAAGAAGGGGAAGAAAATGGGGAGCAAGGGAGACAATGAGTCTGATTTTGGTCATGTTCAGCTGGAGGTGCCAATGGAACATCAGTTTTCAAGTAGAAATGATACGTCAGTAGATGAACATTTTGGCCCATGATTGGGAGATGCAGCTGACCTCAAAGTAAAGATTTGGGAGTCCTTGGCACCAGTAATAATAATGTATTGTGCATCAGGAGCTGATTTAATCCTTTACATAATTATCTCATTTCCTCCCCCATGACAGCCCCATGAGGTGGGTGTGATTATTATTGGCATTTTGCAAATGAGAAAGCTGAAGTTCACGAAAGTTAAGCCCCTTGCCCAAAGTTACATACAAATGTAGTGGCAGAGTCAAGATTTGAACTTGTGCACTTGGTGCTGCTCTACATGGTAAAACTAGGGGGGAAGGAGGGAATGATGGAAGGCCCTGGAAAAGCAAGTTATATTCACATATGAAAGACTTCGAAGGCTTTCAGACTGGGGCCCACAGGATGCCCTCTTTGACTCTGCTCAAATGTCCATGGAATGTCAGGACTGAATGGACCTTAGGAATCACTGAGTCATTCTCTCAGGTCACGACTAGTAGTGACTAAAGCCCAGAGAAGGACATTGACTTACCCAAAGTCACAATGTATGTTAGGGGGAAAGTCAGAAGTGGAACCTGGATCTCCTGGCCTGTCCAGTGCTCTTTCCATTACACTGCATACCCTCCACTTGACCAAATGCACCCTGGCCTCATCCAGGTGAGCCTCCTACAGCCTTTCTCGTTACACTTGGTATAAATTCTGCAATCCAAGTTCTGCATGCTCTGGCCCCTCCACCTCTTCGACCTGATTATATCACTCTCCCTCTTTGTCATGAGGATGCAGCCCCACAAGCCAAGCACATGCCCTCCAAGGGCCTTCGTGTTTGATGTTTCCTCTGCTCTCAGATATTCTCCTAACTGCTTCCTTCTTATCATTAGGTCCCAGCCAAATGGCCACCTCCTTGCAAAAGCCCACTCTGACCAGCCAACCCAAAGTAACCAACCCTATCACTCACTGTCCTTGTACATGATTCTATGTTCTTCATGGCAGTTGTGGCTATCTCAAGTACCTTATTTATCTATGTGGTTGTTAATATTCATTCTCCTGGTCAGGCGTGGTGGCTCACGCCTGTAATCCCAGCACTTTGGGAGGCCGAGGCAGGTGGATCACGAGATCAGGAGATCGAGACCATCCTGGCCAACATGATAAAACCCTGTCTCTACTAAAATACAAAAAGTTAGTGCACGCCTGTAATCCCAGCTACTCAGGAGGCTGAGGCAGGGGAATCGCTTGAACCCGGGAGGTGGAGGTTGCAGTGAGCTAAGATTGTGCCACTGCACTGCAGCCTGGTGACAGAGCAAGACACTGTCTCAAAAAAAAAAAAAAATCATTATCCTATCAGAATGTACAGCAATCTTTCCTGTATTCTCCGAGCCTGGAACAGAATTTAGCAGTGGAACTGCTGAGTAGAGGAAGTACAGAAAGAAAGAAGGAAGGAAGGTACAAGGGAGGGAGCAAACCTTCCTTTGGACAGAGGAGGCAGTAGGGAGTTTGTCCAATGCCAGTGCCTTTATTCTCAAGAGACCCACAGCCAGACCCGGCCTCCTTGGAGCTCCCGCCTCTCCCGCCGTGATATTTGTATCTCATGGACTCAGAGTCATGGCCTGGGGAAAGCCATGGACTCACTTTCAGAATAGAGAGAATAAGATCATGCCAGATACCACAAACAGGCCTGGAATTCTGGGAGCAGAGGCACCAGGACTGCCCCCTGTCTCTGTCTGCCTCCCTCCACCCCTTTCTGCCCTCTTATCTACTTCTCCTTCCCCCTTTAATGCCCACATTCCCCATTCCCCATGGCCCATGGCTCATGCTGCCCCTTATCTGCTCCTCTCCTCCATCACCCGGCTCCCAGAAGGCACCTTTTCATCTTCCCCATTCTCTTATCTTGCCCTTATCCCAGGGTCCCCTGTATCTGCTTCCTTTTGCTCTCTGGCCCCTTATCAGATGTCCCTCTCTCCATCACACTTCCCTTATCTGCTCATCCCCTTGCCCACACGCACCGTTATTTTTATTGCCTTCTGGAAAGAGGCCCACAATAAACAGCAAGAGCGGAGAGTTTGCATTCCAGGCTCTGATGGACAGGCTGGGGGAGTGATTGTCAGGCCCTCAGAGCTGGGACTTCGACGCAGGCTTTGGAATCAGCCCCTGGTGGAATCCTGTCAGAGCTTCAACCATTTTTCATTATACTAACTAAGAGATGTTAGCAAAATGGTTTTAATCTATCTGAGCCTCATCTATAAAACACAGCTTGAGAATACCTCCCTCTGAGGGTCACTGGAGGCCAAGGATAGTGCAGGCCAAAAGGGGAATGCGGTGCAGAGCCTCTGGGCTTATTCGTCACTGCTGCAGCCATGCACCTGTGTGAACTCATGTTCTCCTCCTTGCAACCCTAGAAGGGAGAGCCTGTTATTGTTGACTTTCTGCAGATGATGGAGCTGAGACCCATAGAGGTTGACTGACTTTCTTGAGGTCACAAAATCGACCCCAGTTGGCACTGAGGGGATTCCCCACCATTTCTATACAGTGAAGCAGCTCTCGACATGGGAGGGAACCTCTCAGCACCCCCGCTGCACAACTGTCTGCCATGATTCTAAATTCCACAGCCAAGTGAAACCTGCAATGGCTTCCCCTCTCCTGGAACATCTGCCTGGTTCCCAGGACAGAGTAAAGGTGAGAACCAAGTTCCCTCTAAAGAAATGGGAGGGAAACTTCTTCCATTAGGACCTCAGGAAATGACTTCAGCAGCCCCACTTGGCCAGTTTTCTGGTGTTAATCATTTTCTCACACCAAGAACAACTCGTTGCCGCCTCCTGAGTCCTGCTCCCCCTGACTATAATTAGGGGTGTCACTTGGGTGTTGCTGTGGAAAGTGACACCAAAAGCCCTTCACACACCTGCTCTCGGTGGCAGCGGCGGGCCCCATCCTGGGCTCAACACACAACCAGCAGCTGCCAGTTTGCTAGATGGGAGGGGTGGGTATCACTGCACTGCATAATGGAGCAGCTACTGGCATCTGGAGCTGCTGGTGGCACGTCTGAGGCCAGTCTCAGGCCGCTAGGGAAAAACGTCCTCAGGGACCATAAACTGCAATCAGCTGCCTTATCTTTTGGGTGAGAACAATAAGGCTCAGAGAGAGAAAATGTCTTTCCAAAAGTCACACAGCACTAACTTCCTGGTATGAAAACCCAGATTTTCTGCCTTCCCAGCCTATGTTGCCCACATCCTTTCACATTTAGGACAGTAGTTCCTAATCAGGGGTTATTTTCCCCCGCTTGGGGAAACATTTGACGATGTTAGGAGACATTTTTGGTTGTCTCAACTTGGAAGGATGGGTAGTTAGAAGGGAAGGATGCCGCTAAATATCTTACAATGCACACGGCAGTCCTCTATAGCAAAGACTTATCCAACCCAAGATGTTCATAGTGCCATGACTGAGTAACTCTGTTTAGCAGCACTGCCACAGGGACTTGCAGCTCCCAAGCACATCACATGCCCTTTACAACTGAAATCAGGACGAAATGTATTGGTACACTGGCTCCCATGGGCTCCTATGTGACCCAGTGATTCCTAAGGAAGATAATTCCTGCCATTTCCCTACTTCTATGCCTTTGCTCGAGCGGTCCCCCTCTGAATGGGATGCTCTCCCTGGCCCTACTTATGCCACTCCTACTCATCCTTCCCACCCTGTTTGGTGTCACTGCCTCCAGGAAGGTGGCCCTGGTTTCTCCTGCTGGGAGTCATCTCTGAATCTCTGAACTCTAGGAGTACTTCAGCAATACCTCTTCTAACTCTTAGAAGAGTTCACCTTGTATTAGAGTTAAGAGGTAGTGTAAGTCTATATTAAGTTTGTGGGCTCTGGAGTCTGATGCCCTGAGTTCAAATCCCAGCTACCCTACCTCCTACTTGTGTGACTCGGAACAAGTTACTTAACCACTCCAGGCGTCCTATTCCTTGTCTGTAAAATGGGAGTGAGGATAGTAATAGCGCCTGTCTCATAGGATTGTTAGGAAAATATCATTAATTAATCCATGTAAAATGCAGTGCTTAATGCAATCTCTGACACATGGGTTGGTGTGCAATACATGTTAGCGATCATCGTGATGATCTAAGAATTAGTCTTGCCCAAACTACAGCATGGCCTCCTTCAACAAAGGACTCTAGAGTCCCACATCATTGTCATTTTACCTAAAACATGACCCTGCAAAGTATGGGCTTTCTTTTTAATGAAGGCAGATGAGAAATGGCAAGAGCAATGATACTTAATCCAGCTAAATCATGGTCACACTCGTGACACAGGGCCTCCTTCATGTCCAGCCTCCCTCAGTGCCTTTAAGAAGCTACGTCCACCCACACTGACAAAGAGGAAAAAGAAAAAAACCTCCTGATGCATCTCCCACCTTGTCTAATCACTGGGACACAAGCACCCTTTTGAGCATATTTAGGTTAAAAAAAAAAAATGATAACCCTACAGCAAGATCTCTCAACCACATCACTTTTGGGGCTGGATAATTCTATGCTGTGGGCACTTTCCTGTGCATTGTAGGATTCTTGGCAACATCTTTACCTCTACCCACTAAAAGTCATTAGCACCACCCTCTGCATGCACACACACAATTAAAAAAAGCCTCCAGATATTGCCAAGTGCCCCATGGCAGGCAAAATCACCCCAATTTGAGAACCACTGGTCTAAGCCATACATTCTCAGTGGGGGCAAAAATTGGTTCTCGGAGGACAAAAAAAAAAAATCTTATCTTCTCTATGTATAAAGCATAGATATATGTATAGTACACAAACAGGTATACAGTATATTTGTGGTAATAAAAATCCAGGGGACAGGGGATTAAGGGAGAGAAATGCGTAAAAATGTTCCTGGAGGAATGATCATGGAATCATAATAAGGCTGAGAAACACTGTTCTATACAAGTTATCCTTTGTAGAAAGTCATAAGCTGAATCAAACCATAGATTGTTAAATGGCTAATGATTATCATATCTGCCAACCTCTGTGCTAAGCCCTGTGCTCACAAAATCGGTACTTCTGCATCTGCTGTTTACAGGTGAAGGCCCTGAGAATTAGAAATGTCCTTTCACAGGACCTGAGTACCATGGCTATGAAAAGGCTTTATTTTCTGGTCCTTGAATCAAGTTATATAGTCTGAGAAAGGGTTTGGAGTCATCTTTTGGGAACAAGGAACACTTTTTTTTTTTTTTAGAACCCAAGGCAGGTCTGTCTGACCCCAAAGAGCTTGTGCTTGCCTGCTAGGCCACCGTGCCTATCATCTCAGCTTTGCTGGTTGCTGTACTCCTCAGTCACAGAGCCTTTCCCAGATCCCCACTCACTTGTTCACGTGTACCTAGGCCTTGCCTTGGGACCACCTGTGGTCTACAGGGCTTTGAGAAGATAGTAATGGCTAATTATCGCTGGCTGATTTTTCTGAGCTAGCTACCTGCATTACCTCCTGTTCTCCTCCCAGCAACCCTGTAAGATGGATGCTGTTGTTGCTAACTTTCTGCAAACAATGGATCAGAGACCCACACAGATGTAGTTACTTGCTCTAGGCAGAGCTGGGCGTTGAGTCCTAGCAGGATGGTTCCAGTGTCCGCAGCATGGCCACCATACCACAGGCCTCCCTGCCTTCCCCATACCCCCAGCACAGGCACCCAAGGATCCAGAGGACCTTGGAATTTTTCAAAATAATGTTAGTGTGTTGCGCTTCCAGGCTCCAATGGGCAGTGAAGAGCTTTGCCTGTCTGTCCACACACACCCTGGTCAGGAAGGTAGGGAAAGCAAGAAGATAGGAAGGAAATTCAGAAAATGGAGGAGGGAAAAGTGGGCCTGTGGAGGAGAAGAGGAAAGAGAACAAATGAGGGAAAGGGACAGGGAAGGAGACAAGCACTGATGACCTGGAATGAAGAAAAAGGAGTTAACAAAAAGGTAGCAGGGACCAGGAGCAGGAGCTCAGATGCTAGGATGAGAGGGGGAGGAGGGAGCTGCATTGCTGAGCTATTTTTATGAACCTGAGAGCGGCTGATTTACATCTTTAGCGTCTCCTTGCATATTGAGGTCAGAAGGTCTCAACTCCTCATGTGAGAAGGAATAAAAATTCATTAGTATAGCCTTCTGGAAGGCTCTTCAAGCACACCGTGTCCGGTTCTTCCCATGTGGAGGAAAGGGAAGGGGAGGAGGAGAGCCAACTACCGTGCAGCAAGGGTATCTTGCAAGGGTATCTCTGGAACTCAAGTGTGTGCCAGAGGAGGCAGCACTGGACTCAGAGTTAATGTCAGCAGGACACCAGTGCCACCACCTCCTCACTACATCTCCCTGAGCAGGTCACTGAGCCTCTGAGGCCTCAGTTACCTCATCCACAAAAGGAAGGAAAGTGGGCTAGAGGCCTGAAAGGAGCCGAATCAAGTTAAGCAAATCGCTCCATGAATTAATTCATAGGACAAGCTCATATCTCAAAGATAGTTGGAGGAGAAAGTGATTAGCAAGGCATTTCAGATGCCTTGCCCTTTGTTCTGAACCTTTGGTTACACAAAGGGAGTAAGGGAGGAAAAGAGGAAAGGAGGAAAGGAAGGAAGAGGGGAAGGAAGGAAGGAAGGAAAGAGGGAGGGAGGGAAGGAAGGAAGGAGGGAAGGAAGGAAGGAAGGGAGGAAGGGAGGGATGGAGGAAAAGAGGAAGGGTGGGAAACCGGGAAGCCTTCCCAAACTAACTTGTGCACTTGTCACTTGCATTATCCTCAAGTTGTCCTATGAAGTAGGTACTCATAAAATCCCCATTTACAGATGAGAAAACTGAGGTTTACTTGGTTAGGTTGCTTGCCCATACTCATGGTATTAGGAGAAGAGCTGTAATTTGAACCCAGTGCAATCTGAGACCATAGTTCACACTCCCAGCTATTACATTATACCAACCAGACAAGCACATGAAGATGAGCAATGAAGGAGAGCTTGGGCACATGGAATGGGAACAGGAATGACAGAAATCTCTCATTAGCCACATCATCTCTCCCCACTCCCTGCATATCTGCCCCATTAGCCTGGAGCAGATCAGTTTTGGGGGTTACTTGAGGCTCCTCTGTACTCTCCAAAACCTTTGGTTTATACACAGTTTTGATGTATCATGGCAGGAACTCTGACCCCAATTCTATGTGAGCTCTCAGTTCAAGCTAACTGACTTAGTGCTGTGTCGCTGAGTTCCAATTCTCCAGAGACAGGATGCAATTTGCCCAGCCCAGCCTGTGGACTGGTTCTCCTTGGGTGGCCTTTCAGATGTCCACCCCTGGTTTGCCTACGTGTGGCCTGGAGGCACAAGGACAAGGTGTCCAAACAGCAGAATTAGAGGCCACGGGCATACCAGGAGGGATAGAAGAAACTGTGGCAGGGAGCACTGGGTGGCTTCTCCAGGGAGGTCACTCTTAAAGGCCTCTGCTCAGGGCTGCCTTTGCTAGAATGGGGGTCAGAGTGTCTGAGTTTAAGCGCAGCTGAAGAAGAGAATACACAGTGCAGACAGAAGAAGTTCAACAAAAGAATAAGTGACTGCCTACATGGGAAGACAGGAAGAGCCTTCAGGGTCCTTGTCATAAAATATCTCCTCTGCTCGCCTGCCTAGTGCCTGAAGATCTACCATTTGATATTCCTGCAGAACCTCATTCAGGTCCTTTAAGCTCCTTCCGTGTAAAAAGCATGAAGGTCAGCCATAGACATTTTGCTCTGATGACAGAATATCAAGGTTATTGGGTGATTGTGGGAGTATACATGAAGGTCAGAGCAGAAACTGATGGTTATCTCCCTGATATCTATTCTCCTTTTCTTCTATAAACAGACTTCTTATCTGGATGCGTGGCCACCCAGCTAACCATTATCTTTTCTAATCTTCCTTGCAGACTAGCTGTGGCCAAATGCTTGGATTGAGGCCAGTGAGTTATGAACAGAAGCCATGGGTCAGGCCTTAAAAGGGAAGAAGCATGCTCTCACCTCCCCTTAGCTCCTGCTTGCTGGACAGAGCCCCGTGGTAGTGGGAGCTGAATCAGCATCTCAGCCACTAGATGGAATGTATATTTGGAGGATAGCAAAGCAACAGGATAGAAAGAGTGAGCTGCCCAGGGCCACGGAGCCAGTGTGTCAGCCCTGGGCTGCCTGTGCTCATACTGTTACATGGGTGAGGCATAAACTTCCTTATTATAAGCCAGGATTATTTGACTCTTGATGTAGCAATCAATGTCTTTCCCCACCTCAGGTAACGGCGTCCCTGGTGCCCACTGCCATGCCATTTGATAAGCACAGCTTGGTGCCCTTCACAGAGAGGGAGGGGAGCACTCAGGCCAGGTAGCCAGATTTCAGCTCTGATCCCAGCTCAGAGCCACACCCCTTGAAGCCCTCTGCTACTTCTGCTGTGGAGGCTTTATTTTCTGGTCCTTGAATCAGGCTACATAGTCTGAGAAAGGGTTTGGAGGCATCTTTTGGGAACAAGGAACATTTTTTTTTTAAGAACTCTTTTACACTGTTGGTGGGAGTATAAATTAGTTCAACCATTGTGGAAGACAGTGTGACAATTCCTCAAGGTTCTAGAAGCAGAAATACCATTTGACCCAGCAATCCCATTACTGGGTATATACCCAAAGGATTATAAATCATTCTACTGTAAAGACACATGCACACATATGTTTATTGCAGCACTATTTACAATAGCAAAGACTTGGAACCAACCCAAATGCCCATCAATGATAGACTGGATAAAGAAAATGTGGCGTATATATACCATGGAACAAGGAGCATTCTAAGGGATACAGCTTGGATGCTAAAACGTTGGTATTTCTGGGACATTTCAAACAAGTACGAGAACACTATCTACCTTAGATGCTGGGCTGCGCTCAAAAGCCCAGGCTGTTCAATGCTTTATTTAGGAGAAGCCTGCACTCCCCGCTGGCCTAACCTTTCTCTTGTCTCCTTCACTCCACTAACTCACATATTTAGAGCATTTATCAGACCAAGAAGGTATTAAGTTACAACCTTTTTTGTAAATGAATCAAAGTAGAAAGTGGCTGCAGGGAGAGTCTAGGAATCCTAGGGTAGACTTTCCCCTGAGTTATCCAGTTCAGTCTTCAAAGACAGGTCCTCCAACCATCTCTACGCCCCCAGTCGTAGACTAAATATTTTAAAACCCAGGGAAGAAGTATCCACTTGCCCGGGGGTTAGACATACGCCCTCTCTTGGCTTTTCCTAAGACTGGGAAAGAAGTAACTGGTCCTCCTTGGCTTCCCTAGGAATAGGAGGTGAGCACTGGGAATCATTTTCCCACCAAATCTCACAGATATAAAGGTAGTGTATTAATATTCCACTGAGATTTGGGGAAAGCAATGAATGCCAAACAGACAAGAAATGGAAAAGTGACCACTATATCTACCACACCCTCCCAAGAAATAAAAGTAAAATCAAATCAAACAAGAGAAGAGTGGGGCTCCAGAGAGAAACTCTGGAACCAAGGGAATTTCCTTTCCCGCTGAGATATTATAACCAGAGGCATAATTTGATTTTCTAGCAATGCCTGTGATTCAGAAAAGGAGGAGTCAACACTGTTAGGAACACAAGCTGTAGGGGAATATCATCCGGACATGACCTTATCAACATCCTCTGGAGGAAAGCTTTCAAAAGGGATGGTAGTAAATTCCCAGGTGTCACAGCTAAGGCAAGGAAAGGACTACCTAGGGAACAGGACTGGGTGCAATAGTCTGTTTTTTTACTATTTTCCCAGACTTCATACTCTCTGGCAAGATTCCATGGTGCCCCCTTCTTCCACCTGGATCCAAGACAATGTCTCTAGAAATGTAGTTTATCTCATTACACACCTGAATGCCACTCAGTTCTTGTAGCCGATAGAAGGGACCATGTTTCCTTCCATTACCATCTGGCCACCTGCTATGCTTCACAGTAATGCCTCCTAAAAATACTCTTCTCCAGGATCCCCTGTGAATTTAACAGAATGAAGAAAAAAATCAAAGTTAGTCTGCTCAGATTGGCTTTCCATCAACGGATACTTTTTTGATGTGCAATCGAGTAGGAAAGCAGAAGTCTTAGAGACAGACAGATTTGGATTAAAATAATGACAATTTTTTATTATACCTAATATGTATTATTACCATGTGCTGGCCACTGTTTGATTCACTTTTTGTAGATTTCCTCATTTAATCTTCTCAATAACCCTCTGAATTAAGCAACATTATTATCCCCATTTTATAGATAAGAAAACTGAGACATAAGTGACTTGGCCAATATCATTCAGCAAGAAAACAGCAGAGTAGGTCTGACTCCACAACCAAGCGTGCAATCCCTCTGCAAAACTGCCTCTGATTAAATAGCTGTGCCTTCCCCATCTCTCAGATCCTTGGTTCAGACGGCCTTAGGCATGAAGCAACTCGACTGGCGGAAAAGGGAAGAAAGATACTTCTCGAGAGGACAAGGGGATGGGAAACACAGTCTGGACATCTTGAGGACAGTCAAATAACATGAAGCACATGAACAGATCTGGGAAGCCACTGGTATTCAGGGAGAGCCTATGAGGCAGCAGAGAGTCCCCCAAATGACACAGTCCCAGCATCATGGCTCCATGGCTCTGGGCACTAACAAGGGTCAGACAGAGTGGCAAGTTGTCAGAAATTCAGGAATGGCTGCAATCCCAGCATAAGTAGATAGGTAGATAGGTCACAGACAGATAGATACATCCATACATCCATACATCCATCCATACACACATACATAGATGATAAAGACATAGACAGACTAGTGATAGATAAATAGATTAGTTAGATGGAACATAGATAATAGATGAGAGATTAGATAGGTGATAGATACATAGATAGATGGAAGATAGATAAGATAGATGATTGATAGATAATAGTAGATAATTGATAGATGATAGATAGAAGATAGTAGATAATAGATGAGAGAAATTAGATAAGTGATAGAGATAAATATATAGATAGATGGAAGATAGTAGATACATATAAATGATATTGGACCAGAATGATCTATCAGATGCTTAGCCACAGAGACAGAACAATCTATGTAAAGGTAGGCACATAGATGACATGGGCTGGTACAGTATTAAGTATTACCAGGCACTAGACACCTGGCAGACAGTGGGCTGAGGCAGCTGATACACTCGCTTACCTGGTCAGATGGCCTCTAAACTTGGACTGGGCTGAACCTCCTGACGGGTGCATGGATGACTCCAGCCAACAAGCTTTAGATAATGTGAGATTCCACCTTCCTACCCCTTCCCACTTCTGTGCATAGCATTGTGGGGATTCCAATCACTTCTCTGATCATATAGATCATCACTACTGTCATTATCAGCATTTATTGAGCTTTTATTTTCTAGCAGGCATGGTTTGAAATGCCTCACATCTGATTCCTCATTAAACTATCACAATGGGCATGTGCAGTCAAATGCCATTTTAGGGTCTTGGGTTGCAAATGGCAAACACATCACCTTCCTTCACTATCTATCTCTTTCCTTACCACAGCCTCCATAGAAGCCACTTTTCAGACAGAAAAGGTAAAAAAAAGTCTCAACCTCTTTGGACTTTAAGAAAGTGAGAAATAGGCCAGGCGCAGTGGCTCACGCCTGTAATCCCAGCAATTCGGGAGGCAAAGGTGAGTGAATCACCTGAGGTCAGGAGTTCGAGACCAGGCCTGGCCAATATGGCTAAACCCTGTCTCTACTCAAAATACAAAAAATTGGCCAGGTATGGTGGCACATGCCTGTAGTCCCAGCTGCTCGGGAGGCTGAGGCAGGAGAATTGCTTAAACCTGGGAGGCGGAGGTTGCAGTGATCCGAGATCACACCACTACACTCCAGCCTGGGTGATAGGGCAAGACTCTGTCTCAAAAAAAAGAAAGAAAAAAAAGAAAGCGAGAAATAAACTTTTATTGTATAAAGCCACTAATGACTCAGGGTTAATTTGTTATTGCATCTTTGCCTGACTAATCCACCACTATCACATAGGTTTGCTGTGAGAATTGAGTTAATACATGCAAAAGATATAAACCTCACCTAATATGTACTCTCTTGCCTAATATGTGAGCACTCCATAAATATTGCCTGCTATTGCTCCATATAATCTTGCCCAATATGTAGTAAGCACTCCATAAATGCCAGCTGCTGTTAATATCATTCTTGGAAGACTGGATATAGACACAGATCCCCAAAGGGCTTAAGACCTTACCGTTGTTGACTTTTATTGCACCAAAATGAATATCCCCTGAGCTCCTGTTCATAACAGCATAGAGCTGGGGCTGAAAGTGCGTTGTATTTGCAAAGGGTTTTATTCATTTCTTTAAGAATTACATAACAATCGCAGATTCTTGGAGCTGGAAAGGATCTTAAAGGTCATCTTGCCTATCCCCCACCTAAGGCTTAACTCCCTTCTACCCTCTCCTTTACCCTCATCTGAACACCTTATCTTGAGCCTACTCGAGAGCTCTTGCTCTGGGAAAGTTCTTCCTTATGCTTGCCTGGATCTATTGCCAGCCCCCACATGGGCCAGTACACCTGCCCAGCACATCCATCTTCAGTCCACCCACTGGCCACAAACACATTGGCCCATTCATCTAATTCATTCAGCAAACAGGCAATGAACTCCTACCTCATGCCTGGCTTATTGCTTACTGTGACCTCAGGCAAATTACCTACCCTCTCTGAGCTTCCAATGCCTCATCTGTAAAATCACTGTAATGCTAGCACCTAATTCCCAGAGTTGTTGTCAGATTAAATGAGGCAGCATACACAGGGCATGTATCACAGATCCTGGCACATAGTGAGTGTCCAGGAAAGATTACTCTTCCTTGTTACCTTTGTTGTGGTTTCAGTGTATTGGAAAAAATAGAAGTTGAGTCAGTATTTGCAAGTCTGATAAGTACTGCGAAAGAGGAAGTATAGAGTGCTACAGAAACACTGAATGAATTTGAATTGGGTTTAATGGTTCCATATGAAGAGACCTCTTTCCCAATATGGGGACATGCAGTTGGTTATCAGGGGGCCCTCAGAAAGGCCTGGAAAACCAAGCTGAGAAAGCCACAGTAGCAAGGCTATTGGCTGTTCCTGGGGATGGCATCAGAACAAGGTTGGTGGCATCAGAAACAAGAGAATGAGGGCCACTCAAGATGCACTGCAAAGGGGGACCCGGGAACAGGATGTGATGGAGCCCAGAACCTGCTTTCATGTGGCATGGAGCAGTCCTGGCAGCTTAAAGGAATTGGTCGGGAGGACTGTAATAGATAGAAAACAGACTAGGCAGAAAAGCCTTACGTCACCTTAGAGCTGCCTAACAAGGCAGTCGGCACAGCCCAGGGATGCAGGACAACAGGAAAGATAAATTCCAGGCCCCCGGGTGCTGTATGCAAACTAAATTCCGGCTTCTGAACCAAAGCCTTCAGGTCAACAGAGGAGACAGTCTAGGGTGGGGCATGGGTGGGGAACAGAAGGAACCACTGAAGCCCCCCTGCCACCCCCGCCTCCACCTCCTCATCACTACCCAGCCCCACTAGGCCAGACCCGCCAAATGAATTACACATAGGGGGAGGTGATTGGCCCAGTCCCACCCAACACGCTTCCAGAGGCTGGTTTGTTATTCCTGTTGTTTTAGATGGTCATTTTCTTTGTGAGAAGAGCCCAGGAGGAAGGCTTTCTTCCCTCCCTATTCATGCTGCTTGCCTGCTGATTCATTGATTATCCTTCACATGTCCTGGCTGTAGCTGGGATGTAACCACGGAGGGCAGGCAACCTGGGGTGGGTGGTGGCAGTTCCTTACTTGAGTCACAAAGGGTATCTTCCACCCCCACTTAATTGCCAATAAAATATAAAGCACAGGATGTCTCTGGGAAACAGCAAAGAATCCTGTTAAACCCTGTTTTAAAATAGGTTTTTTGTTTGTTTGTTTTTTCCTGTTTGAGTTTTTAATGATCAGGAGGAAAAGACTCTTTTTTGCTTTAGGGAGCTAAATTGTCAACTGGAGGTCCCTGCCCTCATCAGAAGCAGGAACCCTGAGTGGGTTAGGAGGGAAGCAGAGGAGTGGGCGTGATGGAGAAATTTTACCCATTGGGCCACATGAACTGGCACGACTTTCCAGGTGGCTGGCTCTCTCAACATTCAGGCACAAGGCCAGGCCCCAGTTAGTTAATTCCAGTGACAGACGCTGTCAGTCCCCATCAGGTAACCAGCATGGCTTGGTGCCTCCACCAAGTAGGGGTCATAGGAAAAACCGTGACCTGAGTTTGATTCCCAGTTCCGTGCTATACATTCTGTGCGACTTTCAGCAAGTCATACCACCTTGCTGAGCCTCAGTTTTCTCATCTGCAAAATGGAGCCAGTAATAATGACCTAATAGGATTCCAGGAGAAGATTAAGTAAGATGAACACCTACAAAAAGACCAACACAGTGCTGAGCCCATTGTAAGTACTCCAAACTAGCATCTATTAAAATCTCTAGCTATCATGAACATGTGCCTGGCTGTGGAAGGCTTGGAACTTCAAAGGGAAACAAGGGACCCAGGTGTGTGTCACTCTCTGGAGTGTGATGAACTCAGCTCCTAGAATTTTAGAGACTACTTCCTAGAAGAATGACAGAGACTCAGCTTTGCCTCTCTTCTTGTTATTGATTCCTTAGACTTGAGACTCCTCACTCAAATCACTTTCGTATTCCCTTTATCACAATATTGAAAGCTGGTAAGGATCCCCACAAAGGTGGGCTGCAAAGTGGTGGTCCAGCAGATGCCCTCACTTCCTGAGGGAGCAGAGGATGTAAAGTGTGTGGTGTGGGTGCGGCTGGGCCCCTGTGAATATACTTTAAGACCCAGTGGAGAAAGCACATAGCATCTCAGCTGACTTTTGCAGACAGAGCTAAATTGAGAGGTGTCACCTTCGCTGGCAAGGTCAGAGGACTCGTGTCTGCTAACCTGGAGAGGTGGGAATTGCAGGCAGCAAACAAAATTGCACTGCCACTTGGAAATCTGCCAACTGCTACAATCAGGGTAAAAATAATTGGAAAAGTAAGTCAGGTGTCAATCAGGTGCTCTGGCAACATGTGGAGGTATGAAGCACTGCTATCTACTCCCTTTTCTTCCTGAGCCCCCTCCTGCCCTGGCCTTTAGGACATGGTTTCTACCCATCCCTGTCCCCTTTCCTGGCTTCTTATTCTTTTTCCATGCGGTAGGTCTTGGTCCTTGACACTATACTTCTCTGCTCTCATACTGCATTCCCTAGAGGATTCACCCTTCTCAGGATTTGTCTCCCCCACCCAGCCCAGCTTCTCTGCTGATAACCACCAATCTAGAGCCTCCAACCCAGAGCCCTCCCTGCCCCAAGTTGCTAATGGCTCACATGTCCCCTTCTCTTCGATACTGTGGGACAAGCCACTCATTCACCACTTTACTCCGTCAACAAATATTTAGTGACTAGATACCACATACCAGGCACTGAGCTAGGTGCTAGGGATAGAGAAGTGAAACATGCTGCTGGAAATTCAATTGGAAAGGAAGAAAATTAAAAACATTAATTAAAATTAAATTTTTTATTAAAATTAAATTAATTAAAATTAAATTGTGAAAAAAATGTAGGAAGAATATAACACAGCTTAAAATGGACAAAATTGAGGCTGAGAGAGGGAAAAAAAAACTATTTCTTATAAAGTAGGACCGCTCTTCATCCACGCTATTGAAGCCAAACCCGAAGGGTGGGCAAGACCTAGGTGTGGTAGGAGCATCATTCCAGAAAGATGGAATCACATGAGGAAGGCTCTCAACAATCTCTTTAAAAAATAACTTTATTTGTGTTGGGGATATTAAATGTAGGGTTCCCACTTTGTTATCAAGCAGAAGTTAAAAGCAGATAGTAGCACCATGGTAAAAGATATCTATCAGCCAGACATCTAAATAATTACTTAAATTGTCCTAACCCTGACATTTATCACCAACCTTTCCCTTGGAGGTAGGTAAGTAGGAAAATAATCAGAAGAAAGTTATTTTGTAATTACCCAGCATGAATTATGATTCTGAGAGGCTATTTCCAGGGGTACTTTAGAGTAATTTAGTTCAGCATTATCAGAGTTTAATTTAGCATAACATTGTCGGTACAAAGAAACTCTGGAACCAGACTCACAAGAACAGGATTTTTATTCTGCCATTCCTAAGCCATCTGACTATGGATCCTAACCTCATGAAGCCTCGACTGCCATCTCTGTGATATGGGGATGATAATACCTGCTTTACTAACTTCACAGGAGAGTTGGGAGAATCAGGGCAATAAGTGTAAAAATGTTTCATGAACTGTACATGGGAGGGACCATTATTCACGCCTTTAATGGAGGTTGAAGGATCACTTTTGGTTGCAACTGACAAAAACATATTCATAACTCAAATTGGTTTAAGGGAGAAAAAATTACTAGCTACAATAACTAGAAAATCAAGTTAACTAGCTCTAGGTACAGTTTGATTCAATGGTTCAAATGACACCATCTGCATCCAGGTTTCTCACCATCTCTCACTCTCCTCTTCTCCATATTGTTTCCTTCTTAGGTTGCTCTAAAAACTATACCCTCCCAGGTTCAAATCTAGGAACACAAGAGAGAATGCCTCTCTCTAAACAATTCAAGGAAATTTCTGAGCCTGATTTTCACTGACTCTAATAGAGTTATGTGACCATCACTGCACTGACCACTGTGTCCAGGCAATAAGAAGCCTCAATGAGCCATGAATATGTCCCATGCCCAACTCTCAAGTAAGAAGCACATGGAGGCTGGGTGCGGTGGCTCACACCTGTAATCCCAGCACTTTGGGAGGCTGAGGCGAGCAGATCACAAGGTTAGGAGTTCAAGACCAGCCTGGCCAATGTGATGAAACCCTGTCTCTACTAAAAATACAAAAAATTAGCCAGGTGTGATGGTGGCCACCTGTAGTCCCAGCTACTCGGGAGGCTGAGGTAAGAGAATCGCTTGAACCCAGGAGGTGGAGGTGGAGGTTGCAGTGAACCAAGCTCACACCACTGCACTCCAGCCTGGGCAACAGAGCAAGACTCCATCTCAAAAAAAAAAAAAAAAAGAAGAAGCACATGGACTGAAAGCTGGGGAGGAATTGATCCCTAGAGAAATTAAGAGAAAAATGAAAGGCAATTGGACAGCAAAAACAACAGATGTCCACTCCACCCCCATAGCTTAAATCCCTTCATGGAAAACTCCCAGATCGGTCTTCAGTGTCTCAGGATTAGCAGTAACTAAAGACAGATATGATTACGGACTCAAAAATGGTACATAACCCTGCTTAAGAATTACATCCTACATAAACTCAATATTGAGCCTCGAAGTTGAGCCTCACTACTGAGTTCTTGAAGTCCAACCTCTTCTCAAGCAACTCATCTTTCCTTTCAGATTCAGTTGCTTCTTCCCATCCCAGACAGTTCAATTAGGAGGAGGGAGCCTGTATTGTGAATTTCTTCTACTTCTGCAAGTCTTGGTTCCATCCATTAATCAACAGTTCTGTGTCTTTTCTGGCCCTGGCTTCTCTGCTCCTCCACAACTTTTGTTTTTGTTTTTGCCTTTGTTTTCAGGTATCAGAGCATGTTAAAGATGCAGCGAACACATGCTTGGGAGATGTGGGAGGTCGTTGAGGGTGTCAGAGAGAGGGGAGGTGATGAGGAAAGCTTCACAAAGGGATTTGCAACTGAGCCTTAAGTAATGATTAGGAATTTTCTAGAACAAGAATGAAAGAAGGTCATTTCAGGCCTGAATCATTGGATCCAAAACTATTTTCATCTCATCTCTCTTTTGAAGAAAGAAAACTCTTTTCTCAACCCAGAAGTTGCAAACCAGTGGCCTGCAGATAGATCAGGCTGGCAGATGTGTTACACTTGGCCCACACAACATTTTGTAGAATTTTAAGTAGTTGCCAACATTTAAAAATGGTGAGATTTTTTTTACATAAGGATCCGGATTTCCAGCTGCTCTTGAAAACTCAGCTCTGACAGCCCTGGACCTAAGCTTCTACTGGGGCAACAATTGACTAAGTTGAGTAACACCTACCCTCTGCAGGGCTGTATGACCTGCTGACCTTGCTCCTTGTTCTGTTTTCTGCCTGGCGCCTGTTGGCATTGAGTTGGTAACTCTGTCTCAACCCAAACAACTAACCATTTATGTTTCAGACTAACTCCCATTATTATCATATTATAATACTATATTATATTTTATATATTATATTATTATATTATATAACAATCTAATCTGTTGCTACTACTCCCTTGCTTTGAATCCCCAGTGATTCTCCAAATCAGCAGAACAAAGTCTAATGCAGACTGGGTTTACCTCAAACACTTCCCCTCTATTTTACCTACCAACTCCCAAACCCCAAAACCCTCTATACTAAATGTTTGCCATTTCCTAATCCCATCCTTTCCCATGACTACATACTGTTAACATGTGCTATCCCCTCCACTGGTCAAATTTCCCTGTGTCTTCAATGTCCAATTCAGAGGTCAGTGTAGATCTCCCTGGCTTGTCTGGGTAAAACTGTCCCTCCTTCCTCAGGGCTCCCATCCAGCACCGCGTTCCTACCTTGGTTCCAACACCTGCCATGTTTCTCTCTAATTATCTGTTTACGTGGCTGCCTCCTCCACACCCACCCCAGACTGAGATCCTTGAAAGCAAAAACCGTGACTGATTCATCTTTGTATATTCAGTGCCTTTCTGTATACCTTGGCAGATATCAGATACTCAATAAATTCTTGTTAAACGAATGAAGAAAGGAACAAACACACAGGGAACAAATTGGCATGTGTTCATGGAATGTCACACCTCAACAATTGTAATGAAAGGAATCATTCCCACTGAAGCTTTTCTGTCTACTCTAGCCACACAGAATTGTTCCCTTCTCTGAATCCTTGTAGAAAGAGTAGTTTATGACAGCTCCTGAGTGAGTTATTAGAGGAAGCTAATTAGAAGGAGGTCATATCCTTTGGATATTGACAGATATAGGATTACAGAGCAAAAAAAAAAAAAAAAAAAAAAAAACCTCAGTGCTAGTCTCTGACCTTTCTAGCCCCCGGCAGCTACAGGCACCAAAGCCTGTGGGGCTGCAGTTCAGGTCCCAACATCAACTCTAGTCCAGGCAGAGAGAAACTCCATAGCTGAGACACCCCAGAGAGAAGTTCTAGGATAAGTTATTATTTTCTCACTCAGCTCCAGACACAATTGGTGCACTTGCAATTCCTTGAACATACCAAGCTCCCTCCCATCTCAGAGCCTTTGCACCTTCTATTCCCTCTGCCTGGAATTCTCTTCCCCTGTGTATCTACAGGACTCACTCCCTTACTTTATTCAGATCTCAGATCATATTTAACCTTAGTAGAAAAGCCTTCCCTGATCACCAATGTAAAACTGTAGAAGTGTATCCCACAGCTTGTTACCCTCTGTTCTTTACTCTGCTTGAAGGAGGAGCTAAAGGAATGAGGGCATTACGGACCAAAGAGAGCCAGGACTTGATGTCACCAGGACTCTACTCTCTTTCCTTTTCATCTCATATCCGTTTTTTGGTTTTGCTTGGCTCCTTTCTCTTCTACCAGGCAGGCTTTCTCTGTGTGAAAAAAAAAAAAAAAAAAAAAGCCATGAGTCACAGCCTCCAAACTCAACAACTAAAAGAGAAAGGAGTTTTCCCACCCATTCCAGTGAGAATAATCTCAGAAAAATCATCGGATTGGTCTAACTCAGGTCATAAGACTATCCCTAAGCCATTATCACAGTGAGAACATGTGTGTTCTTATTGATCAGGTCTGGGTCCTACCCCAGGATTGGCTTGGATAAGGCTTTTTCGGTTTGATTCATCTCTGAACCTATCACTGCAGCCAGAGGAGGACATGCTCACCTGCCCAGGCCTGCTCACATGCAGACTTGGAGCTGGGAGTGGAGCAAGTCCCAATTGAACTATATGGTTAAGAATCAGGGAGTGGAAAATCAAGGTGAAACGTACCTTCAAGACAGAGGAGACAAATGGGTACTGGACAGACAGGTGTATTCGCTACTTGATAATGACTTTACAGTTCCCAAAGCACTTGCTCCCATCCTTCATTTATCTCCATTGAATTCTCACAGCAAGTTCTATGTGAATGCCCCAACGTTATTATCCTCAGGGAGATATTTCATTTATTAAACAACCCGTATAGTTTGGGCACTGGCCAAGCAAAAGGGACTCCAGCTGTGAACCACAGGGATGAACACCCTGGTTAACAGCAGTAGAACAACAGCCTCATCACACCCATTTCACAGGTGAAGATGCTGAAGCCAGGAGAGATGTTTAGACTTGTGCCCAGGTGCATAAAAAATGGGTAGGAAGAACTTGAGACCCTTGATGCCAAGTATAGGCCCCTTTCCAATGTCCTAAACTATCCCTCTGTCCACACCCATCAGGGAAGTGAAGTGAGGCAGGATGGAGGGAACCAGAGGAGAGTTGCTATTATGATCCCAACCACGTGGAGAAAGAAGCCAGCATGCTGTAGCTTGCAAGGAGGCTGCTTAGTCGGTGCCACAAAAACCTGGAAAGCAGTGCCTGCCAGACGGCAGGGACAAGGAGCAGCCAATGAGATGGGAGTTTGCAGCCAGGATGGCAGATGCCAGGAAGGCTGCAGCTATTCTAGGATGCAGGCAGTGACTGCTCCATTACCCCAGCCCTCCCAGTCCCCATTTCCCTAGGGTATTGGGGAGATCTCCATCCTCTCTCCAGCTCCTTATTGATGTAGGGTCCGAAAGCTGAGACTTTAGAGTCAGGCAGTCAGGCCAAAGGGATTCAGCCCCTTAAAGAAAATGGTGAACTATCATCTCAAAACATGGAAAATGCTTAGTCACTGTCCTGAATACAACTCTACAGTCACCCAACCTATTCAGAATTCATCTGGTCCAAATGCCCCATGCTATTAGATGCAGAAACTGAGGCCAAGGGAGAGGATATGATTCGCTCCACGGCCCCACAGCATATTTGAAGGATAGCTGGGCATTGCCAGATTTCTCAGTTCAGGACTCCTTCCCCTGGGGATTGAGAGGCAGGCTGAGTCTCATTTGGGATCATGATCCTTCTATTTCATGGGGCTGTTGGAGCTTGGCCTTCCATGGCTAGATCAACTCTTGACCTTTATGCCTCACATTCTCCCAGTAAAGGCCATGTTGTAGCTGCAGGTGTGGATTCCTGCTACAACCCCTCTTCTCTGCCCTCATGTGCTCCACTGAGGACTATACAATGCACCCTCAGGCCCCACTCTCTATTCTGGATTCAGAGCCTGAACCAGCCCAAAGCACCCAGCCTTCACTTCTCCATCACGGTGTAGTTCCTCTCAGCTCTCCATACCAAAAGCATCTGTTGGGCAAAAACATCTTGGCCCAAAGTCCCTCCTGGAGTAAGGGAAAAACAAAAGAATAATAAGAAAGAAATTTCTCTTTTTCTGCTCCTGACAAGTACTAACCTTTCCATTGCCCCTACATTCTCAGCCTGGCTGGACAACAAAGAGTGTTTCACACAGGTCTGTCATGCCTTCAGTGTACAGCTTTGTGGTTAGGGGCACAAACTCTGGATATACCAGACAGTCCAGAGTTAGAATCCGCCTCTGCCATTGACTAGGTATGTGACCTGGAAACACCTTCTTTCCCCTGCCTGTTTTCTCATCTGTGAAATGGTGTCACCTCAAAGGGTTGGGAGACTTGAATGACATAAAGGATTTGGCTCTGTGCCTAGGATAGTCAGTGCTTGATGCTTTTTTTAGCAGTAGGAAGCTGTTAATTGCCACATGTTGTGGGATGAAGGGGATGTCACTACAGCCACCACTACCTTTCCTGCTCCTTTCAGTCCCTCTCAAGCTCTGGTTCTGCCAAAGCCTTCCCTGATTACTCTCATCTCTCCATCAGTCTTTCTTTCCAGAACCTGTACACCTCCATTTCCCATCCAGCTTAGTTCTGAATTAAATTCCATGTCTAATAGTTCTGATTTGGTGTTGTCCTTGTCCCCACCTAAAACCATAAACTCTCATCAGACAAGACCAATGGGTTTTCTTCTACCCCTGGCAGTGCAAAGTCCAGGACCAGGCAGGTGGGGGGTGCTGGAAAAGTTAGCAATTGAGTGATTGTACAGCCAATTTGTCACTTTCATGGGATCGGAGTGAGGCTATCTCAGAATCTTCTGTATCTACTTCATCTCTTGCTCTTTCCATTCTTTGATACTTTGACACATCCACATCCCAGAGCACATCATGAGATCCTGGAGCCAGACCTAGAAACCTATTAAACAAGGGAACCCCAGCATGTCTCATTTATTACCCAAAGGAAGGAAATTAGCATCACATGTATAAAGCACTCAGTAGTCTATAAAATGCTCTTAGCAATTCACTTCGTGAGGAAGTGCCTTTTCCCACTTCCACAGAGGGATACCGAGCCTCAAGGGATTAGGAGACTAATCCAGGCTCACACAGCTGATAAGGAACAGCCCAGACATTTTGGCCCAGTGCTGCTAGCCCTCAATCTGGTGCTTTGCCCTCTGCACCGCCTGCCATGCAGGGAATACATGTTAATATCTCTCTGTATTAGTCTGTTCTCATGCTGCTAATAAAGACATACCCAAGACTGGTTAATTTATAAAGGAAAGAGGTTTAACTGAATCACAGTTGCACATGGCTGGCATCATGGTGGAATGCAAAGGAGGAGCAAGGCCACATCTCACATGGTGGCAGGCAAGAGGGCATGTGCAGGGGAACTCCCCTTTATAAAACCATCAGCTCTCTGCTGGGTGTGGTGGCTCACACCTGTAATCCCAGCACTTTGGGAGGCCGAGACGGGTGGATCACCTGAAGTCAGGAGTTCGAGAACAGTCTGGCCAACATGGCGAAACCCCATCTCTATTAAAAATACAAAAAAAAATTAGTTGGGCGTGGCAGTGAGTGCCTGTAATCCCAGCTACTCGAGAGGCTGAGGCAGGAGAATCACCTGAGCCCAGGAGGCAGAGGTTGCAGTGAGCCAAGATCACGCCACTGCACTCCAGCCTGGGTGATAAGAGTGAAACTCGGTCTCAAAAAAAAAAAAAAAAAAAAAATCACATCTCACGAGACTTATTCACTATCATGAGAACAGCATGGGAAAACCCTGCCCCCATGATTCAATTACCTCCCACTGGGTCCCTCCTATGACATGTGGGGATTATTACAATTCATGGTGAGATTTGGGTGGGGACACAAAGCCAAACCATATCACTCTCTTTCTTGGCCACAGGTGGACTTGAAAAACCCTTTCCCTTAACCAAGCAGGAGCCCCAGTAGCTGCTTTGTTCAACGTCTGTTTCTCTAAGGTCTCCTACTCTGGAATATTTAGGAAAACCCAAGGTGGCTCAAAAAGATCATCCCTGTACCAAGCCTCAGGGATTCTAGTGTGACCCAACCTCTCCCAGTCCCTATAGGCATCTCTTTCAAACATCAGAACTGGTGCAGACTCAATAGAAGAAAGGTGTGACTCCAAGATGTCCTCCCTCACAGCCCTTTATCACAATGGGGCTCTCTTCACCGTAGAAGGGAAGGCTGAGGCTCAGAAATATGGTGTAGGCTTGGACTTTGGAAGGAGAATGACTAAGCTGAAGTTCTTCCTCTGCCATTTACAAGCTGTGTGACTTTGGAAAACTTTCTTAATGTTTTTGCTTTTAATTTCCTCATGTATAAAAGATGGGGTTGTCATACTTAGGTTTAAGACTATTGCACGTGCCTGTAATTCTAGCACTTTGGGAGGCCGAGGTGGGCAGATCACTTGAGGTCAGGAGTTTGAGACCAGCTGGCCAACATGGTGAAACACCATCGCTACTAAAAATATAAAAATTAGCCAGGCATGGTGATGCATGCCTGTAATCCCAGCTACTCGGGAGGCTGAGGCAGGAGATTCGCTTGAACCTGGGACGTGGAGGTTGCGTTGAGGCAAGATCACGCCACTGCACTCCAGCCTGGGCAACAGAATGAGACTCCACCTCAAAAAAATAGAAGACTATTGCAAAGATTTTAAAAGATGGCACAGGTACAACACTGAACACAGTGTTTCATGAGTGACAGTCATAAGCTTTTCTACCACCTAACTGTGTTACTTTTAGCAAACTACCTAATTTATCTCGGCCTCGGTTGTTTTGTGATTCTTTTCAAGGGAAAAAAAAAGCACCTCCCTTCATAAGCCTGCTATAAGAACAATATAAAATAGTTGACATAAAGCACTTAATCTCTTGCCTGTCACAGGAAAGGTGCTCAACACCTGTTAGCTCTGTGTTGATGTCCCCAGATCAGAGAGCCAGAAAAGGAGGGCTAAAGTTCCAACCAGGATCTTCTGGTTCCAACCCAGCAGCACCTGAGCAAGGTTGATAATGGTAAAGAAAAGAAGAAATAAGCAATAGGGGCCTCACAAACACAGGCAGGAATAAATCACTCCCATGTGGCAGTTTTCTGTGCCTGACCCAAGAGATAGGTGTTGCACCTTTATCCATGTGGACAGATAAGAAAGAGCAAAGGGCATAGGTCACAGAGGTGAGTATGACCTCATTGCAGTGCCAGGATATTTCCAGGCAATTGGCAAGACTTATTGACAATCATCCAATAAATAGGATAAATAGTTCTTACTTCCCAAGTGCCTGGGAAGAGAGCTTGCAGCTCTTTCCAATTCCTGCCTCTCATCTCTTCCTCCTCGGACACTGCAGCTCTCCGTTTCTGGAAAATCTCAGGGCAGAATCTGGGCTCCTTCCCACTTTCCTCTGTCCAGAATTCTAAGGATGCCTGGGAGAAGGCATCTGCCCTGAATGAATGGGTCAGAGGCATGATTCCAAGTGACTGGCTGGTAATTGGAAGAGCTCAGTGGTCTGGCTGGGGAGATGAGAGCCTGCTAAGCACATCTGGCCAGCATCAGAATCACAAATTGAAGAGAGCTTGGAAGGACTCAGCCCCCACTGACATTCACAAAGGAAGGAAAATGTAGGGAGCCAGACAGAAAGGAGTGATGCTCTTCAAAGTCAACAGGCTTATAACAAACACCATCTCATAGGTGAAAGTGGGAGCACAGAACAGGCACACTCAGCTAACACACAGCTTTCTGAGGGAGGTCATCCTCCACCAAATGAAAATAGCCCTGCTTTTTCATTTTTTAATTTTTATTAATTTTTAAATCAACAAATAAAAATTATATATATTGGCCAGGTACAGTGGTTCATGCCTATAATCCCAGCACTTTGGGACGCCAAGGCAGGAGAACCACTTGAGACCAGGAGTTCAAGACCAGCCTGGACAACATAGTGAGATCCCATCACTACAAAAGAAAAAATATTTAAGGAAAAAAATTGTATATATTTATGGCATACGATGTGAAGTTTTGACATATCTACACATTGTGAAATGATTAAATCAAGCTAATTAACATATCCATCATGCCACATCCTTAAATTTTTATGGTGAGAACATTTAAGATCTATCTCAGCAATTTTGAAGTGCATGCTATTGTCACCATGCTACACAATAGACATCCAGAATTTATTCATCTTGTCTAGCTGAAACATTGTATCCTTTGACCAACATCTCCATACCTCTCCTGCATACCTCCCAGCCCCTGGTAACCATTATTCTCCTCTGCTGCTATGAGTTCGATTTGTTCGGATTCCACATATAAATAAGATCGTGCAATATATTTCTGTTTATGCCTGGCTTATTTCACTTAGCAAAATGTCCTCCAGTTTCATCCATGTTGTCACAAATGACAAGATCTCCTTCTTTTTTAAGACTGAATAGTATTCTATTGTGTACATGTACCACATTTTCTTTATCTGCTGTATTAGTCTGTTTTCACACTGCTGATAAAGACATATCCAAAACTGGGAACAAAAAGAGGTTTAATTGGACTTACAGTTCCACATGGCTGGAGACGCCTCAGAATCATCACAGGAGGTGAAAGGCAGTTCTTACATAGCAGCAGCAAGAAAAAATGAGGAGGAAGCAAAAGCAGAAACCCCTGATAAACCCATCAGATCTCATGAGACTTATTCACTATCACGAGAATAGCACGGGAAAGACCGGCCCCCATGATTCAATTACACACTCCCCGCCCCTGCTGGGTCCCTTCCACAACACGTGGGAATTCTGGACAATATAATTCAAGTTGAGATTTTGGTGGGGACACAGCCAAACCGTATCATTCTGCTCCTGGCCCCTCCGAATCTCATGTCCTCACATTTCAAAATCAATCATGCCTTCCCAACAGTCCCCCAAAGTCTTAACTTATTTCAGCATTAATCCAAAAGTCCACAGTCCAAAGTCTTATCTGAGACAAGGCAAGTCCCTTTCACCTATGAGCCTGCAAAATCAAAAGCAAGCTAGTTACTTCCTAGATACAATGGGGATACAGGTACTAAGTAAATACTGCTGATCCAAATGGGAGAAATTGGCCAAAACAAAGGGGCTACAGGGCCCATGCAAGTCTGAAATCTAGCAGGGCAGTTAAATTTTAAAGCTCAAAATGACCTCCTTTGACTCCAGGTATCACATCCAGGTCACACTGATGCAAGAGGGGGGTTCCCATGGTCTTGGGCAGCTCTACCCCTGTGGCTTTGCAGGATACAGCCTCCCTCCTCACTGCTTTCACAGGCTGGCATTGAGTGTCTGCGGCTTTTCTAGGAGCATGGTGCAAGCTGCTAGTGGATCTACCATTCTGTGGTCTGGAGGATGGTGGCCCTCTTCCCACAACTCCAGTAGGCAGTACCCCAGTAGGGACTCTGTGGAGGGGCTCCAACCTCACATTTCCCTTCTGCACTGCCCTAGCAGAGGTTCTCCATGAGGGCCCCACCCCTGCAGCAAACTTTTGCCTGGGCATCCAGGCATTCCCATACAACTTCTGAAATCTAGGCAGAGGTTCCCAAACCTCAATTCTTGACTTCTGTGCACACATAGGCTCAACACCACATAAAAGCTGCCAAGGCTTGGGGCTTCCACCCTCTATACTCACAGCCCAAGCTCTACCTTGGCCCCTTTCAGCCATGGCTGGAGTGGCTGGGACACAGGGTACCAAGTCCCTAGGCTGCACAGCACAGGGACCCTGGGCCCGGCCCATGAAACCACTTTTTCCTCCTGGGCCTCCAGGCCTGTGATGGGAGGGGGATGTTGTGAAGGACTCTGACATGGCCTGGAGACATTTTCCCCATGGTCTTGGGGATCAACATTAGGCTCCCTGCTACTCATGCAAATTTCTGCAGCTGGCTTGAATTTCTCAAAAAATGGGTTTTTCTTTTCTATTGCATCATCAGGTTACAAATTTTCTGAACTTTTACTCTCTGTTTCCCTATTTAAATGGAAGCTTTTAATAGCACCCAAGTCACATTTTGAATGTTTTGCTGCTTAGAAATTTCTTCCACCAGGTGCATCACTTGAGGTCAGGAGTTTGAGACCAGCCTGGACAACACGGTGAAACACTGTCTCCACTAAAAATACAAAAATTAGCCAGGCATGTGGTGCACATGTGGTGGTAATCCCAGCTACTTGGGAGGCTGAAGCAGGAGAATCACTTGAGCCCAGGAGGCAGAGGTTGCAGTGAGCCAAGATTGCACCACTGCACTCCAGCTCGGGCAACAGAGCAACACTCCATCTCAAAAAAAAAAAAAAAGAAAAAAGAAAAAAAAGGAAAAGAAATTTCTTCTGCCAGATACCCTAAATCATCTCTCTCAAGTTCAAAGTTCCACAGATCTCTAGGGCAGGGGCAAAATGTCGCCAATCCCTTTGCTAAAACATAACAAGAGTCACCCTTGCTCCAGTTCCCAACAAGTTCCTCATCTCCATCTGAGACCACCTCAGCCTGGACCTTATTGTTCATAACAGTATCAGCATTTTTGCCAAAGCCATTCAACAAGTTTCTAGGAGGTTCCAAACTGTCCTGCATTTTTCTGTCTTCTTCTGAGCCCTCCAAACTGTTCCAACCTCTGCCTGTTACCCAGTTTCAAAGTTACTTCCACATTTTCAGGTATTTTTTGAGCTATGCCCAACTCTACTGGTACTGATTTACTGTATTAGTCTGTTTTCTTGCTGCTGATAAAGACATACCTGAAACTGGGAACAAAAAGAGGTTTAATTGGACTTACTGATCCACACGGCTGGGGAGGCCTCAGAATCACGGTGGGAGGCAAAAGGCACTTCTTACATCTACTCATCCATCAATGGACACTTAGGTTGATTTCATATCTTGGCTATTATGAATAATGCTGCAATAAACATGGGAATGCAGGTAAGTCTTTTACAAGCTGGCTTTCATTTTCCTTAGGATAGCTCTGCTTTTTATCTCCCTGTACCATTCTGTCTTCTTTTGAAACACTTTTTATCTCTTTTTATTTTTCAATGATTTAAGATTCATCTCCTCTGCTTCACCCCTCCCTGAGCATGGATCTTTTCTGGTTTGTCGGCTGCTGTATCTCCAGTGCTTAGCAAGTTGCCTGATACAGCTAGGGGCTCAATAAATATTTGATGATCGCTTATGAAAAGATCTCTCTTTCTGACATTTGCTCAGGTAGGACTACAGTGAGGTTTGTGACCAGCTGCTCCCACAGCCCCTCTTCAGATGTGACTAGAGTCAGCTTTCAAATTCATCAAGTCCTAGTTCCACCTCTTATTTGCTGTGAAGTCTCAGGCAAATTATTTAACCTCTGTCCCTGTACCCTGATTTGGTTTTCTTCACAGCATTTATCATCACCTGTCATATATTTGTTTGTGTTTGTACTTATCATCTATCCCCTCTGACCAAAAACTGAGCACCAAGAGAGTAGGGACCTTTTGTTCACTGCTAACAGAAGGCATAGTTAAATATTTAACAACCAAGCATCATGGACACTGACCATTCAGAGTGGACGTCTGCCTCATAAGCTGTGCAGGGATATATGCTGTACAGGTAGATCAAACCTGGGTCTGATATATAGTAGGTGTTGAATAAATGTGTGTTAAATAAGTGGATGAATTTCAGCCGGTCACCCTCTCTGTACCCTCTGTACATTATATCTATTCAGCATATATTGGTTCCTGTCCACTCCCATGGTGGTCTTTTCTGGTCAGCTAATGAAGAGTCCCCCTATGGCCCCATTCTCTCTCCTACTATAGTAAAATTGATCTCTCTCAATAGGACCTCAAAGCAACAGCATCTGCTACTTCTACTTCTTATCATTGAGTGTTAATTTTGATCTTTTAGTTCATCCCTTTATATCCACTTCTATTTCGTCTAGCAACCCCCAGAAGCCTCTCTTTCCATTATCAAGAGTGGTCAACAGCAGTGTCCCGAGATAGACATTTAACCAGCCTGCCTCAGCCAGAGAGGTTTTATGGGCTTTCAGCCAAGAGAACCCATGAGCAGGTACTGCTGACCTGATGCTCAAGAATTGACTCATTCATGCAGCAAATATTTGTGAAGTTTCTGTGGTTATTATATGCTAGACACTGGAGAAAAAGATTCAAACAAAATACCTGTACCTGCCCACAAGATGCTGACAGCCTAACAATGGAAACAGACAGGTAAACAGACAATTACCTTGAGAATTCCTGACAGAAGCGAGAGAAGAGGGGCAGGGAGTTGCAGTTCCTAACAAATTTTATTATGTTCTCCCATTAACTTTTCAGGAAAATACATTTAATAAGCACTTGGCAACTCAGGTTGTATATTGGTGGGGACAATTCTAAGCCTTATAGCTGCCTTAGGCTTGCAGGACAGTGGCAATGACTCCAGGAAAGATTTGGCCAAGAGAGTACTGGGTGACAAGAGGAGCTACGCTCCACTCACCCTTCTTTTCCCATCTAGCCTTGCCTCCACTCGAGGTTGTTCTCCCTGCCAGGGAGGTGGTCACAGGACTGGAGCCACCTACCATTCACATTATGTATGAATGCATGTTGTCTGGCAACAGATAATCATTAGATTTTACTGTTTATGCTTCCAAGTTAACCACATCCCCCCTTCTACAAACACACACATGCACACATGCACACATACTGTGCGTGCATGCACATACCCATGTATGCACACACTCGGGAACACACAGGCATGCATGCACACACACACACCTCCGTGGTGGTCAGGAATCATGCAGATGTTGAATCACGTCAACATCAAATTACAAAGGGATGATGTGGAGGATCACTAAGGCAGGAGCATGAAGAATATATCATAAAAGCTCAAAAACTGGACCAAGGATGCAGAAAACAAGAAGCAGAAAGGACATGCGAACTGGTCACAAGTAAAAGGATAGGCTGCAATTGTTATCTAAAGACTAAGTGCTGTTATTTGAGGTGTGGCTCCATATTCACCTCCACCAACTCCCTACCAAAATAATAAAATAATAGTCATAGTTATGGTTTGTTGAGAGTTGACAGATACTATGCTACACATTTTACATGAGTCATTTCATTAATAACCATGAGTCAGGTATTATTATTATTATTATTATTATTATTATTAATTACACCAAAGCTTTTATTCCTAACACTATGCTACATAGCCTCCTATCATATAATATTGCCTCCCAGGTTGAATCAAGAGATTTTAGCGTCAGGAACGGAAGTCATCCAACTCATTTTCTTTTTTCTTTTCTTTTTTTTTTTTTTTTACTTTTTTGTTTAGAGCCAGAAACTCACTCTGTTGCCCAGGCTGGAGTGCAGCAATTAAGTTATAGCTCACTGCAGCCTCAGTCTCCTGGGTTCAAGTGATCCTCCTGCCTCAGCCTCCCGAGTAGATGAGCCCACAGGTGCATGCCACCATGCCAGGCTGATTTTTTTATTTTTTTATAGAGATAGAGTCTCGTTATGTTGTCCGGGCTGGTTTCAAACTCCTGGCTTCAAGCAGTCCTCCCAAATTGGTCTCCCAAAGTGCCAGGATTACAGGTGTGAGGCACTGCGCCCAGCCCCATTTCCTTTTCATATAATGATACTACTCATAATTGTTATAGTAATGGCCAATTCCTTGAGATTCTATAAAGGACCAAGGACTATGCCAGGTTCTACATGGATTGCCTCTTTGAAATCTCTCCACGGCCCTGTGAGGTGCATCCTAAAATCATGCCCATTTTAGATATGAGGAAATTGAGCACAGTGAGGTTAGGTCATTAGCCTAAGGGCACACAGCCAGTGAGTGGTGAAGTATTAGTTAATTTTCGCTCTGCTTTATTCCATTAACATGATTGTGCATGCTGTCCAGGCAACAATATCACCCATCAGGATGCCACAATTAATACTGTTCTATTTGGTGTTTCTTTTCATTATAAGATGCTTTCTTAGCACCCTCTGTTGCTGAACACTGGACATTCACATTACTTCCATCTTTTTCTTTATCATAAATGTTCCTTCTATGAATATTTTTGAACGAACTAATTTCTTACTAATTGCCGAGTCAAAGGTATAAGCAATTTCTTAAGTGGGTCTGAGCCAATTCCCAGTGCCCCTCAAAAAGGTACATGCATCTCATTCCCCCAAAGCCAGCACATGTAGTTTTACAGGTGGATTTATTGTTACTAGTTTAACGTATTATCACTAAATGGTTTTTATGTTTATGTCTTTAATTTTTAGCCAGACCATGCATCTTTCCACATGACATTTATGTTACTTTTCTATTGCTGCATCACAAATTACCACAAACTTAGTGGCTTAAAACAATGCCCATTGATTAGCTCATACCTCTGGGGATCAGAAGTCCTGGTACAGCATAGCTGGGTTTGATACTCGGGGAATCACAAGGCTGTAATCAAGGTACTGGCTGGCCTGCTGCATTCTCACCTGGAGCTTGGGCTTAATCATCTTCCGAACGTGTTCAAGTTGTTGGCAGAATTCAGCTCCTTGTGGGTGTAGAATTGAGGTTCCCATTTTCTTGCTGACTGTTGGCAGTGATCAATCATAGCAACTGGAGTCCACTCTCAAGTTCTTCCCACATGTTCCCCTCTATTCTCAGAGCTAGCAATGGAGAATATCCCTGGAGTCAAATACCCTTTCAGGAAGGGCGGGGAACTTTTAATGGCTCACCTGATTAGGTAAGGCCCACCTAGATAGCCTGCCTTTCGATTAACGTGAACTAACCTAATCATAGGCGTTTTATCCCATTGTATTCACAGATTCAACCAGGAAGTGGTCAGCTTGAGGGCTATACTGGTTTCCTATTGCCGCTATAGCAAATCACCACAAACATAGTGGCTTACAGCCACACCCACTGATTAACTCATTTCTCTGGAGGCCAGAAGCCTAAAATGGGTCACCAGGGATGAATTCCTTCTGGAGGCTCTAGGATAGAATCTGTTTCTTCGTTTTATCTAGCTTCTAGAGGCTGCCTGCCTTCCTTGACTAATGGTTCCTTCCTCCATCTCCAAAGCTAGCAGTGTAACACCTTCAACCTCTTCTTCCATCCTTACCTCTCCTTCTCTGACTCTCCTACCTCCCTCTTTCCTTTCTAAGGATCCCTGTGATTACATTGGACCCACCTGCACAATCTAGGATAATCTTCCCATCTCATGTCCCTTAAGACGACATTTTCCTGGGTTTTGAGGATTAGAAAATGGATATTTTGGGGGCCCACTATTCTATCTACCACAAGGGCCATCTTAGAATCTTACCTACCACAATGTTATACTTTCTGTATCTGTATTGGAGTAATTTGTGTATTATAGCAATTTATAAGAACTGTATTTGTAGCAATTCTTAATATATTTTCCATGTATTGGGTCAAATGATTTTCATGTAAAATTTATATTTCCATTGACTGTCTTTCTTTTCTCTCTGATTTTGTTTTATCATTTTTTGCTCAGCAAAACCCCATTATCTTTTAAGTCATATGTTTGAAAAATGACATTGTCCATTTCCTGCACACACAGAAAGATATCTTCTCTCCACAGCTAAGATAAATGTGCTATTCTGTTCTCTTCCTGACTTGTATTTTTTTATTGCTTGTTTTTCCTTTGGACCATTTGAATTTTTTTCAGAGCAAAAAAATGAAGTATGGAGCTAATGTCTCAAGACCATTTCTTGCTTTGAGGTTGATTCCAACATTTTTGTACTTTCCCATTTTTCATACTCTGTATTGTGATAGTGAGAACCACTTCCAGAAACTATAGTCTCGTCTATGGTCATTTTTCAAAGAACAAATGTTTTTTAACTTTTAAGTTCAGGGATACAGTGCAAGTTTGTTACTTAGGTAAACTTGTGTCATGGGAGTTTGTTGTACAGATTATTTTATTACCCAGGTATTAAGTCTAGTACCCATTAGTTATTTTTCCTGATCCTCTCCCTCCTTCCCACCTCCACTCTCCTATAGACTCCAGTGTGTGCTGTTCCCCTCTATATGTCCATGTGTTCTCATCACTTAGCTCCCACTTATAAGTGGGAACATGCAGTATTTGGTTTTCTGTTCCTGCATTGGTTTGCTAAGCATAATGGCCTCCAGCTCCATCCATGTCCCTGCAAAGGACATAATCTTACTCTTTTTTTTGTGACTTCATAGTATTCCATAGTAAATATGTACCATATTTTCTTTATCCAGTCTATCATTGATGGGCATTTAGGTTGATTTTATGTCTTTGCTATTGTGAATAGAATGCACAAATATTTAGTAAGGTCATCAAGTGGTTTTTAGTTTGCAAAATTTTTTTTAATCTTTTAGTTAAATGAGTCCATCATCTTTACTTTGAAGCATTTCCTGTCATCATCATCATCACCATCATCTTATTAACATGATCTGTGCATTCTTGCCAGTTTTTCTCCCAAATGGTTTTCATTACCAGTTCACCAGATTCTGATTCAGACACTTTAAGCTACGATACTGAAGAAAGCAGAATCATCTTTGTTATTTTTATACTTTCCCAGCAACTAGAGAGATTACCTTTTTCCATTTCTTCCTCCATCTTCATTCTATTAAGGTTTCATTATTTTCCTTGAATGAATTTCTTATGTGGTAGATTAAATTAATTCTCATGTATTTAAAGATTTCCTGCCATTGTTACAGCTAATTTAGCACGTATTCAGGAAATCATAGTAATGAAAATTATTTTTCAACTCATTTCATTTGTGCAACTCTTTGATTGATTTCTGTGTATTTTCCCAGTAGAGTAAATCCTTGACAATCATGGATTGAACAATCACAGTTTCAATAACTTGCAAGAGACCCCAAAAGGCCGTGACACATAATCATTTATCATTTTGCTGGGGTTCAAAATAGAATCACTCCTACTGCAAGAATGCTGTGCAGGAAAAAGTCATTTTGTGAAGGGAAACAGCCAACCACCCAGTATGGGTGTCTCAACATGAATTCATTTAATGAATTCATTGAATTTTATTATCTACATATCTAGTAACTCTCATAAAGTGATACACATTTCTTTGTGTAAAAAAAAATAAAATGACCTCTATGGAAGCCACCTGCTATTACTAAAGATACTTAAGCAAGAGATAGTCTATAATAAATTTCAGCTCCATATTTCCCAAACCATGCTCACAAAAAACTATTCCCAATATTAACAGTTCTGACAAAAAGAAGGAAGAGGAGGTAAAAGGTGAGAATAGGAGAGGAAGGGGAGAGAGAAAGGCAGTAGAGGAGGGAGAGCAGAAGATAAAAGAAAATTACAGATCCCAAAAAAGTTTAGGAAATGCTGGATATTATATATTCCTCATTCCCCAATGCCGTCACTTGTGGACTGGCCCTAACCATTTACGCATTAACTTGTGGACTGGCCCTAACCATTTACACATTAAAGCCTCTGAGAAATCTTACAGTAAATAAACTCATTTCATTTTGTTTAACTCAGTGTTTCTCAAACTTATTTAAGAACCTCATGGCACACAGTGTACCTTGGGACGCCAATTTGGGATTCATAGAAACCCATAATGATTTGTAAAATGATTAAAGGTGGTATAAAGTCACGTAAAATATTTCTGTCTCATTGAACCTCACTTCTACAGAAGATATATGCAATGACAATGTTCTTGAATTAGGGGTTTCTGAAGGTTTTGCAACTCATTTGCACAGGAATACATTCAAATCATCTGCAAATGTAATATTTTCCTTTCTTAACTTCTTACTTTTTGAGCAATTTATTTGTTTTTCTTTCTCCATAACTGTTTTAGAGATTTTATATTCTGCTGTTTGTTTATTTTACTTTGTTTTATTTGTTCATTTGACAAAGCCATCTGTACAGTGTTCTAAGTGCTTTATTTATAATGGCTCATATATCTAGCAACCCTGTGACTTAGGCGTCATTATCCCTACTTCAAAGGTCAGAAAACTGAGTTTCAAACGGTGATGAGGCATCTTACCTAGATCCTATTTTTTAAGGAACACAGTAACTAATGTTTTCCTTTAGTTATATTATTAATTCTAATTTTAAATATAAACTTCGTATCATGTAAAGAAAGAAAATCTTCATGAGTTACCTTTAGTCAACACTAAATATTGAACTATGCTGGATAGCTTTTTTAGCCTCCATTCAGATAATTATGTTTTCTACCATTTTTCCATAGGATGCTAGCTTTACTTTCCGGAGGCCAACAGTCCTCAGTTAGAATAGATTACTTGTTTCATTGTGTTGCGTTTTCTGGGTTAAGATTAATATTTTACTTCTAAACTCATAAGTGAGATTAAACAAACATTCCTTTTTTTAAGCAGGGAGTGAAATCTCATTTACCTCAGTCAACTCAATATACAAATATTTATGGAGTGGCTGCCATGTTACTCTGTGCCAGAGACTGTAGAACATGAAAGATTCAAAATGAGCATCTGAGAGAACACAGAAGGGAACTGACTTTCTACAAGCATATAGCAAAAAGAATCATGTTAGAGAAGACAACAACCATGATTTTAAGAACTTTATAAATGCCCAGAATCTGTATAACTTCACACTTGTTATTTTCTATTACTCCATTTTGGATCCCCCAAAGACCTAAGCTCTTACTTAAATGCGAGAGGCCCCAGGTCAACCAAATGAAGCAGCTCCATGAGGGAGGAGTCTATGTCCATCTTGTCGCCCACCATCTGGCCAAGTACCCAGCATACAGTGAATGCTCAATAAATATTTATTAAGCAAAGAAATAAGTCAGCTCTTTGAGCAAACCAACCGGTCAAGACAATTTTTAAAATGCAGGACAGCTAGAGACTTGTTTAATGGGTGAGCAAGAAAACAGGTATTGCACAAATTTCATCCTCATCTGAAGTCACTCCAAGGAAGCTTGGAAGCATGGGAACAAGACAACAGACAGAATCCCTTAGGCCTGGAGAAAGAAGAAAGGATCACAAGCTTCCTTTCCCCTTAACAGACCCAAGTGTCTGTAGAGCCCCAGGTGCCCCCACCTGGCCAAGTAGTTGGCCTTTTGGACCCCAAAAGTTCTCATATCCCAAGCCAAGGGGAAATTGGTCTACTCCAGCCAAGCCTCCTAGCCCCAGAAAGCCCATGGGGTCAGGACTTAGGGACAATCAGGGAACATATAAAAGGTCTTTCCTGCAATAATGGTCCCTAACAAGCCCTGAGCCAATCACCTGGTAGCTGGAGCCCAAAATACCTTCCAACCCAGGTAAGTAGATATTATATGGTGACTACAAAGATATATCCCATCAAGTGAGCAAACTTATCATATTCACATCCCTTTTTTGTTTCCATTCCTATTCATGTTTTCAATGTCCCCATTCTTCACTCGCCCCATCCCCCACTAAGTCCCTTTCTCCATTCATTGCAAGCCCTCTTAGTTTTTTCTTCTGGATCTGATGCCCTTAAGCCATCCCTCCTCTGTCTCCGATTCCAGGTCCACACCTTGCCCCTACTACGACCTCTCCCACTGGGCCCTGCCTGATCCTCTTTCTCTGCCCCTGTCCAGTTGCCCACCCTTGTCTCCCCCTCTTCTCCTCGCTCTATCCCCAGGATCCTGTGGGCGGCTGTGAATTTTGCCCTGTGCTTCCTTCTCTCCTCTCTCTTTGTGGTGGGGTCCACAGCCAGTTCTCCTGTTGCTCAAAAATGTGGAGGCAGTTGCTAAGAGACAGCGAAACGTCAGTACCTGGCCCTCGAGGAAAAAAAAGGGGAGTGAAAAAGGGAGAGAACTGGGGGAGGGATGGAGGGAGGGAGAGAGAGAGGGTGGGAAGGGGGGAGGGAGGGGGAAGACCTGGCTCTGGCGGAAGCCTTATACCCCAGCAGCCTGGGCACCAGCTGAGTTTCAGAAAGAAGCATTCAGATTCTGTGAACTTTCTTCCGAGCATCCTGTCTCTGTGATTTCCCTTTGGGTGAAAGAAGGGGCAGGGGGACCGCAGGACGGGAAATCATAGAAGATGCTGGCCTGGGATCCGGGAGACAAGGAGGAGGAGAGGCCGGGGGAGGGGAACAGCCTGGGAGGCAATCTGTTCTGAAGCAAGCAAGGAGCAAGCGGGGATTCCAGGAGGAGGGAGGGAGACCCGCGTCTGCCGCAGATTGATGGCTGTGTCCTTGGAACGGAGTGAGTAGGCTCCTGGGGCCTGTGGGAGTGCGAGGGGGAGACCTGGGGCTTAGAAAAATGAGTCTGCATGAAGGGGAGCTGGGGTGATTTCCAGGTGGGCGGGATTGAGGCTTGAAGCGGTAGGAAAATAGGCAGCGCCAGGCCGAGGGTGAGGGGAGGACCGAGGACAGCAGGTGGGCAAGGGAGAAGCGAGAGGGCGCGGGGCGCGAGGGCTGAGGCTCTGGGCGTGGCATCACTCTCGGTCCCTCTGCTGGGGGCGGCGAGGAGAGTGCAGTGTGTGGAAAGGGATGCTGGGATGAAGGGTGTGCGCTGAGAGGGGGGCGAAAGATGCTGGGGGTCGACTGGGGAGGGGTCTGCAGAATCGCCTGTGCAGAAGGAAGCTGGAGCGAAAACCGCGAGGCGTGAGCACGGGGCAGGGCAAAATACGGGGGAGTCACAGAATGGTGTGTGAGTGAGTGTGTGTGTGTGCGTGTGAGAGAGAGAGGAGTGCTTAGAGTGTTTGAAAGGGGTGTGCAAACCCCCAGAGTGTGGATGCAGATTTTTCTTAGGGAGTTGTTCAAGGGTGGCGTGTTTGGTACTAATGAGGGTGGGGTTATGAGAAGAAGAAGAAAATGCATCTAACCCAAGACAGGAACCCAGAGGAGGATGGCTGCAGGTTGGGTCAGGGAGGGCTCGTGGGTAACAGCAATGTGAGCCTGGGGTCTGAACCTACCATGGCCCACACCTGACAGACAGTAAGCAGAGAACTTTGTGGTTGGGGGAGCAAAGGAAAGAGACAAAGATAAGCCAAGCGTCCTAGGTGAAGGGACAAGGGAGTGTCAAGGGCACAGGATTTCTCTGCCTGAGTGCTTTCCTTGTTGACAGAGGGAATTTGGCCTCCACCTGCTGAACACAGAACTGCGCTGAGGAAGGCACTGGCTTGGAGAAGATGCCAGAGCTCTGCCAGCTGACACTCAGCCTGCACCTTCAGGACTCATGACTTCTTCTGGCCCCAGAGGCCCAGACAGTGGGCATCACCTGGGGTCCTCCTCTCTTTGGGAAAAAAAGAGGCTTCCTGGGGATTCCAGCAGCCACTGAGGCTGAGGACTCTCAGGCTTTTAGGAGGCCCATGGAGACTCACTTCCTCCCGGGCCCTTTTCCCAAAACACCCACCCTGGGACCCCCTTGGACTCCAGCCCACCAGGCCACCAGGACAAATGGCCTCTGAGACCTTCAACACTGAAGACCCAGGTGCAGCCCCGGCTTCCTAATCAGTCCCAGACGTGGGACAGGACTTAAGTTTTCTCAGAAGAAGTGCCAAGGATCTTTAAAGGGCACGTTTCATCTCCTTCAGCCCCTCCCTCCCAGACACAGCACCAAGAGGAAACATCCAGCAGGCATGGGTGAGAGAGACACAAAAGATCTGCAGGAACTCTTCCAGGACTTGCTGGCAGCTGACCTAGCCCCATTCTTGTCCCCTCCCTTTCTCAGGTTTTGATCATCATTCCAGACCCTAGGGGACCTCAACTGGGTGTCTTGCCCCCTAGGCTCCGGAAGGGGACCTCCCGTGGATCTCAGGAAGCCCTCTGGTGCTCAGAGGCTCCTGGGAAAGTCCCTAGCCATGATACCACATGCTCAGAAGCCCCACCTTCACAGACGCTGGCCCCAGATGTAGCTGCCTTCCTGTGTCACAGACTCTCGATTCCATGGACACAGTCCTCATGGGCTCCCTCCAGCACTGCTGTTGCCTGCTGCCTAAGATGGGTGACACTTGGGCCCAGCTTCCCTGGCCCGGGCCACCCCACCCAGCAATGCTGCTGATCTCCCTCCTCTTGGCAGCCGGGTTGATGCACTCGGATGCCGGCACCAGCTGCCCCGTCCTTTGCACATGCCGTAACCAGGTGGTGGATTGTAGCAGCCAGCGGCTATTCTCCGTGCCCCCAGACCTGCCAATGGACACCCGAAACCTCAGCCTGGCCCACAACCGCATCACAGCAGTGCCGCCTGGCTACCTCACATGCTACATGGAGCTCCAGGTGCTGGATTTGCACAACAACTCCTTAATGGAGCTGCCCCGGGGCCTCTTCCTCCATGCCAAGCGCTTGGCACACTTGGACCTGAGCTACAACAATTTCAGCCATGTGCCAGCCGACATGTTCCAGGAGGCCCATGGGCTAGTCCACATCGACCTGAGCCACAACCCCTGGCTGCGGAGGGTGCATCCCCAGGCCTTTCAGGGCCTCATGCAGCTCCGAGACCTGGACCTCAGTTATGGGGGCCTGGCCTTCCTCAGCCTGGAGGCTCTTGAGGGCCTACCGGGGCTGGTGACCCTGCAGATCGGTGGCAATCCCTGGGTGTGTGGCTGCACCATGGAACCCCTGCTGAAGTGGCTGCGAAACCGGATCCAGCGCTGTACAGCAGGTAATAGAGGGGCAGAACGGGGCAGTCAACAGGGAGGGCTTGCCTCAATGGGAAGCAAAGGCTCCAAAGAAAGCGGGGGAACTTAGAGCCAGAAAGCACCTACTGCATTTTCTAATGTGGGCTTGCCTCTTTGTACACCAGCTCGGCCAACAGGTTGTTTGTAGAATCCTTCCAGTGCATGTGAGGCACCGAGGGCCCATTCATTCATTAAATAGATGTCCCTCACCACTGCGCTGCTCATGACCTAATGAGGCAGACGGATAGTAGACAAGTGAGAATAGCCTATGGTTGGTGGTTTTTATTGAGCTTTCACCATGACCTAAGATCTTGGCATCCATTATCTCATGAGACCCCCATTTTTATTATACCCATTTTCCAGGTGAAGAAACTGAGATTTAGAACAATAAAAAGGCTTGACAGGAATCACACACTTAGAAAGTGGCAGGGCCATGAAAAAAATACAAATTAAAAAATTAAAAAGTGGCAGGACCATGAATAAAACCTAGATTTATCTGACTTCTAAGCCCTGTTCTAATCTACCAGAATGCTTTTTTAGCATTCCAAGTGTTGGAAACTCTCGTATAAATAGTAATGACTAACACAATCTCAACAGAGCTGCAATAGCTTAAGTTGCGTGACAGCCAATATGTTCCAGGAGGAACTTGAGACCTTAGTACTTGCTATTTACCAGGCCCTCTCTTAAGCAGCTTTACCTATCTCTTCCTATCCCCAGAAGAACACTAATGAGATTGCCACTCTACAGAGGAGGAAGCTGAGGCACAGAGAGGTTCAGTAGCTTGTTGGAAGTTACACAGCTGCTAAGTGTTGAAGCCAGGATTTGAGTCCTGGCAATCTCCCTGACTATATCCTGAAGAGTCAGGTTCTGGCCTGCCGGAAGAGTCAGAACCTGAGTCCTGGACTGGCCAAAGGGCTGCAGTAGAGTTCCAGGACCTCATGCAGCTCCAAGACCTGGATCTCAGCTACGAGAACCTGGCTTTCCTCAAACTCAAGGCCCTGAGCAGTGTAAACTTTGGGCACAGGGTAGGGAGCTGAAAGGAAGACTGAGATGCGGCAACTCAACCAGCCAATCCCAACTGGAGGGTGGACTGGGGCCTGAAGAAGCCCAAATCACATAGGTTTGATGGGCATCCCAACCCAGTGGCATCTGAGCCTGACCCAGAGGCAGGCAATGTTCAGCTGTGGCCCTAGCCACCAGCTCTCCTGTGTGACAACACCAAGACTTGGCACAAGAACCCAGAAGTAGTAGCTGAAGGCCCTATCCAAGGGGCTTTCCCAGAACCTGAGCTCAGCCCATGTTGAGAAGAAGCAATGCTGAATGTGGTAAAAGGGAGAGGAGGACTGAGTGGGGAGCCCAAGACCAAAATAGTTTGGGGAGGGCTGTGGGTCACGATTCCAGTGTTTCCACAGAGCTGTAGGAGGAAATTCTCTTGCATCAAAATAGCTGGGGACTGGGATGGGGCGATGGTGGAGGGCAGGAGTGGGAGGATGCCTGGAGCAATCTCTCAACTTGCTCAAACTTGGCAGGCGCGCCTTCCCTCTCTCTCCTGTGCACTAATAACAGAAAGGGCACCCAAAGCACTAAGCTTACATTACACCCAGGGACTCCTTTTCTGTGATCTCTGAGGTCCCTGCTGCTCTGAAGAAGCTCAGACTCCCAGCGAGCAGGAGAGGGGTCCAAGATTTCATCAGTGTAGGCTCACACATACATCAGTACAGGTGAGGAACCTGAGCTCCAGAAGGGGACAGTGACTGTCCACAGGCCCATGATGAGGAAGCAAGCAGTCCCAGCTGGAAAGCCAGGTTCCCTGTTCCTCCACAGAACACACTTAACACCAGGCCACACGCACCAGGGTGCTTCTCCTTAGGGACAAAACCTTGCCAGTGGAGGCAGAACTAGGTGATGCTCTTCCCTTTAGGTCCTTTTCAGCTGCTTCCTCCCTTTTTCTTTGCGGAACTCCACTGTTATCCATGGTTTTTGGAAAAATTGAACAAAGAGGGCCATAATAAGCAAGCCCCTGGGATACAGCATGACTTTAGGACTGGTGCCTTGACTTACCAGGGGGTTTTGTCAGCCTCCACGTTCCCACCCTGCATCCTGTGTGGTCCCACCAAGGGCTGTCAGGGGCTCCTCTGGCTGGTCCATATGAGGGTTGCCACATTCCCCATCTCACTGTCTCACCAGTACCCACTTCATCTACCTAATAGACTTTAGAGTTCAGCATCTTCAGGTTTCCAGAGGAGAGCTCACGCGAGTCAAGCCCAGAGAGGATCCTGGCCTGGGCAGGACGGGGGTCCTGTGCTCACAGCCTACAGGAATTGCTCAACCTGGGATTTGGGGAAGGTTGGGTTCTCCTTCCAAACCTGACTCCCCATTTCCAAGGATATTGATGCTGATTCAATTCTTGAAAGGTTCAATCCAAATCCATCATTTGATTCCTTGCCCTCAAAAACTGCAGAATGAATACATAGCATTTATGCATTTATACAACACATAATTTAGAAAATGTCTTCATACTGACTCTCAGAAAATTTAGATTGGATTATCCCCTTCTTTTCTTTTCTTTTCTTTTTTTTTTTTTTTTTTTTTTTTTTTTGAGACAGAGTCTCGCTCTGTCACCCAGGCTGAAGTGCAGTGGTGCAATCTCAGCTCACTGCAACCTCCACCTCCCAGGTTCAAGCAATTCTCCTGCCTCAGCCTCCCGAGTAGCTGAGACTACAGGTGCGCACCACCACACCCAGCTAATTTTTGTATTTTTAGTAGAGATGGGGTTTCACCTTGTTGGCCAGGATGGTCTCAATCTCTTGACCTCATGATCCACCTCCACCCGCCTTGGCTTCCCAAAATGCTGGGATTACAGGCATGAGCCACTGTGTCTGGCTGGGTTATCCCCTTCTTATAGAGGCCCCTTATTATACAGGCAGAGCATGAGAGCCAGAAAGACCAAAAAAAAAGACTTACCCAAGGTAAGAGCTTGATTAATATTTATCCACTAAACAAAGGAATGATTGGCTGCTCAAAAGCTGGTGCCTAAAGCTGCATGGCAAGAGTGTCACATGCACACTACCTTTACTTCCCAGGCAGAGTGAGATAAGACCGTTGACAGCCATCATGCATTCATAAAAGTGACCCCAGAAGAATGAGATGAGACCATCAATGCTGAAAATAACAATAACCCCACCAGAAAAAGCAGCCCCCTCCTACAGAAGCTTGAGTGCAGAATATGACCCCCAATGGCCTCTCTAGGAAAAACAACCAATATAATAATTCATATAATTGAAATATAATATATGTTATATATTATATATTACATTAATATGTAGCATATAATTCGTGTACGTTAACTCACTGAATCCTCACTACAACCCTGAGAAGTAGATACTGTTATTATCCTCATTTGACAGATGAAGAAGTCAAGACACAGAGAGATTAAATATCTTACCTGTAATCATGCAACTAGCAAGGGGTGAAGAGGGGATTTGAAACTAGGCCAATAGCTCTGGAACCCATACTCTTAACTCTATACCCTGTGTATCTGGAAATGCAACATAAGTAGTGGAAAGGCCCAGTGATTTGGAGTTGGACAGACTCTTATATTCATGTTGTAAAGATTCGTCAAGCACTTACTATGGACAAGACACTGTTCTCATGCTAAAGATACCATGGGAGGGGCTTATATTGAAAGGGGAGAAGACAGAAAATAAACCAATAAACTTTCAGGCAGTGATCAACACTACATAGAAAAACACAGCAGAGCAGGGAAGATAGGGAGCCCAGGGGGAGGTGAAGTGGGGTGCTATTTTATTCAGAGTCTTAAGGAAAGGCCTCACTAATAATGTGGCATTGAGCCAAGTCCCAAAGGAAGTGGGGAGCTGAGCTGTGCAGAGATCGAGGGAAGAAGTTCCCTCCCAAAGGGACAAATGCAAAAGCATCCCTTCCCCGCTTCAAGAGGGGACACTCTGAGATCATGGAAGGATGACCAGGAGGTGTGTGTGGCTAGAGCAGGGTAAGTAAGGAACAGAGTGGAAGAGATGGGAAAGAATCCCTGGAGCCCAAGGGGAGCACCTTGGTTTTTGCTCCATTCAAAGACAGGAATCCAGGGAAGGGTTTAAGTAGAGAAGGTGTGGCAGGACATCAGGTTTGAAAGAACCACTCAGCTGACTGTATTAAAATCGTTTGTCAGCTGCTGGTGAGGTCCCAGCCTGCAGGCTGAGGACAGACACCTTCTGAAGCCCAGAAACCAGTTGGGAGGTTATTGTAAGAGATGATGGTGTCCCCAGATCTACCACTGGTCACAGCCAGATGACTTTCAGCAAATTGCTAAACTCTTTAAACAGTACTTTCCACATCTATAGAAATAGGCATAAAAATCCTTGTCTTGAGAGTTGTTGAGGGAACTAAAGGAGTTAAGTAGAATTCTTGGCACATGGAAGAACTTCAATGAATGTCTTTCTTACTTTTTCCAGCAAGCGGTTGTGGGTGGACTTTCCAATCCCCTCTCCTTCCCTGGGTACCTCACCCTCCCTGGCTTCTGTGTTACAGATTCTCAGCTGGCTGAGTGCCGGGGCCCTCCTGAAGTCGAGGGCGCCCCGCTCTTCTCACTCACTGAGGAGAGCTTCAAGGCCTGCCACCTGACCCTGACCCTGGATGATTACCTATTCATTGCGTTCGTGGGCTTCGTGGTCTCCATTGCTTCTGTGGCCACCAACTTCCTCCTGGGCATCACTGCCAACTGCTGCCACCGCTGGAGCAAGGCCAGTGAAGAGGAAGAGATCTGACATGCCTGCCTCTCATCCCTCCATGCTGCTGACCGCCACAGCTGCTGGCCACCAGACGCCCTCCCTGACTGCTCACTCTGGTTCCATGGTGACCTGGCTGCCTCAGTCATGGTTCAAGCAAGGTGGGGACACTCATTTTGTATGAGCATCTGCTTTGGGCCAGGCGGCACGCTAGGAATTGGGAACATCAGATGAACTGACTCAGTCCCTGCCCTCAAGGCACTTCCCTCTGGTCAAGGAGAGAGATCCAAAAACTATTCCCTTTAAGACTATATGTCAGGACTCTGAGCACGTCATTATGGAGGCCCAGAGGAGGAGCCATCATCTGTATCTAGCAATGTCCATGAGAATTATAAGATTAGAGTGATTTGTGAACTGGGTCATCAGGAAATATCTACTTTGTCAGGTAGGCAAAGAAGGGTGTCTGCACATGGCAGAGGCCAGAATATGCATAGTGTGCTGTGTTGAGAAGAGTGAACAGTTCCTGGTCACTTACTTGTATAGAGGGGGTGTGGCACAGAACTCAAACCTACCCCTCACCTCCTGACACCAAAACTGTCAGCTCTCAGCAATGCCAGCCACTGCCTACAGGGAGTAAGAACACCTCTATGACAGCCCCTGGCCTCCTTCCACCAGCAGCTACCAGGTGAGACCACCTCCCAGTGACTGCCCCCATATGACCAAATGTCACCAGTTGGTGAGGTCCCAGGCAGCAGGCTGAGGATGGACACTTTCAATGCCCTTGCTCCTGCCTCTCACTCAAGTTTTGCTTCAGAAGAGAGAGGCAGGAGGCCCAGCAACTGGGGCAGCAAGAGTCCTGGCACCTTGGGATCCTAATCATGTGACTGTTCTTGCCACAGTGCTCATGCCACAGGGTCTCACCAGGAAAGTGCACTGTGGGCCACAGACCCACAGCCTGGCAGCACCCAGAGCTAAAAGGGGACAAAGGCAGCACAGTTATGACCATATGAGGCTTTGCATTTTCTTCTAAGCAACTTACCCACGTTAAGCATGAGGGTGAGAGAGCTATTAAATACTAAGCCCTTGCCAGTGTCAGGTACTTTGAAAAGCTCTCTGCACAAACCATTCCCTTTGACACACACACACACAAATCTTTTGAGGTGAACGCTGTTGTTCCCATTTTACGGATGAGGCAACTAAGGCTCAGAGAGGTTAAAGTCACATGCCACTATGAGCAAGATAAAGTCTGTGCTCTTTCTACTGCCCCATCCAAGTTGGGGAACATCACCATTCCCTCTAGAGTTATATAAATTCAAATTCAACTAGAGCTGACAAAGTTCCTCATAAGGTCCAGGCACTCCTCTGGGCACTTTTATATCTATTGACTCACTTCTTTCAATTCTCACAGCAACACTGCCTGGTGGTTTTTATTATCCCCATTTGACAGATGAATTAATCGTAGAGAGTTGAGTGACTTACCCAAGGTTGTCTGGATAAGCCCTAGAAGGAAGGCGGTAGGCAGCTCCATTCAGGGAAACTGCATCTAATCAGTCAGTCAAAAATCAAGTAACTTTACGAGCAAAGCACAATTATCATCATCGTGGTCTTCTTCATCAGTTTCGTCAGCAGCATCATTATCTTCCCTCTATTTGTTCAGCACCGGATAGTTCATGAGTATTTTTGCATCATTCTCCTTGACTTTTCACATCCCTGTGCAGGAGGTAAATCAAACATCAGTAATCCTGTTTTACAGATGGGGAAAAAAGTCTCAAGGTTGGATATGACTTGCTATGTGGCAAGGTTGGGGCTCAACCCTAACACAGTTCTCTTTCCAGTGCTTTCTCAAGTGCTTGGGGAAGAGAATGCCTCAGAAGGCTGGGTAGTGGGGCCCTGGAATTCAGCATCCATGAATGTGCTAGTGGATAAGCTAAATAGAAGGCAGCCAAACCCATCTGCTGTACAGATTGAACTATGCTCACGGTAGGGCAAATTGCAGGCTCTGAAACAGAGACTACACAGGTAACACCTGAATAGGAGACTCCTGCTTTACAATGTGTAGATAAAACATCAGCAATGGTGGCCATGGTGGCAGTCATGTGAAAAGTAAGATCTTTGGGAATCAAGAAAGGAAGCTGTGTTAACCACTCCTGCTCAAGCCCTGCTGCGTGTGTTGCAAGAGATACTAAGAGAGCAAGAAAGCTATAGGTGAGAACCTCTGCAGTTTAGGAGAAGAACATCAAGGCACAGTCCAACATGCTGATAAGTCTGGCCAGGAGGAGAATTAAAACAGGGGCTTTCCACACCTCCCTTGCCCCAAGCTCCAGCGGTATTCTATCAGCCCATCCTCCTGGAAAGCCTGAAAGGAATGAAGGAGGCTAATAAGTCATCTTCCAGGAAGGCATCCCTCACTCGTGCTTCCCTGAGCTAGTCAACCAAAAGAGTCTTCAGAAACTTTGCTAGACCTGAAGTACTTGAACCTGTGTCCCCTGAATCTTTCTTACAACATCTGGGACAAATCCCTGGCCCTGTGACATCCGAAGCAGAACTGTGCCCTGCTCTCTCCTTCTGTGATGACCAAGGATGGTGAACTCAAGTTGTTCTCTACAAGCCAGGCCAGCAACCTAAATACTTGGAGAGGAACTTTTAGAAACTATAATCCTGACAAAATAGAAAAGTTTCCCATAGGGGCATACCATAATACTATAATAACCTCCCAGGAACTATTGTTTGCCAAAATGTAGTTAATATATTTTAAGATATATGCTTTTTTGCATAGGACTAGAACCAGAAAAGACACCAAATGCCCCCTTGACATCAATGTCCTTTCTAGTGGGACAATTTGGTCTCCATTAATGCCAAGCCTTTCTGAACAGGATACATGGCTTTTAAAGGACAGATGTTTCTCCTGCTGCTAGAAGTTCCTCAGTTTACTAGAGCACAATGAGGAAAGTATTCAACCTCCCTACTGCCAAGGAATTCCCTGCTTCTCCCCCACCGCCATCATCTTGTCCAAGCTATCAGAAGCAACCTTCTAGAGATAATCTAACAATCCTGATTAGAATTGCTCCCATATCCCTGGTGACCACAGGCTTCATTCAAATTGTCCAAACTGGTTAACATGTATGTGATGGGGTATCTCTGCATCTGTATGTCTGTCTGCGAGGTTCCTTGTATATTGGCTGTCCGCTGACTTGGGACAGATCTCTCTAGAACTTGGGTTCAGTTCTCTGACATAGTCCACTCAGCCATAGGCTGAGTGGCTAAATATGCATAAATAAGCATGCCTAAATAGGCATATATAGGTTGGTGCAAAAGTAATTGCGGTTTTTGCCATTAAAAATGATAGCAAAAATCCCAATTACTTTTGCGTCAATCTAATATTACATTGCTTGATAGATTAAGATGGAATCCCACCAGGTTTAGGGTAGGACTGGATGCTCAAAAAATAAAGAAGGAGAAAAATCTGTGGCAGAGGCATCCTAATGAGAACCTGACTTCTCCTTGCTTCCCTCTGCTCTCTCCTGCGCCTCAGAGACTTGTCCCCATTGCAGAAGCTTCCTCCATGCTAGGCCAGAGGATATCAAAGTTTAGTTTGGTCAAGATTTGGGCCAAGAAAATTCCTTTTTAGAAGAGCCCTCATATCTGAATCACATCACTTTGGGCCAGTTATCTCTGGTCACCCTCAGACAAACCCTCGTCTCTTTTTCTCCCTTCCTAGAGGAATTCCCAGGGAACTTTGCAGAAATAGGTCTCCAGAGTTGCTACAGAGGTTCATGGCTCCTTTCGAGGAGGGACATGTATGAAATTTGAACAGATCAAGACAGGTGTTTGTCTTCAACCATGGGGGAAGACCTCCAGCTTCCATTTTCCCCTATACGTGTCTGTGCTGACATCCTTTCCAGCAGTAGAAGACTAAAAAGATATATCTTAACCCATTCCTCAAAAGGACATCTTCCTAAAGCCAGAGAAAATTGTCTGCGCTTCCCCACCCCAGGAAGAGGCAAAAGGGAAGTGAGGGCGTCACAAGGTCTTTTGTAAATCACTATTGTGTTTGTCACAGCACTGGGCGGAGAGCTGGATCCACAGAGCTCTCAGTTTTTCTAAGCACTGTCCTGTAATGTGCTAATGTCTGGGGGTGGGAGGGCTGGGGAGGGGTGGGGTTAGAGGGAAGATGCCAACCTTTGTATGGAGATGATTTTATAACCATGCACTTTTGTAACTGTGCAGAATTTTTCATAAATGTACATTAATAATAAAGAGTGTATAGTTTAACAAATTTTCCTAAGAGCTGTGAAGAGGGATAGGGAGAGGGAGGGAGGTAGAGAAAGAAAGAGAGAAAGGAACTAGGCGGAACCAAGAGAATGTGTGCCAAAATATACGCACAAAAGGTCTATGGGAGGGAGTGGATGGAAATAATTAGGAGATGTGCCAGCCATGGAGGGGCATGTGTGGGAGTTGAAGGAACATCACAGAAGTATATTTCTACCAGGCAAAAAAAGAATACGCGTGTGTCTGTATGCACATACCCCTCTGTGTAGGCATATTTTGGTGCCTGAAATTACACAAAGAAGAGAGCATATGTCTTACACATGTTGATGTTTGCAACTTGGGTCGTCCATAAAACATACCAAGGCAAGTGGGTGTGCCTGCCTAGTTAGCATCACTGAAGGGTGTGTGATAAGGAGATAGCACACACCAGCAGCATGGGCAGAAAGACATTAACTCAGGCATGCAGGTAAATCAGGCATCTAAATGCATGGTGTTGGGGCTGGATGAGGCCATTGCTGGTATAAGTTCAGCCTCTGTTCTCATAGGTTAATAAAGAAGGGAAAGGATTCTAAACCTCCTGGGTTTTGCAAGTGTTGCCTGTACATCATCAGAAGTGAGATGCCTAGGCAGTGTACCTTGAGAATAGGGACAGGAAAAGAAGGAAAGTGTACTTCTGTAGGTACAATGGCAGCTGTTTTTATCTTAGTATTCTAAGTAGGAAGTGGCTGTAAGGAAGTCAATCCAAGCAGGAAGTGGCTCTGAGCAGAAAGTAGTTCCTTCCACCAATAGGGATGTTAACCTCCCTCTATTCCTCCCACTCCAATTGCCACAGGGTACAAACAAATACCGCACTCATAGCCTCTAAATGGAACACAGATACTGACTCAGAACACTTAGCTAAACAGAGAACATCTTCAACTGTAATCAGTGTTTTCTAGAGTAGATTAGAGGGAGGCAAAACCCTTCTCTTCAAATTAAGTATTTAATAGAGACTATGCTGAACAAGTGCAAGATCAAAAATAAGGCTCCTGAAATAAGCAGACATCTCATGAAAGACCAGATCTTGCATATCCCATTCAATGCTGTTCATAGTGCCAAGGACTGATGATGGTGATGATGATGATGTTGATGATGATGATATATTTACTCATCACTTACTGTGTGCCAGCTGCTCTGCTAAGCACTATATATGGATTAATTTACTTAATTTTCACAAAAACCCAAGGTAAGTACTATTATTATTTCTATTTTACAGATGAGGCAACTGAGGCACAAACAAGCTAACGTGCTTAAGGTCACATAGCTAGTAAGTAGTTGATCTGAGTTTAGACACTCAGTAATACTTGGTGACTGACTAACTTCAGAAGACAAGAACAATGTGGGCCATAAGAGAAAATTCAGTCTCAGTCAAAAGTAGGGTTTTAGCCACAGAGGTCTTTATATCAGTTTATTTTCACACTGCTGATAAAGACATACCTGAGACTGGGAAGAAAAGGAGGTTTAATTTGACTTACAGTTCCACATGGCTGGGGAGGTCTCATAATCATGGCGGAGGGTGAAAGACACTTCTTACATGGCAGCAGCAAGACAGAATAAGGAAGAAGCAAAAGGGAAAATCCCTGATAAACCCATCAGATCTTGTTATTCACTATCACGAGAACTGCATGGGAAAGACCAGCCCCCATGATTCAATTACCTCCCCCTAGGTCCATCCCACAACACGTGGGAATTCTAGGAGATACAATTGAAGTTGAGGTTTGAGTGAGGACACAGCCAAACCATATCAGTCTTCTGTGATTATTTGGTGAAAAAAATTGGAGAGTAATAGGTAAAACCAACAAGTATCCTATCTGTTTCATTGCAAGTAGCTTTAATGGTTGCATTGGACAAGGTAGACTAATTGTGATAATAGGTGATTCCAAAATCTCAACAAAGTAGAGATGTGTTTGCTAGGTTATTTGACACAATTAATTCTTATTTCCTGCTCATGTCATGTCCCAAAGCATGTCAGAGGCTCTGCCTCACATGGTTATTCAGGGACCCAGGATTCTTCCATCTAGTGGCTCTGCCATCTCTGAGGCCATGGGAATTCTCTACAGCATGGAGGATCTCAAGGACATTTGCAGGAGTCAAAAATAGAAGCATTGTACTTTAATTCCCGCATATTCCATTGGCCAGAACTGAGTCCCATGATTTCATTTAACATCAGGGAAGTAGACTAGCTGTGCACATAGAAGGCAAAGGAAACAGACTTTGATCAACTCCACCAGTCTCTAACATGGTCTGCTCTTCTTGTTACCAAATACCTGTTTCACTCTTCCTCCACACTTATCTTACCCTGTCAGCACATCCAGGTCAAAGCTCAAGATCGCCAATGTTCCAGTATCTCCATCAGGTCTCTTGGTGGTCCAGTGACCTATGAACTAAAAAGAAAAATTATCTGCCCCCCAACCCACCCCCTACTCTACACACACCCAATATACAATGGTGGCACAGGGACAGAGTAACAGCAAATTAAAGACCTTGTTTGAAAAGAAGGAAAACACACACGCCCATTATGGTTCATAGCAATTCTGAAATCCTGCTTGGAGAGCATTATGAAGGCCTCAGACTAAGTTCTTATATTCAACTCTGATTCTGTTTTCTGAGAAGAACTCCTTTGTCACCGTCCTCTGTGACCTGACTCTTCCCTTTTGATTGAAGGGTCTCCCTTTTCCATTATCCACCATGGCTATATCTACAGTGGATATTGGGGAGAATGCAACCTTTGGCAGTTACCCAGCTTCAACAGCCAGCCTTCTGCTGGTGCAAGTATGCTGGCGTGAAACTGGTTTTAGGACTCAATAGTCGAAAGCTTTTTGGTTCCAGGTTCATGGTTTCATAGCAATTTACCTCCCTTAAAAACGTAGTAGATTTCTGTTTGCTTCCACTAAGTTCCACATTTCAGTACACATACAAAGTTTTGTCCCAAAAAGTGCTTTCAAGCCTATTGTGATGCTTTGCTTTCTCTTCTTCCATGCCTCTTTCTCTTCCCTTAATGCAGCCTTGCAATTATCTGAAACAACAGATGAGAAGGACACATTCTTATTCTTGTTCATTTCCTCTTGGCTAAGTCTCATTAACTGGATGTTTTTAGGGCACCTTGTTGCTCACAGCCTTTTTCAATTTTATCTCTTATCATTTAGGTCTAGAAGCAGTCAGCTTTTTCCATTTTTTAGTGCCCCTCATTTTTTACTTTCTTTCTCTTTCTTTTCATTTCTAATTTCAAACTCCTTTAGAACTAAGTAAGGCATTTAGAAACCTGGTTTGGATCAATCTGGACTGAGACCAAAAATATTTAAAATGCATCAACAGTTAGGCAACCTGAACTTCACGAAGGGAATGAAACTCCTCATGGGAAATGGTCATCGGGATGAGAAGGAAGGAAACTGAGAAGAAGAAAAAAAATGCTACCAAGCTAGAGAGTTCACTGATGACATTCAGATTTCAGAAAGTCTACCAGAAATCACCACAGCAGGGATAGGTCTGCCAGGTTGCTGGGAAAAAGTTACTCCTAGTGGATGCTGGTAAAGAGGCTATCTAAAGAGAAAATGTTGGCTGTATTGTATTGCTGGTCATTATTCCCAACCCCCTCAACATGGAAGGCAGAGATCACAAGGAAATACAAACGCCACTGTGACACAGTTACAAGAAAAATAATATTGTTAGGTGCCCCCATCCTCCACCCAGCTTTACACCTATCTCATGGAATCATTCAGGAGTATACTGCATGACATTCTAGAAAACACAAAATAATGTGGCTAATTTTACAAAGCTAAGGATTCTATTCCTGTAGCTGAGCCAGTATTCAAAAGAGATCCCTGGATCTGCATATTAAAAGCCAAAGCTGGGCTGGGCACAGTGGCTCACGCCTGTAATCCCAGCAGTTTGGGAGGCAGAGGCAGGTGGATCACCAAAGGTCAGGAGTTCGAGACCAGCCTGGCCAAAATGGTGAAAGCTGGTTTCCACTAAAAATACAAAAAAATTAGCCGAGCGTAGCGGTGCATGCCTGTAGTCCCAGCTACTCAGGAGGGAGAGGCAGCAGAATCACTTGAACCCAAGGGGTGGAGGTTGCAGTGAGCTGAGATCACGCCATTGCACTCCAGCCTGGGTGAAAAGAGCAAAACGCAGTCTTAAATAAATAAATAAGCCAAAGCTATGAAAATGGTTGATATAAGAAGACTACTTGGCCAAGAGTTAGATTCCCATATAAATAAGCAGTTTATGCCTCCATTCATTTAAAAATATGAATCCCACACCTCTACATGCTAGACATATATTTCCAGGGCTGGGTATATGGTGCTGAAGAAACTAACATTCCTGCCCCTGCCCCTTGGTGTCTTTCTATGCAGGGGTCGGGGTGAGAGGGTCGGTAATGGTGGTAGATCAGACAATAAACAAGAAAAATAAATAGTTCCAGATAGTGATAAGTGCTGCAAAGAAAATACAGCAGGAAGAGGTTTGGGGGGTGAGATTACAGAGGTAGGCCTAGATCTCACCCGATAAGTAGGTCCTTGTGGGCTCTGGTCAGACTTCAAATTTTGTATAAATGCAATGGAAAACCACTGGAGGGCTTTCAGCAGGGGAATAACATGATCTGACGCGATTTTCCAAGACCGTTCTAGATGCTGTATGTTCAAAAGGTGGGAAAGAATATATAAGCTGTGACATCAGGGAGGGGCCTTCTCCATGAGTCCAGGGGAAAGGCATTCCAAAGGGACACCAGGGCTGGTGGTGGATGAAGGAACAATCAGAGTAGAAATTTGAAAGGCAGAGCCAATAGGACTTGCTGATGCATTGGATGTAGGGAGACAGGACAAAAGAAAAATCAAAAATAACTCCTAATCTTTTTTTTCACATCAGCTGCAGCAATGCTCAGCCAGGCCTAAGTAGCGGAAAGACTGTCTTAATTCTATTAAAAAACATACACACACAACAGATAGTCAACAATCAGTAAGTCAGAAAACCCTGATGAGTAAGTTGGAAGGGAGAGGGAGGAAGCAGATAGAAAAACAGATTCATAATGTCAGGAAACGGCCAAAACCTGAGGGCCCGGAGATGGGGGTAGAAAAATATGAACACACAGAGTTGGTTTCAACAGTCTGCAATATCATTCGGAGTGTCCCAGTGGACCTTAAATAGAGCAATGGGGCCTCGGGAACTGGAGTTCAAGTCTAATAATCAGCAGCATTTTCAGTAGAGATAGATTTGTATCCATAGTGATGTGCTAGAGGCGGAGCATCAATCTAAAGTTGTTTCCTAGAAGGAGAGTCTTAGACTCCCTTGACTGTATACCAGGAAACAAACCCAGGAAACAAATTATATTTGAGATGGGCTCAAATATGAAATGGGAATATTGCACAGAATCACATAAAGAAAAATGGGAATGAGCAGCTTGTACTCACTCATCTTAACCAAGGAATGAAAGGCAATTGTGAGAAACTAGGTGTCTCAGGATGGTGCTAATACTGAGAACATCCGAAACCGTTATAATCATTATGCATTTACAATGTATTACACACTGCACCAATGTACTTGCAATATCTCACGGATGTCTCACGATTTTCCTGGAAGAAAGCACAGACTTGATTAAAAGCATGGACTAGGAAACCACACTCCCTGGTTTCAAATCCCAATACTGCCACCTTGGGCAGCTGACATCACCTCTTTGAATCTGAGTTTCTCTGCCTGTAAATTTCAGAGGATAATGGTAGCTACTTCATAGGACCTCTGAGAAGATTAAATGAGCTCATGTAAATAAAGTACTTAGAACAGTGCCTGGGACAGAGTGATATTCAATTAGTGATAGCGACTATTACTATCATTCCTTTTTTACAGGGAAAGACTTAGAAGCTGAGAGATGCTTAAGTAACTTGTCTAATGTCACAGGGCTGAAATGTGACAAAGCCAGGGTTTTAATCACCTCTGTCCTCCAGACCCAGTATCTATCAGATACCAGATAGGTCACACTGGCAAGCTGTGAAAGCGAGTCTCCAAACCTGGGACCAAGTGAACTATGACCTCAATATTCATATCCATGAGTGGTCCACTCCCACACTGAATCTGCGCTGGCCCTGTGACTTGATTTAACCAACAAAAAGTGGCAGAAGTAATGCTGTGCCTGGCAGCTTCTGCTTTTGTGCTCTTGGAAGCCCTGAGCCACCATGGATTAAGTCTGATCCATGGAGAGTGATGGAGAGTCCATATGGAGAGACCACGTGGAGAGAAAAGAAGCTCAACCTTTCCAGCATGCCAGCTGAGCCCATCTTTCTAGCCATTCCCCCAAGGCACCAGACATATTAGTGGATACATATTGAACATTTCAGCCCCAACTACCCTCTGACTGCATCCCCATGGGACACCAAAGCAAGACCAGCAAAACAACTCTCCAACTAAGCTACAGTGGTGACAATTTATTGTTTTAAGCCTCTATGTTTTTGTTATGCAACAATATGCAACTGAAACACTAATCTATAAGAAAAAGACTTATTGGGGACAAAAATGTGTCAGTAACACAAGGCTGAAACCTAGAGTGACTGTTGCATCCCAGAAGCAAGCTGTACAGAAAATAATCATCCATGCTCTGGAGTCCTATTAATGAGCATATAATAGTGCCAACCACACAGTAAGAAATCAACAAAAAATTAGCTGCTTTTTTTATTATTAACAAGAATACACTTATTCTAGATGCAATTTAATTGCAATGCAAGGAATAGATAAAAATCCTTAGTTTTTGCTTCTAACTTCTCCAGGAATAATGCTGCAGGAAATTTGTATCACTTTCCTTTGCTTTAGGAAATTTCAGTGCACAGTATTGTAAAGACTTGATTATTAAAAGATTTGACAAGGACAAAAAAAGTTAAGAAAGAGAAGATGACCACAACTGGTCTCATACTGCTCGTTAAGAGTAGTGACTTCCTGGCTGGGCATGGTGGCTCACATCTCTAATCCCAGCACTTTGGGAGGCTGAGGCAGGTGGACCACCTGAGGTCAGGAGTTCAAGACCAGCCTGGCCAACATGGTGAAACCCCGTCTCTACTGAAAACACAATATTTAGCTGGGCACAGTGGTGGGCGCCTATAATTCCAGCTACTAGGGAGGCTGAGGCAGGAGAATCACTTGAACCCAGGAGGCAGAGGTTGCAGTGCACCGAGATCACGCCATTGCACTCCAGCCTGGGTAGCAAAAGGGAAACTCTGTTTAAAAAAAAAGAAAAAAGATAGGGACTTCCCAAGTTACTCCTGCAAAATGGCATTGTTACAGAGCAATGTATCATGACAGGCATTTTTTGACAAAAAAAAAAAAAATTCATTTCCAATTCAGACACAAAGTAGTATGAGATTTTGTCTATGCAAAGAATTTTAAACCTGTCTCACTCCACAATGGTGGGAGAATATTGAGTTCCCAGAAATAAAGCAGCAGTCAAAGGTAGCACAGACAAAGACGCTGAGCCCATGAGTTACATAGAGGAGTGCAGCTGTACTGCATTCATCATTTTGATGAATAAATAGATAAGGGAAAAGCAAGGCCTTCCATAGAAATAAAGGTTATTTCTGTAGATTACTTTAAACGTATAATAAAGTCCTTCAGCGAAAAAAATAGACATTCCAACAGAGATCTCAGGGAACAAGAGCAACATGGAATACCCAGAAGACGATCTAGATTGAACAGAATAGAATCATCAGCAGTAGAATTGAGAACAATCACCAGACCTTTGGTGGAGGTGGAGCTGAGCACTGATCTTTGGATACGTTATACATCCTGTATTGCTTCATCGAAGCAATGGTATAGTCCAGAGGTCCTTGACCTGCGGGCCACGGATGGGTACTAGTCTGTGGCCTGTTAGGAACCAGGCTGCATAGCAGGAGGTGAGCAGCAGGCAAGCGAGTGAGCGAAGATTCCTCTGTATTTAAAGCTTCTCCGCATCATTCGCATTATTGCCTGAGCTCTGTCTCCTGTCAGATCAGCGGTGGCATTAGATTCTCATGGCAGTGCCAACCCTATTGCGAACTGCGCATGCGAGGGATCTAGGTTGCACGCTCCTTAAGAGAATCTAACTCCTGATGATCTGTCACTGTCTCCCATCACCCCCAGGTGGGACCCTCTAGTTGCAGGAAAACAAGCTCAGGGCTCCCACTGATCCTACAATTTGGTGAGTTGTATAATTATTTCATTATTGTTAACAATGTAATAATACCAAAGTACAAAATAAATGTAATGCACTTGAATCATCCCAAAACCATTCCCCATCCCAGGCGTGTGGAAAAATTGTCTTCCATGAAACCATTCCACGGTGACAAAAAGGTTGGGGACTGCTGGTTTAGTCCATTGAAAATCATTCCTTGTTTCCATAAAGATCCTCCTCTTCTACCATTTGTGATATGTGGAGTTTTGGATGCATGAGCCCTATCTCATTATTAGAGTCTTGGGATTTGTCAAGAGTTGGCAAAACCAACGATGCAGCCCACTCTGATTTCCTCCTTGAAGAATTTATTTATTTCTGGCTAAAAGTGCTACGATTTACTCCAGGAGGCTGATAATTATAGAAGGCAGCTGTAGTAATGTAGAGGAAGCCCTAGGCTTTAATTCAAGAGACATAGTCCCTCAACAAACACTTGCCGAGGCCCTGGCGTGAGGCAAGGCAATGTTTAGGTACATGAAGAATTACTAAAAACCAAAGAGATCAGAGATTATTGATTCATGTTTTATCCACCGTGCCCAGCATAGGGCTGGATGTGTAGCAGGTTTTCAGTAAATGTTTGTTTAACCAAATTAATAATGACACTAGTTAGCAAATCAATTTCCCTCTCTGGGGTTGGTATTTCACCTCCTATTTTAAAATTTAAAAAATGTAAGTGGGTTATAGCAGCACTTCTCAAAATTGAATGTGCATAACAATTTCCCGGGGATCCTGTTAAGGTACATATTCCAAACCAGTAGGCTGGGAAGGAAGGCCTGGAAGTTGCGTTTCTAACAAACCTCCAGCATTACTGGCCCATGGACCACACTTTGAGTAGCAATGGGGCAAATGATCTCTCAGGGAGAAATTTTGGATACAATGAGGGATCCTCCGATTCTGTTTTTTAATTATGAAAAAATAGTAGATACTCTAACTATGGAAGGGAGAAAAAGAGAGGTAAATGGGGCTGGGCACGGTGCCTGGGGTGGATCCAGGAGGTTGGTAGAGGCTTCTCCTGGGGGCCAGCAGGAAAGGCCCACTCTTCGTCACAACGCACAAACAAATTCTTTTTGGTGCCTGCAAAAAGAATCAGCAATAATTTCGCTGGCTCGGAAGGCTCTGTCTCTTAATGATTCTTCCTGTTTTTCTCAGCCTGATCCAAGAGAATGAGAAAACAGCCCTAGTGAAGGTCAGCGGAGGTCAGAGAGGTCCCTGGAGAGGGCCGCTTTCAGGGAAATGGAGCAGATAGAGGCCCACCCCTTCTGCCCACCCTCATCTCTGCCTAACTCTAGCGCTACTCCTTGACCAATCCAGCCCAATCCCAGTGTATCAGTACTCTGCCCCAAGTCAATTCCATTCAATTAGACATTCATTACTACTGATGTGTGTGCCAGCATGCTAGATGCCCCGGATGATGCCAGGATGTGACACTGCCAGGGCCCTCCAGTTGCCCATGGTCTAATGGGGAGGAGTTCCACAGTCACAAGAAGACGTGTTACAATGAAGAATGCAATCAAGGACACGAGAAAGAGATCTGCAAGTACAATATGAATTTAGAGAAGTGAGAGACCAAACTTTACAGAGAAGGGGACATCTGAAATTTAAAGATGGGTATAAGCTCTTCAGTAAAGATGGAAATGAGCCATTCCAGGTGGAGGGAAAGCAGGAGAGACAGCACAGAGGGGAAGGAAGAGTGGATGCTCACGACAGAATCCAGTGTGACTGGAACAAAGGGTATTTTGAAAGAATAGCCTGCAATGGAGGGTCTGGGAGGTGCAGGGGAGATTTTCATCTTTAGGGTCTTAGTCCTCCCTTTCTCATCTTTAGAGTCTGATAATTGGCCCTCCCTTCAACATGCATATGCTTCCCTGACCCATCTTTAGGATCATACTTGCAAAAACAGTTCAAGATTAACCACAGCAATTCATTTATTCCACAATCTTTTACCAAAACCCTAAGACACGTGAGGCACTGTGCAAGCATAGGAAATACAGCCAGGGATGAGATAGGTAAGTTCCAGAGCACTGGACAAACAATCAGTAAAGTGAGACGGTAGAAAGAACATAGGAACAGGAAAGTCCTGGGTGCAAATATACGTCGTGTGTCATGAACAAAATATTTCATATCTCTGAGCCCTGGTTTCTACCTCCCTGATGGGGATAATTATACTTATTCCACGGGGTTATTGTAGAAATTAACCTGTGGGGAAAGAGCTTCATACTGTGTTGGGCACACTGTAAGCATTCGTTACCCATGTATTCTTTGTTCAGCCATAAAGAGAGGCGCCTGGAATACCAAATCTCCAGGGTCCCTTTCAGCTCTGATATTTTGCTTGGGCAGTTCTAAGACTCTGCGGCACCTGTAACTGTGCCCACTGACCAGGGTCCTGGCACATCCCAAGGAGTGACGCTCCATCCCTCCCTGAGCAAGAAGCTTCTACCAGGGTGGCCTGAGATGAGGCCAATGGATCAGGCAGGCATTAATCAGGTGGCCGCCCTCCTTGGCTGTGGCGCCGGCAGGCCAGGCAGCGTTCTGGCTGCCTAGCTTCCCCGATCGGCTTCCACACCACTCCACAGACCCGTTGCCATGACAGTGAACCCCAAGGGGCACCCAGGAGTGGCCAGAGCTGGAGAGGAAGGGTTCCATTGATCGAAATCCATCTGACTCAGCCTTGGTTGATTTCAGGATCCTGGAGTGAGAACAAACAACAATTTAAATCTACTGAATGCTTTTTTCAATGCCAGACAACATATTAAGTGTGTTTTTCCGATTCTCTCATTTCATACTCACAATGGTAACGTGAAATAGGGATCCTCATTCCCACTTAACAGAATGAGAAACTGGGGATCAGAGAAGAAAATACCGATGTCACCCACATAGTAAGTGGTAAGGCCAGGACACAACTGTGCCCCCCAGCTCCAGCCCCAGGGATGTATCATTCCAAAGACCCTGTGCTTTTCCACAAACCACAGTCTTCCGAGCCACCTGAGCCTCCAGGAAAGTTGATGCCACTTTCCCCACTTGCCTGAATGTTCCTGAGGGGCCAAGGGGGACAGGTGCAGAGAGCTAGGTCTCTGAGTGATTCCTCAGAGACAAGGCCAGGTCACCCAGATGATGGGCTACTCAGACAGCTGCCAAAAATATGTTCTGGGATTTTCCAATGTAATCCCAATTTCAAATATTCTGCTTGTTTTTCTAAAGAATGAAAATTCCAACATACTGCCACCAAACTAATACGTCTCTCAAATGAGCTGTTGTTCATCTGGAAACAGCACAATATTTGACAACATCTGTCAGACCCCGTCACAACATTTGGTTCTAAAGAGCACGGTCCCTGTATTTTGATGCAAGGTAGCAATGTGCAAGCTCTGGCCTTAGATTTAGGGCTCTGACCTGCCAGAAGGAGGATATCCAGAAACCAGAGGACATCAACCCTTTTTCTAACCTCAGCAGCTGGGGAATTTGCCGAAAGAACAGCTTGGCATTCCTTCCCTGCCTTTCACCCCCCTTCCCATGGCTACTGAACTATTGAGCCCAAACTCTGGGAACCCATGACATGGGAAAATCCAGCTGGCTTCTGTAGCCCCAGACATCTGGATTCCCTAACCCCAGGCAGCCAGCTGAGTGAGGAGGCAGCAACACAAGGATGCTTGGGAAAGCCTTCGGAGGGACGTCTGCCAAGTCATCTCCCTCCTGAACAAACACATGTCCCACTATCTAGGGGTCAGCAGAGCCATGTTTATATGTGCTTAGGCCATTCAACTGATTAATTAATTAGCTCCCTGGGTGGCCTTTGGCCACTAAAGCTTCATCCCTTGAGGCCTCAGTTTTCTTATCTATAAAATGTTAGAATTAGGCAAGTTGATGTCTAAGGTTACTTCCTGCCCTACGATTTCAGCTTTCTACCATAAAAGAACAGGATGAGCATGGACAGGATTTGGCTCTAATACTGTCCCTGCTCTGCCAGCATGGGAAAGTCCCTTCCCATTTCTAAGCCTCAGTTTCCTTGGGGAGTTAAATGAGGGGCGGACTAGATGATCTCTCAGTCCAGAGCTCTGTTATCTCAGAAACTGGAACACATCTTGACATGCCCTCTCCCTGATCACCTGCATGCACTGTAACCCAGCAGACCCCATCTCGACAGCTCCATTGCCACCTACTCAATCAGGCTGCCTGCTCTCACCTGGACCACTGCAATAGCCTCCTAACTGGTCAAGCAACATCTGCCGCCCCTCCCTCATCTCTATGCTGGAGACTACCAGTGTGAAGTTTCTTTTCAAAACACAAATCAGCTAGGCACAATGGCTCACGCCTGTAATCAATCCCAGAACTTTGAGAGGCTGAAGCAGGAGGATTACTTGAGCGTAGGAGTTTGAGACCACCCGGGACAACATAGCAAGATCCCAGCTCTACCAAAAAAAAAAAATTTAAATTATCCAGGCATGGGGGCGTTTGTGTGTAGTCCCAGCTACTCAAGAGGCTGAGGCAGGAAGATGACTTGAGCCCAGGAGGTCAGGGCTGCAGTGAGCCATGCTCATGCCACTGCACTCCAGCCTGAGCAACAGAGTGAGACCCTGTCTCAAAAAAAAAAAAAAAATATATATATATATATATATAAGATCATGTTAGCCTGCTGCTTGTATGGAGTTCCATTGCAATTAGGGTAAACAATAGTGCAGCTTGTGAGACCCTCACGGCTAACCCAGCCCACCCCTCAGCACCATGTCTCACCACCCTCCCTTCCTCAATGTACACAAGTCCCTTGGCCTTTCGCTTCCTTAATAGACAAGCCTCCCAAGCCTCAATCTTTGTTCATGCAATTTCTTTGCCTAGAATGCTGATCTGCTTCCTCTCTATCCCACTCCCTTCTTCAACTTGTCCATTTCTTCCCTTCCTTTAGATTTCACCTCAGGCATCTCTGCTTAGAAATCCTCCTGGGAACTCACCAGGCTAGCTCAGATTCCCTGGGTAGACTTTCCCATAAGACCATTGCCTTCCCTACAGAGCATTCCTGTCCATTTCTGAGTGCGTTCAGGGATGACATTGCTTTCTCTCATTCCTACTCATCCCATAGTCTACACTCAATAAACCTTTTCAAGATGAGGGACTGGATGTTCTGCCCTTAGGAAGCTCCTAAGAAGAGGATGGCACCTTTTCCAAAAGCCCTGGCAGAGACCAAGACTAAAACAGATCTGATCTAAGACTGTCAGGCTCCCGAGGAGACATCCTGCTGACTGCTGGAAAGCTCTGCCCAAGGCAAGCTTGAGACTTAGCCAATTGCTATGGCTATGCTCAGAGTTCATTCCAGCAGAGGGTGCTCAGAAGTCCACCCTAGAGCGCTCTGAGCTGGCTGCCCTCCCAGCCAGCAGGCAGCCCGGGGCAATGGCTCCAGAGCATCAGATTAGGAGGAGAGCTGAAGTCTGTACTGTGGAAAGACAAGATGACTAGATAGATTCTTCTTTGGAAATGTCTTAAAGTGCCTTTTCCCCCACCTTCTCCACCCACTGACTTGCACAGATCATTCAAGTGTAAATGGGCCTCCTCCTTCAGGAAGCCTTCCTGTATCACCCCTGCTGGACTAAGGTTCCTAAATCTGCATTTCTATGCCTCCTGGGCATCCCACTAGCATTGTATACTACTACACTGAGAGAATGTGTTTCCACACCTGTCTCCTCAGCCAGAATAGCCTTCTTCATCTCCTATCACCAGCATCCAGTGCCTAGAACACAACTATCACTTGGGAAGACTCTATCATTTTATAGATGAGGAAACCAAGATCCAGGAGAAAGAATGATTTGTCCCCCAGGGTCACACAAGTCACTCACTGGCAGGGCCAGGAATCTAACCCACGTCTACCACTTCAAGCTGACACCTTTCCCTGTTGCATCCCTGCCTTCAGGAAGGGATGGGAATGAATTTGCGATAGGATTCATTTATGATCCTGTGGACAAGAGCCTCCAATGACTCTCCGGGGATGCCTAATCACCCCTTTATAAGAAAGGCTCCAAGAGCAAGATGCCGGACTCTCCCATGGGGAGAGCACCTGTAGCCTGTTGTGTTGCCTGCCCACCAGCTGGAGAGGCTGACCCTACTCAGTACTGAGATTAATGAAGAATCCAACCTCAGTTCCAGCAGGAGGTGAGCACACGATGGCAATCCCTCCCTTCTCTGCACGCAGAAAGTTCATCTTCCAGGAAATGGAGAGTTATGGTTCCTTCCCACCCCCTACCCCCAGTTGATGCTTTCTGAGAGTCAACCAGCATTTATTAAATGTGCCGTCTCATTCGGTCATTCAACCCCAGACCATAAGTTTCTTGAAGTCAGGAAAGTATCTTAAGTTTGGATCACAGAATATATTGTTCTAAAGGGCCTTTAGGATTCACCAGGTTCCAGCTTCTCTGTTTACACCTAGGAAATGGGGTCCAGAGGGTGAAAGAGACTTGCCATGTGAATGACTGCAGAGCCAAGGTCTGGGTCCTGCTCCCTGGTGTCCCACACTGATCTCTCTGCTCCATGTCTCTGGACTCTGGCCCTGACAAGAAGCCTCCTTGGATCCTTCCAGGCCTGAGAGCAGAGCAGGTCCCTGTGAAGGTGTGTCTGTCCGTTGATGGGAGAGAGCATGTCAAGATTCAAACTGCAAATCTGATCGCCTCACTTCTCTGTTGAAGGACTGCAGTGGCTTCACCCCACCCTCATATGAAGTTCATCCTTCAGGATGGGTCCTCCGAGACCCTGACCCCGATGTCGTCTCCAGACACGGCCCTGTCACTCTGAGCCACAGTCCCTCACTTGGCACTTCCCAGCTCCTCCCTTACCTTACCAGCTCACTCAGGGCTGTTTCCCACCTCTTCACTTGGCCAACTCCTGCTCTTCCTTCAGCTGAATGCCCAGCCTCCTCCTCTATGAAGCCTTCCCTCATGTTATCCCACCCCACACACAACCTCCAAAGCACCCTGGACTTTTGGATTTCCATTCAGCTCACTGTGCTTGCTTATCCTCTCTCTCTCTCCTCCACCCAACCACAGACTCCCCTGGCCTGGGACAGTCTCTCTCTCCCCATCATCAATGTACTTGCACAGTCAGGCTCTGTCATCAGCACTCAGAGGATGTTCGACAAATATTGTAGGGGTGTTTGATTGACAAGTGGAGACCACTCCCCTTTATGTGTCCTGCTCCTTGACTCAGTGGAACCACAGAGGCCACTGAGAATGGACCCAGAAGATAGTTCCTGCTAAGGCAGGGGCAGTGATAGAACAGGAGCAGCTCATGGAGAAGCCTCTAACCATCTGCCCCACAGGAGTGTCTGTCCAAGACAGCTGATGTTCCAGTCTCCATATCAGTCCAGGATGCATGTGGAGGGGGAAGTCTTCATCTCCCTCTGATCCCCGGCTGCTACTTCCTGAACCTTCTTAGGGCTAAGGGGCTGGCAGGCAGGCGGGCGGTGGGGCTGCCACACGCTCCCACTCCTAGCACATATCCTGTCGCTACCTCTTCTGGCAGGATGTTATTGCAGAGCCCAGGGCTGTTATTGTCAGGAGAATGGCTTTCCTGAGCTCATTAAAGGACCTCTGTCCTTTCTCCAGGACCGACCCCCCTTTTCCTCTGTCCCCAATCAACACTGAGAGAAAGGGGCCCTGGGACAACTCCAGGTGGAGCATCACAGCTCCCCTTCCTCCTGCTACTTCTCTACTTGGCTGGCTGATGACTATGATCACAGATGGTCATCATTCCTATTTGAATGCCTTTGTGTGCCTAGGCATTAATGGCCATTGACTAATTCAGCCCTCACAGCACTCATGTAAGATAAATGTTATTATTAATCTCATTTATACAGTAGAGCAAGCTGGGGCTCAGAGAGGTTAAATGATGTGCTCTAACTCACACAGCAAGAAGGAAAAGGAACAGTAATTCCAACACAGTTCTTCCTGACTCCAACACCCTTTCTCTTGCAACACCCACTTGCTGCCATGAGCTAGTTTTTGTTCTGTGTAAGTGGAGAATTGCAGTGAACGAGGGGGAAAAGGCCTTCCCAGGAGCCAGCATTTCCCTACAGGGAGTCTAGAGGTCACAGGATCTTCCTCACCCTTGAGAAAGAGCTAGAACTAAGATGTAATAGTGAGATAGCACCCATCTTGTGTTTGCTCAGGCCTTAACCAAATCAAAGCACTTCCACCCCTGAAGGAGAGAAGCCATTGACTCTTCATCATTCATGGGACAAGGCACAAGAAGAATGAAGATAATTAAAAACTGGAAATAATAAGTTGAATTTCTCTTAAGTGATTTTGTGTTGATGGAGCAGAAATGTAGCAGCTAAGAGACCACAGCTTGGTTACCACTAGCTGGGTAATCCTGATATATCACACCTACTAGGGACCTCATTTTCCTAATCTGGGAATCAGGAATAACTACCCCCACCATACAGCATTTGTTATATGAATCCAATGACTCCATGTCTATGAAAGTGCCTTATAAAATGAAGCATACAACCCCTGCCTCAGATTTGCTGAAAAGATTAAACACATTGATACATAAAGCACTTAGCACAGTGCCTGGAATTCAAGTGCTCTATAAATCAATGGCAGCTGCTACTTTGTCACAAAGTAATCATTTCTATTAATGCATTTATTGTTCTGCTGAAGTTGTATTTGCAGTCCTGCAGCACAGCAGACTCTGGGTAAGGAGGCAGATTGGGCCTACCTGGTCAACAGCAAGAACCCTCCTGACTTCCACACTCAACACCTAGAGCCATGCGCCATGAAAGAGCAAAACCAGCACCTCCCTACCACCTAATAAAACAGAGAGACAGGCCAGGCACAGTGGCTCACATGTGTAATCCCAACACTTTGGGAGGCTGAGGCAGAAGGATCACCTGAGCCCAGGAGTTCAAGACCAGCCTGGGCAATACAGTGAGATCCTTTCTTTACAAAAAATAAAAAATTAGCCAGGCACATGCTTATAGTCCCAGCTACTCAAGAGGCTGAGGCAGGAGGGTCACTTGAGGCCAGGAGGTCTAGGCTGCAGTGAGCTATGATCACATTACTGCACTCCAGCCTGAAAGACAGAATGAGACCCTGTCTCAAAAACAAAAACAAAAAGAAGAGAAAGAGAGACAGACAGATAAACAAAAGATGCTCTTAGAACAAAGATGTGATGGGAAGAGCAGAGCTGTCTGCAGTGGCATTCTCTTTGTTACCACCAGAGCTAAGTTTGCTACTGGACCCTTATCTGATGCCTAAAGAACCAAAAGCCTTTTACCTACATAATCTCAATCAATCACTACCACATCCCTAGGAGGTAGGGACTGTCACTTTCCAAAGAAGGAGATCAACTTTGAGAAGTTTAGTGACTTGCCCAAGCTCACTTAGTGGTGTGATCTGAACCTCAAAATGACTCTAAAGCCTACTTTCTTAAATATTCAAGCCGGGTCCAAAGACCAGTCCATCACTTACTGGCTGTGGCTTGGGACAAGCCTTTCTTGAATTTCCATTTTCCTTGCCTATGACATAAGTACACATAAAACTCACCTTGTAGGACTGCTGTGGCCATTAGGGTCTTGTGGCTACAGCCCCAACGTAATGCCTGACCAAACTGGTGCCTGGTTCTTCTCATCTTTAGGCTACATCAAATTTTCCCAAACCTGCTTGACCATAAGAATTACTTGGCATGCTGAATAAAAACAGATTCCTGAAACCTGCCCCACACCTGCTGAATTCGAATCCTTAGAAAATAGTTCCCAAGAGTCTGTATTTCTTTTTAGAAGTCTCTCATGTTCCTAATTTTTTTTTTTTTTTTTTTTTTTTGATACGGAGTCTTGCTCTGTCACCAGGCTGGAGTGCAGTGGTGCGATCCTGCACCACTGCAACCTCCACGTCCCGGGTTCAAGCCATTCTCCTGCCTCAGCCTCCCCAGTAGCTAGGACTACAGGCACATGCCACCACACCTAGTTAATTTTTATATTTTTAGTAGAGATGGGTTTTCACCGTGTTAGCCAGGATGGTCTCGATCTCTTGACCTTGCAATCCACCTGCCTCAGCCTCCCAAAGTGCTAGGATTACAGGCGTAAACCACCACATCCGGCCGTTCATAATTCTTATAATGAGATAAGCTTGAGACTCAGTAGACCAGTGCTGGCTACACATTAGAATCACCTGGGGGAGCTTTTGAAAAATCCCAATGACAGACCTCACTCAAGACCCACTGACTTAGAGTTTTGGAGGTAAGCCCAGCCAGACATCAGGACTTTTCCAAAGTTTCCAGATGATACCAATGTGCAGCCGCAGGGGTATGCTGAATAAAAACAGATTGTGTTATGCCAATGCTGTTCACAAGAATTTTGTGCCATGATGGAAGTGCTCCATATCTGTACTGTCCCGTGTGGTAAGTACCAGGCACATGTGGCTATAGAGCCCTTGAAATGTGGCCAGTGCTGCCGAAGAACTAAAATTTTAATTTTATTTAACTTTAAATAATATAAATTGGAATTTGCATAGCCACATGTGGCTATTGGCTACCGTATTGGACCACTGCAGCTCTAGACCTAGGAGGGTACACTACCCCTCTAGATAACAGGCAGGGACTGAAGAATGAAAATGAGGGGCTCTCCTCCCTTCATAAAAGGATTGGGAGGCATGCTAAGACATGTCCTTGGAAATCAAAATGTTTTTGTGGGCTCTGAGATAACAATTGGTCCTGGTGGTCTGTTCCATTTGGTAAATTCCCACCTGGCCCCTTTCTTGGCTCAACTGAAGAAGGAAAACACCCATCTCCAAGCTTCCAGCAGGAGCCTTGAAGTTGCAGGAAAAGCCAGGGGGGCAGGCTGAGGAGACTAGCTTCTATTTTAAAGACGTTTTCCTCTTTGGAATAAGCTCCATCCTCCAACGGTGCAGACAGGGTAAAGGTTGTGACTGACATTGTGTTGCTGGACATTAAACAGCCTCCGAGGTCACCCGGCAGCTGGTGGGTATGTCCTGACGGACGGCTCTTAATCGGGCTCACCCCTGCCCCTGGGAACCTTGAGGTCCTGGGGGTGGGGCAAGGAAAGGGAGGCCAGCTGTTGGTGATCACCATTTGCTTTTCCCTTCCCCCTCCACATTCCCTGCCCCTCTATGTCACCTCATCCTGCAATGCCCTGTGATGATGGATGTTTGTGAGTTAAATGGATGGACAGGCAGGCAGGGAGTGTGAGTGCAGGGAGCAGACCACCCGGGCAACAACACAGGAAGCTCTGTTGGGTTTCTTCTCCCTGGTGTGAGCTCGTTCCTGGATGACAAGCTGTGATTTCCAACCAAATGTTTTCTTACAGTCACCACACCTATTGGTTTTCTCTCCCCTGGCAATATCTTCAGTGGGGCTTCAGAGAGATCATCTTACTTTTGCTCCATTAGGGCGATGAGACTTCGAGACCAGGGTACAGGGTCATGGAAGTAATACAAAGCTGCAGAAGAAGGCCTGGGTTGGGGCAAGGCAAGCTTCTGAGCCCAGTCACTTCACCCTTAATATGGGATAGCAACACCCACTTAACAAGGTGGTTGTGAAAATAAAACCAGATGATGATTAATAGATGAATGTGGCTGTCAAGTAGCAGGGGTACTCAAGTACGATTCACCCTTGAATAACACAGCCTGCCTCTCCCGCCTCCCCTTCCATCTCCTCCACCTCTTCTGCCTCTGCCATCCCTGAGACAGCAAAACCAACCCCTCCTTGCCTCCTTCTTTCTCCTGGGAATGTCCACTCTTTTGGCTTCCCTGAGCCACGTTGGAAGAAGAAGAATTGTCTTGGGCCACACATGAAATACACTAACACTAACAATAGCTGATGAGCTTAAAAGAAAAAAAATCACAAAAAAGTCTCATAATGTTTTAAGAAAGTTTATGAATTTGTGTTAGACAGCATTCAAAGTTGTCCTGGGCCACATGCAGCCGTGAGCCGTAAGTTTGACAAGCTTGCTCTACTCAACGTGAAGACAACCAGGATAAAGACTATTATGATAATCTACTTACACTTAATGAAGAGTAAATATATTTTATTTCCTTATGGTTTTCTTAGTAACATTTTCTTTTCTCTAACTTCCTTTATTGTAAGAATATGGTATAAAATACATATAACATACAAACTATGTGTTAATATGTATGTTATCAATAAGGCTTACCATCACCAGTAGACTATTAGTAGTTTTCGGGGAGTACAAAGTTATACACGGATTTTTGACTGTGCATTGTTTAAGGGTCAACTGTAGTTTAAAGTCTGAGCTTCCTTAACTCTGTTCCCTAGGATTTCTTAGCCTTCACCTTGCCCTTTTTCCTAAATTTTCTCTTAATATTTCTCAACCCTAAGCTGTGACCTTTGACCCCTGTGGATTTGTTACCCTAAGAAAATCCCACAAACACCCTAACAATCCCCAGGCCTGAATGACCACACACAATGGGTATGGATTCCCCACCTAGAGTCAGACAACCCTCCAGCACCATTTTCTCTACAAACCTTCAGTTCCACTCAAGAAGCAACTGATGTGTGTTACTGGTTTGGTGGCTGAACCTCATGCATGGGGTGGAACAGAAAGAAGGCTATAAAGTCGGTAAGACACGTGCCCTGCATTCAAAGAACTCCTACCGGTGACAATAACTCACAACACCAGGTTTCAAAGCACTGTCCTGACTACTAGCTCTTAAAACAACCCAATGAAGAGAATGTGGAGATTAGTATGAGAATTCCCATATTCCAGATGAAGACATTGAAGTTCAGAGAGTTGAAATGTTTTGCTTAAGTTCACAAGTAGTAGATGTACAACCAAGTCTCAAAGTCAGATTTTTTTTACTTCAAATGATAATTTGCATGCAAAGCACTCATAATAGGAACTGAATTATTGATGAGCATTCTTCATTATTGTTTATCCAAATTCCATGCCCTTTCCAACAGAAGGGAAAGAGTGTGCATTTTAAAAACAAACAGGCTGTGATTAATTACAAACACAGGTGTTTAAAGAAACCAGATATTAATATACACTTACAAGCCAAGGAACTATATTCATCTTTTAAGGAACTTGGTAATGAATGTGGGTTGGGAAAACTTTTGGAGACATGATAGTTTTAAAAAGGGTAGTATTTGTATGGGGAGAGAGAAGAATCAGGGGCCTTCCAGACAGGGGGTACTGAAGTTAGCATGCACATTTTACCAATTTATACAACTCAGCTATGAGGCCAAGCATTGAAGATGCAGAAATAAATAAGACAAGGTCGCTGCCCTGGAGGAAATTACAGTCCAAAGCTGATGCTTTTCTATGGGACTGTCAGGGAGGATATCCAGGAAAGTAGGCAACTCGAGCTCAGATACTGAAAGGGCCTTGAATGGCAGTCCAGGGAATTCGGAGTTTATCCTGCCGGCAAGGGGTTGTGAAGAGGACTTTTCCTCCAACCCCTTTGTCCTGGTCTTGGACAAAGGGCCACACATGACATAGCCTCACAGTCCCCCTTTAGCTACCTCCCCCACTACCCCGCCCCAAAGCTCATTATTCTGTAATCAGTTCGGAGAACCACAAGACAAGGCGATAAATCTGGTCCTTAGTGACACTCCTCTTTCCCCTCCCCCAAGCCTTTGTTCCTCCCTTTGTCTGGAGATGAAGCCTCCCACCCACCCACCGGCTGGAGCTTCCAGGCTCCCTCCCTTCCCAGCCCCTCCTCTCTCTCAAGCGCCCCTGCAAATGGGCTTTATGGTTTCCACGGAAACCAGAGAGGCCCAGGAGCCAGGGGGTCTTTTGCAAAAACACTGTTTGTGCCACCATTTGGGGTGGCAGAGACAGTGAGAAAGTGCAAAAACAGCTTACAAATGCCTGCCCATCATGCTCTCGATCTGGTTTAAGTGGGGAAAGAGGAACTGAGCTCATTTCCACTTCAAAGGGGCTGTGTTGGGTTAAGTCCAAACTCAGCCTGGCAGCCCTAAAGGAACACACATATGCACAGGCGCACACACACACACAGACACACACACACACACAGACACACACACACACAAAGACACACACACACAGACACACACACACACAAAGACACAAAGACACACACACACAGATACACACACTCATATACATACCCAGTCACACTCATATAAACACAAACATAAACACACACACACTCCTATACCTACCCGCACAGCCACACTCAAGCACAAACATATACACACACACACACTTTCACACATACACACAAATCCACACTCACCAGCCCCGCCTTTCCCAGTACAGCTGGGCTCAGTCCACTAAGAAAACAAACCTTCCATAAGACAGCCCTGCACTTAGAACACCCTCTGTACATTCCCAGGATGCAAAAACCCTTCCAATGACCACACCCTCAGAAGCCCCCATCCCCCAGCCCCTTGTGCCTCAGTCCCCTGGTCTTAAAACTGACAGTTCAAAACTTGCTTCTTGCCTCTTTAAGCACCTGGTGACAGGAGAGTCACAGATGCTGCAGACTGGAAGCCCCCCACCCCTGTCGGCTTTCCCACGTGATCCCAGCAGAAGCCATTGATCCTGCTCAACAGGACAAAGGATGGTGGGCAAGTGATAAATGAGGACAGGAGAGAAACATTTCATTTCCCACTTTGATGGGTTCCAGCCTGAAGATCCAGACCCCTAAGAGTGTATTCAGGTTGGAAAGGCACCCTCCAAGTACCAGTAGTATTTTCAGGGTTCTGTGGATGCTGGACAAGCCATAGCAGTGCAGGGGAATGAAAGTGTGCAGCCTCTATCTTTGTAACAAGTAACAGCATTCCAGATTGTACTCATCGGCCATTACAAAGCAGTCTGGAATCTGGTGGGCGGTTCTGGTGTTCCAGCTTAATTTTTTAGTAAATAAAATAACCTAGGGATTAGTTCTTATCCAGCACAGTCTGCTTGGGAGACCAGATATTTCTGAGCATCAGGGGGTCTTGGTGGTGGGGAAACACAGAGGTCAAGCCCCTTGAGTCGGTGCTTTATGTAGGGCCCACCCGAAGTCCTTGCTTAGTTTACTCTGTACCTCTACTTTGCATTAATTCTTTACTCCTCAAAGGGAAAATAAGAGACCCCTCCTCTTCCTCTGCCTAGATCTCACCCCTGAATGTGGAGTGGAATTTAAATCTGGTCCTGTCTCTGCTTAAATCATTTATCCACCACCTGAGTGGCAACTTGGTGTAGTAGATTTGGGTTCCAACTTTTCTGGGTCCCTAACCTGACTCTTTCAATTGCAATATTGCCTTAGCAAAGTTCATTTAACTCTATTTTTTTTTTTTAAACAGAGTCTCACTCTGTCACCAGGCTGGAGTGCAGTGGCATGATCTTGGCTAACTGTAACCTCCGCCTCCCAGGTTCAAGTGATTCTCCTGCATCAGCCTCCCAAGTAGCTGGAATTACAGGTGCATGCCACCACGCCCAGCTAATTTTTGTATTTTCAGTAGAGACGGGGTTTCACCATGTTGCCCAGGCTGGTCTCGATCTCTTGACCTCGTTATCTGCCCGCCTTGGCCTCCCAAAGTGCTGGGATTGCAGACATGGGCCACCACACCCAGCCTATGTTGCTGTAAATGACAAGAATTCATTTTTTTTATGAGAATACATGGACACACGGAGGGGAACAACACACACTGTTGCCTGTCAGAGGGTGGGGGGTGAGAGGAGGGAGAGCACCAGGAAGAATAACTAGTGGATGCTGGGCTTAATACCTGGGTGATGGGATGATCTGCACAGCAAACCACCAGGCACACATTCACCCTATGTAACAAACCTGCACATGTGCCCCTGAACTTAATAAAAGTTGAAAATAAAAACATAAAATAAAAAATCAAGATTTCATTTCTTATAGCCAAATAGTGTTCCATTGTGTATATACACCATATTTTCTTTATTCATCCATTAATAGACACTCAGGTTGATTTCATATCTTTGCTATGGTGAAATGTGCCACAATAAACATGAGAGTAAAGGTATAACCTGATACACTGATTTCCTTTCTTTTTCTTTTTTTTTTTTTTTTGATAAATACCCAGCAGTGGGATTGCTTGGATCAAATGGTAATTCTATTTTTAGTTTTTTGAGAAATCACCATACTGTTTTCCATGGTGGCTGTACTAATTTACATCCCCACCAACAGTGTATAAGAGTTCCCTTTTCTCCACATCCTTGCCAGCGTCTTTGACTCTAAATTTTATCTGCAAAATAGATAGAATAACATAGGACCCTCTCCTCAAGACAGTTGCAGGGATTGCAAGATAACAATAGTAAAATGCCCTGCAAAAGTGTGTTCAAAGCACACTACTTCTCTTCAGTGTGCTGGTAGATGTGAAACAACATTAATCATGTTCTCTCTTGCCATGTTGTTTATCTCAAGGAGGCAATAGATCTTATATGTGCACATTAATGCCTAGTGTCTCTACACCAGTCCCTCACTACCCATGAAAATTAATTTTGAACCAATCAATTTTGAGTGCCTAATGTGTATTCTCAGCACAAAGATCCAAGCAAAACTGTAAAGTGCAAAAAAGAAAAATTTCATTGTTACTTATGTACAAACAATTTACTGAGCAATTTGACCCCACATACCAAGCACTGCAGACGACCAGGGGGTGAGTAAAATGCAATCACTTTCAACCAAACAGTACAATATTGTAGTTAAGAAATCCTCGGGCCCTGGATCCCATCCACCCTCGTTCAAATCCCAACTATCCCTTGCTGGCTATGATTTCATGTTTGGCAGGTTACGTCATCCTTCTGAACATCAGTTTACTCATCTGTATAATGGGGGTATAATGGGGCTGATCACAATAGCCCTTGTGCCTCCCAGAATTAAATGAAATTAAAGCCCATGAAATACTCCAGCTGAGGAAGTGTCCAGCTTGGAAATTGTTCAATTGACTTTGCTGCTGGTGCTGCTGTTGTTATTATTATTATTAGCAATGCCACTTAAGTCTAGAACAACTCAATCACAAAATAATACAGTAGAGCAGAGAAGGATAGGGAGAACAGTGAAGAGTCCAGGGGACCCTGGGAACCCCACTTGCCCTTTCCAGGTCTTTGTTACATAAAGCTAAATGGAGCGGTGAGACCCAATGATCCTTCATCGCTCACTGACTTCAAGGAGTACTCAAGAAGTAAGGGTCACAAACAAACAACAAAAACAAAAACTACCAACGAACTCATAAAGCTTACAGTTCAGCTGGAGTCCTCCCATTCACCTTGGTTCCCTGACTGCCAAATTTTTTTCTGGAAAGCTCCAGTTGCTCCTCCCTGTGCCTTCCCCTCCTCCCCACCACCTTCCTCCTCCTGGGGAAGCAGAAGTTCCTGAGGGCCAGAGAGGAGGTCAGAGATCTCCACCGGCCTGGCCAAGAGCCACCAGGACAGCTTCCTGCCAGCAGCCTTCAGTAAGGAGCTGTCCATCTCAGGGAAACCCAAATAAAGTCACCTCTCCACCCGAGAGCATTTTGCCCTTTAAGGAAAGATTGTATTTGGAGCCCAGAACATATTTATGGCTTCATGAAGATTTCATCCAACCTTTTACGGACAGAGTCAGCATCAAAGGGGCCTGCCCAGGCCCATCTGCTACCACTTTCATAGGCTGACCTGGGCCTGGATCCTGAATAAATTATGAAGTCACTGAACTTTGTTTCTGATAAGCCCCTTTTCGTGCTTTCTTCCCTTTTCTACCTCCAATCCCACCCGTCTTCCACACCATGGCCAAGTACCCTTACAATCTAACCCCAATCAGTCTTTCCAAAGATGAGGCTCCAAGTAATTATTCCAAATGACTATCTAATATAGCTTAATACATTTCCACCCTAGAAAAGTTTAAAGAAGATACATAATAAGCATTTGTGTGTCCAGAATTTTACAGACATCTCATTTTATTCTCACAACAGCCTATAAGTAGGTACAATTGCCACCTCTACTTGGCTGACAACTGAGGCTCAGAGGTGTTTTCTAACTCATCCATAGATTCAATTGCTGGTAAGGGAAGAGCTGACAGTTCACCTGAGGTCTCTGTGAGTCCAAAGCCGTATGCATCTCACGATACCAAAATACACCAAAAGACAGAGGAATTTCTGGCATTGCCAGGTGTCTAAAGGGATCTGCAGGGAGAGACAGAAGTTTGAGAAATCTCCCTTAAGGAACTAAAATAGATCTACCATTTGATCCAGCAATCCCACTAATGCATATCTACCCAAAGGAAAAGAAGCCATTATACGAAAAAGATACTTGCACGTGAATGTTTATAGCAGCACAATTTGCAATTGCTAAAATACGGACCCAGCCCAAATGCCCATCAACCAACAAGTGAATAAAGAAAATAAAGAAATTGTGGCATATACATATATATACGATATATACATATATACACCATATATATATATACACACCATATATATATACCATATATATACATACCATATATATATACCATATATATACACACACCATATATATATATATATACACCATATATATAATTGTGGCATATATATATATATATATACACACCATGGAATACTACTCAGTCATAAAAAGGAAAAAAATAATGGCATTCACGGCAATCTTGATGGAATTGCAGACTATTATTCTAAGTGAAGTAACTCAGGAATGGAAAAACAAACATCATATGTTCTCACTCATAAGTGGGAGCTAAGCTATGAGGATGCAAAGCCATAAGAATGATACAATGGACTTTGGGGACTCGGGGAAAGAATGGGAAGGGGGTGAGGGATAAAAGACTACACTTTGGGTACAGTATACACTGCTCTGGTGATGGGTGCACCAAAATCTCAGAAATCACCACTAAAGGACTCATTCATGTAACCAAACACCACCTGTTCCCCCAAAAACCTATTAAAATAAAAAAGAAGTTTCAGGAATCTCTATCACACTCTGTAAGGCAGCTTCCAAAGCTTCCTTCTCCTGGAACCAGATCTGGGTCTGTGCATGACTGAGGTGTCAGGCAGGACAGCCTCACTCTAGGACACTTCTGATGGCAACAGTTAGCCACGTTTCAGCATCCAAAAAAAGAGAATTCACCGGACTTCCCAGCAATTTTAGGAAAGGAAGGCAAGAGATTTCGAGACACTAGGTAAATTTTTGACATTCCATTAGATAGATAGGTGGATAGGTAGAGAGAGAGAGAGTATGAATACAGATTGAGAGTTTTCATGCCACAAGTTTCATGTCAATTAAAAATAATCCAGTGGGACTCAGGAGCACGGCATGGTGAAACTTGCACGGATTTTACAATTAGGCAAACCCAGCTCTGAATCCTGGCATGGCCGTGTACTGATCACATGACCTTGAGCAAATTGCCTAACATTTCCTGAGCTTCAGTTACTTCTGCAAAAATGAGATGATAATACTTCCTTTTACAAAGTTATTCAAAGGATTTGGGATTGTTTATGTAAAACACCTAACAGTGTGCTGAGAGTGGCAGATGTCCACCAACCAGATACATCCCCAGGCTGAACGGAGGCCAAGAAGCACTTCACCCATTCCATCCTTATCTCTCAAAGTCCAGGGCAGTTCCAAATAAAAGGCAGATATTTTCACCAACCAAAGCAGCTGCTCTGGCTTTCCCGGAACAGGCCTCTGCCTCAGAGCCCTTCATTGACCACCCATGTTTCCATGGTTGAACGTTTACAGGAGAACATTCAGCCTCCCCTTGTGGTTCATGGAGCCCTTAAATCCCCCTCCAGCCTCACCTCCTGTCATTCCCCTCTCCCACTCACACACCTCCAGCCAGACACTCAGTGCACCATTCACCAGACACAGTATTCCGTGGCTTTGATCACACAGTTCCCATTTCCTGAAGTGTCCTCCTAGCCCTCCACCTAAAGAACTCCCTGTCATCATTAGGAGCCCAACCTAAATCCATCAAGCGGAATTAACCGCTACCTTCTCTGTGATCCCATCACACTTTACAATGAATGGAGAAGAGGAGGGGTGGGGGCAAGGTGCACAACTTGCTAAGTGCCCACTATGCGCCACTAGCAACTCCACAGACTCTAACCACCACATGAGTTAAGCCTTATTATCCCCACTTTGCAGATAGGAAAACTAGTTCACAGAGCCCAGCGTATGATCCTGAGGTCAAAAGGCTCCAAGGCCCCTTTCCCCTACTTACTATACTCCATGGACACATGGACATGGTCCTGTCTGTCTCCCACACTAGACTGAGTTTTCTGTAAACAGAGTTCATATTTTCATCATCTCTGAAACCTCACGGCCCCCTCGGCTCAGGCTCAAGCCCAGTCCCTGACACCTAGCAAGCCCCACTAACATTCAGCATGCATAGGGAGCTGCTGGGTCATCTGTCTATTTATTATAGAGACTGGATGGAAAGAATTCTGGATCACTGAGGAAGAGCATTTCCAGGTTGAATGTCTCAGCTTTCTTCATGGACACCAGTTCGCTGGTGGGAGGCTTTAACCTTGACAACCATCCACTTTCGGGGGCTTGAAGAAAGATTTCCTGTATATATTTTAACTGCATTCATTTTAAAGGGAACTCTAAATTTTTAATACAAAAAGCCCAAGTGTACTGTGATCTCTGAGCTGGCTATCACACTTCGTAAAGATAGGCCATGGGACCAGGAAGGACCGCAGCTCAGCCAGGACTGCGCAACTTGGGGCAGCTTTCCCAAATTCTAGGAACCAAGGTCCAAGGAAACCAACAACCTTGTGGCCAACCTTTGCACATCTGTGGCACACAAGGTTTTTTTAAGCAGACTCACTATGTTTGAGGATCTTCCCACAATCTGAGCACCACTTTCCAAGTTAGAAGCTAGAATTCACTTTCCCAGATTCCTTTGCCACTAATGCTAGCATTGACCTGGGCTCCACCATTCACCAAGTGTGAAAATTCACTTTGAAAGAAAACCACCTGAGGATCCAGGAGCTGCATGAAGCCGATTTTCTGTCTAAGGAGGGAAAGTAGCAGAGAATCTTCAAAGTCTCAGAGACAGCTGCAGTGAGAGTTCTGGAGATCCAGTCCCAGACAGAACTTCACGGTGCAAGCAGAGAAGTCCCTACTAGAGACAGATAATTCTCAGATGATTCCTTCCTGCAGCCCAATGCTCCAGAGATTCTGTGAGCTCCCTGAGTTCCTTTATCAAATTCATTTTCTGCATAAATAGCTGAGAGGGGTACTGTTTACATCTTGTATTGTAAAGAGGGGTATTGTTTACATCTAAGATCCCCGAAGGATGCAAACCTCATGCCTGCCAGCCTAACAAAATCAAACCTCATCGGACTGAATAGACCTCACAGCAATATCTGACTCCCCACCTAAACTGGGATCTCATGTGCCTGGAACATGCTGAGTAGAAAATAAATATGTGCTGAAATACAATGAAGAAAAGCCACAAGACTCCTTGTTCACAGGTTGAATCTTGGACTCTGAGACCCTGCACCGAAGAAGGAAAAGGACAGTTCCCATCCCATATGCTAAATAAGTCTCTGCAGTGCAGTGGGCTGTCTTTGTGACTCACAAGCTGGTTCTGAAAATCTTCTTTCGGAAGGAGTTTCCAGAAATGGTTGGAACAATGGCAGCATCACTAGAAAGAAGTCTCTCACCTCCCACAGAAGCAACTTTGAGGGACAACATATTTTTGAATTTGCAATTTTGGAGTGTTTGCTAAAACATCACTTCCATTATAGGGTGTCACAGAAAGCACTGAGTCTCAGGAGAGCAGAGTTTAGTTCCAGTTCTGCCCCCAACCTACAGTGTGTCTGAATTATTTCCTCCTTCTTTGGGCCTCAGTTTCCCTGTCTGTAAAATGAGAAGGTTGATCTTTGCTCCCCATTGCCTCTTTCAGGCTCTTTCTCCTTCAAAAAGCTGATTCCTTTGACACCTATGCCATTCAACCAGGGTGTCCAGGCACAGCTGTACAGGTTATACAAGTAGGTTGCATCCTGGCCAAGGAAGCCCACCTGAGAGGTAAGTAGAATCCAGCCCACATCCCCACAGGCGTCACCCTTGGGTGGGCCCGCTTCCACTGGAGAAAGACTACTTTTTCCTAATTTGTACAAAGGCATCATATGAGCTAGCCAAGGCCCCAATTTCAGCTATTTTATACCCTTGCCCTCCTCCTTACTGGGGTCATTCTACTCACCTCTTAATCATCCTTCCTCCTTCACTGAAGACTTTAGGTCCTGGTTACAATCATGTTCACTGCCCTCTTCCTACAATAATTCTCAAAACTTCAATATCTGTATGTGCAACTCAACGAGCCACTTGGTCTTGTTCTTTGATGTTTTCTACCCCACCAACCTTTGTCCTCACTCCACTGCAGCCACCCACTCAACAGCCACACCATAGACCATGACATGGCCAGAAATCTCTATTTCCAAATCCTTCTATTTGGCCTTCATTTCCAGTAATTCTAGCTCATTTGCTCTGGTACCCTTCATCCCCACACTTCTGGCCCCTTATCTTGACCACTAACCCATTGATCTCACCACACACCCACCCTCCAGCAGCCACTTCCTGCCTTTGTTTCCTTCCTTACATAAATTAGATTCCATTGTCCTTCTTTATAATTACTCTCACAAACAATCCCAACGCCCTGGAGCCTCTCTCCTCTGTCACAATCCCTTTGCAAAACTCCAACATGTGCTTATTACCTTCTCTGTGCCTTTGCTGCAGCATCTAAATGTTGCCAGAGAACTTCACACAACCTGGCTAAGTGATTTCACTTTAAATTCATGGACACAAATCTCAAGTGGAAAATTGGAGCTGGAAGCTTCCCTAGGAATTTTTGTTTTTTCGTTGCCCAAGATAACATTTTATCCCCCTAAAACTTTCTAGACCCCTTTCCCTACCCCATGCTCAGCAGATGATCTCATTTTACAATTCACTTAGAAATGGGAGGTTACAAAGCCAGGACTTCCTGATCTTCCCACCACCAAACTCTACCAACTTATCTGCTTCTTAATCCATCCTCTCCTACGTCCTTTCTAGTGCACTGAATAAAATGTCCTCTCTTCCTAGGAAAGGCTGACCCTCCCACATGTGCTCCTGCCTGCATCCCTTCTGTCTTTCTTGAAGGCTTTTCTCCTCCAGTCATCTCTTCTCCACAAAAGCATCAGTCTCTTCATGGCTCATTCTTGCCCTCACCCTCACTTATAGTTTTGGTCTTTCTTAGATTGTTACTAGCACACAAACATGCCCTTGTATCTTTAATTTTTTAAAGCCCTTCTCTAGCTATTGCCCATTTCTCTCCTTACCTTCCCAGCAAAACTGTTATTGTTTTGGGGTGTTTGTTTGTTTGTTTGTTTGTTTGTTTGAAACAGAAACTGGCTGTGTTTCCCAGGCTGGAGTGTAGTGACACAATCTTGGCTCACTGCAATTTCCACCTCCCAGGTCCAAGCTATTCTCCTGCCTCAGCCTCCTGAGTAGCTGGGATTACAGGTGCACACCACCACACCCACCTAATTTTTGTATTTTTAGTAGAGATGGGGTTTCACCATGTTGGCCAGGCTGGTTTCAAACTCCTGACCTCAAGTGATCTGTCTACCTTGGCCTCCCAAAGTGGCAAAACTGTTGAAAAGAGTTGTTTTCACAAGCATTCTCCAATCCTCCTATCCACTCGTCAGCTCTCTGCAGTCTGTCTTCTACTGTCTGTCTTCTACAAACACAACCTGTAGTCTATCTTCTATGAACACAATTCACTGTAACCCCTGACCCATGTCACCAAAGACCTCTGTGTCACCAAATCCAGTGGATCGTTTTCTGGTTTCCTCTTATCTGACCTCTCTGTAGGATTCTTCACAGTTCCATCTCTATGATGTTCAGATTTTTATCATCAGTCCAGACCTCTCTTCCATTACATATCAAACTGCCTTCTCAACATCCGCACTTGAATGTCTTATTAACATCTCAGGAATGATATGGTGATGTAGCCAAAACCTAAGCTATTCTTTCTCCAGCCTTCCCTATCTCACTAATTGGTATCACCCTCTTCCCAGTTGCTCAAGTCAGAAAGTTTGGATAATTCCTTCTTTCTCACCCCCTCATCCACCCACTCACTCAAACCCAGGCGATCAGAAGTCCTATTCATTCTGCATCAAAAATATAGCTCAAACCTGCCTCTCTTCTCAGTTGCTGTGGATACCACCCTAATGTGACCCACCAACATCCCTCATCTTGGCCTCTGAAGTAGCTTCCTAACCGGTCTCTCTGCTTTCCCTCCTACTCCCCTTCAACTCATTCCCTATGCAACAGCTTGAGGAACAATTTTAAATGCAAATTAGATTGTATCATTTTTCTGATGATTTCTCATTGCATTTAATAAAGTCACACTTCTTACCACAGCCTTCAAGGTCCTACATGACCTGGCCCCTTTTTGGCTCTCTTTGTCTCAGGCCACCCCCTGCCTGGCTTCCTGGGACTAGCCTTCCAGTTGCCCTGACAACCTTCCCAGAACCTACTGTGATCTTTCTTGCTTCACAGTCTCTGCATTTGCTGTTTTCTGCATCTGGGACTCTCTGAGCCTCCGTTGCACAGGGCAGGCTCATTCTTATTCTTCAGATGTCAACGGAAAGGTCAGCTTCCAAGATGGCCTTCCCCAAGCACCTTTTCTGAAGTTGTACTTAATATTATTTTCCACTTCAGATGTTATTTCCTTCATAGTATGTTCCATAACTGGCCATTTCATAAAATGGCCAGTTTATGTATCTGTGTATTTTCTATCTTTCCCTACAAAAATGCTAAGCTAGACAAGGTCTATCTCATCACTATAATCCTAGTGGCTAGCTGAGTGAGTGGCACACAGTAAATGTTCAACAAGTATTTGATGAATGAATGAGTCATCATGATTTGTCCCCAGTCTAATCCTTCCTCCTTTATTCCACATTCCTTTGTATGTATACCCAACACACAAGCTAGTCAACTTGCTCCTCAGACCTCCTATGCTCTTCCTTACCCTCTTTCACACTGTCTCCTCAGGCTGGATGCCTCCTACCACCCCCATTCCACATTCAAGTCACCAAAATCCTAGTTATCCTTTCAGGCCCATCTTCAACTCTAATGCCTGAGATTCCACCATTAGCCATTCTTAGAATTATAGAATGTCAGCCCTTATAGATGGTGGATCAAAATTACATTTATCATTTCAATTGCCCAGAGTGCTGCATGGAGAGGGATTATGAGTTTTGGCACCACAATCATACCAGAAAGGCCATCCATAACAATAGGAAGGTTATGACTGTCCCAATCTTTTTCAAGCTCCTCATGATACAGATGGGAAAACTGAGGTTGAGGCAGGTGGCATGACTTCCCAGGGAACACACTAAGTAGGAGACGGTGATGGGAACAGAGTTTCCATCTCTACATCACCAGTGTGGAATTATATCAGGCTACCTTTTCTACATCCCAGTCTGAGAAGCTGAGGCTCACATAGACTTGAAAGGTGATTGAGATTGTGAATTTTTAATTTAATATATATATATATGCAAGATATTATTTTTATCTTTCTTTTTCAACAAAGTTCTGACCAGATTAATTTCATATGCAAACTTCTGTCAATTTTTTCTAGTTTTGTTTTGATACTACCAAGATAAAAATATTTTAAATACAAGATTAATTACCAACCACCACATTCCTGGAATTGTGCACTCTCTTCTTCCTTGCACCCTTGCAAAGATCCTCCAAGACTTCTGTAGTGGAAAGGAGCTTCTCAAGTCACTTTTCTTTGTAACAGGAGTGGCAAACAGGAGAATGGGAGGAAATTAAAACCTATAGATTACTTCTTATGTGCTGGAGACTGTGAGAGTTCCTTGCAAACATTACCTCAGGTAACCTTCAAAATAGTTCTCTGAGGAAATTGCTTTTAAAGCTATTTTATTTTGACAGATGAGAAAACAGCCTATTAATGGGTGTTATGCCCCTAGATCTTTGCTCCCCTGAATGTAGTCTATGAACTAATAGCATCCACCATTGTTGGAGGGCTTTAAGAAACAAGATACTAAGGACACCCTCTAGATCTGTTGAATCCAAATCTGTATTTTAACATCTCCTAATGATTCTTCTGCACACACAAGTTTAGGAAGCAATGGTCTAGATAATACAACCAAATAACAGATGAATTAGGATTCTAATTAGGTCTGTCTGAGGACTAATTCCCAGAATCTACAACAAACTCAAACAAGCTAGCAAGAAAAAAACAAACAATCTCATCAAAAAGTGGGCTAAGGACATGAATAGACAATTCTCCAAAGAAGATATACAAATGGCCAACAAACATATGAAAAAAATGCTCAACATCACTAATGATGAGGGAAATGCAAATCAAAACCCCAATGCAATACCACCTTACTCCTGCAAGAATGGCCACAATCAAAAAATAAAAAATAATAGCTGTTGGCATGGATGCAGTGAAAAGGGAACACTTCTACACTGCTGGTGGGAATGTAAACTAGTACAACCACTATGGAAAACGGTGTGTAGATTCCTCAAAGAACTAAAAGTAGAACTACCATTTGATCCTGATAGCCCACTACTGGGTATCTACCCAGAGGAAAATAAGTCATCGTATGACAAGGATACTTGCACACACAAGTTTTTAGCAGCACAATTCACAATTGCAAAAATGTGGAACCAACCCAAATGCCCATCAATCAAGGAGTGGATAAAGAAACTGTGATATATATACATATATATGTATACACATATACATGTATATACGTATATACACGTATACGTGTATATATACATATACACATACACATATGTATATACACATATACACATACACATATGTATATACACATATACATATATACGTGGGTGTATACATACACATATATATACATATATATATAAAACATATATACATATATATACACACACAATGGAACACTACTCAGCCATAAAAAAAGAATGAATTAATGGCATTTGCAGCAATCTGGATGGGATCGCAGACTATTATTCTAAGTGAAGTAACTCAGGAATGGAAAACCAAACGATGTATGTTCTCACTTATAAGTGGGAAATAAACTATTCGGATACAAAGGCATAAGAACGACACAACAGACTTTGGGAACTCAGAGGGAAAGGGTGGGAAGGGGGTGAGGGATAAAAGACTACAAATCAAGTTCAGTGTATACTGCCTGGGTGGTGGGTGCACCAAAATCTCACAAATTACCACTAAAGAACTTACTCGTTTAACCAAATATCACCTGTTCCCCAAAAACCTATGGAAATAAATAAATAAATTAGGTCTGCCTGACTGTACCCTTAACAGAATGGACACCCAAGACACAAACATCGTGGTTTTAAAGGAGACAGGTTAAGTCATCACTGGTATAAGTTGTACACATCAGCAGCACATCTGATTACCTGTCTAGTCCTATGACCATCCCTTCCAAAGCTGTCTACAATGTAGAAAGGAGGAAACCTGGTGATGTGGAAAGTAAACAGGCCTGAAAATCAAGAGAACCAAACCAGCCAAATCAACCACTACTTAGCAATGGCCCAGTGTCCCAGGGCCCCATTTTCTTTACCAGTGAAGTGGGACTGGAGGGACAATTCTGTGCAGCTCAATTATGTGGCATTCCTCACATCAGCCCACTGAGCTGCTCCTGAAACCATCAGAGTAGAAATCACTTCCTTCTCCAACCTGTAATGTCTATCTCTAGTCAATTCCTTTGGTAATTGCTGTGTTGCTTTTTCCAAACATAAAAATAGCTTATTATCTGCACAGCAAATAACCATCACCTTGCAGGGGTCCTGACAGTGCCCCAGTACAGAGCTTGCAACCAGCTGAATCCTAAGAATCTCAAGGGCTTCCAGGTCTCATCCCGGAAGCCAACTAACCACCATATTGGTGTATCTATTTTCCTAAGGGCAAGGGCTGCATCCATTATCTTCATTCCTGGCACGTTGCAGTGACAGTCCTCAGACTCTGGGTCACTGGCTGGCCCTGCTACCAAAGTTTTTTTTCTGCTAAAGAGACCAGACCCGGTCCACGTAGAGTAAAGCCTGGGTCCCTCTCTCTCTTTCTATTTTTTTGAGACTGAGTCTCACTGTGTCGCACAAGCTGGAGTGCAATCGCACAATCTCGGTTCACTGCAATCTCTGCCTCCCTGGGTCCCTCTCTTATCATCAGAGGCTGCTTCATCCCTATCATACAGGAAGACCTAGTGACCTTAGGGACATATTCCAGACCCAGAAGAAAGACTGCCAAATCTTCCTCGATGCCCTTAAACATGGCCCAGATTTTCTCAGGGAACGGAAGAGAAGTTTTCCTTGAGTATTTTTATACAGGGGGAAATCCAAGATCTTATTTTCTATTCAATCGGTACATCCCCCACCCTCACCACAAAAGTCCTTCCTCCATGAACAGTGGATGTCCAGACATGGATTCCCAGAAACTGTTTGACTCAGTGTCGGCTCCACTTGGCTCATCCATAACTTCCCCAGGAAGCCAACCAGCTTTGCAAACCATCATCCATCCAAAGAGACCTGAAGACCTAGTTTCCAGTATGAACACTGAACTGGTTGCCACAATGCCATAATTTGAGAAATTCTGCTGAGAAGATCAGAAGAGCCCATGTACCATGGTCCAGCCAGTCCTTTTTTCTGTCACTGGGTCCCCAGAGGGCAGCCCTTAGGAGCCAGAACATTTGGTTTAATTGGGTCAGGGGTTAATAATCTTAGTACTTATCAATCCCAGTGTGTCTCTTGTAGCACCAGTCCTAACTTCATCTTTCTGGGCTATTTTAAAAGCAATCAACTTGTTTGCTGTAAGCAAAAACCAGCTTTTCTCACCTTTTCTCCTGCACTTTCTCTATTCAGTTGTTCGATTATTTAAGCAAACATCCTTTAAGCATCTGCCACATTCCAGGCACTGGGAACAAAAAAGATGCATAAACGTAGCCCTAGTCTAGAGGATCTGCCCAGAGAGCAGAAGAGATGAGAAGGAATGCAGAGCCCAGACAGAGTGGCCAGATCTGGGCTTTTCTAGAGACCTGTTCCCTGTGCGCAGGGGACAAGGGGCTGGGAGTACTAGGGTGCTGGCCAAGTGGGGTGCTTCAAGTAGGTTTGGGGAATCCATTTCTGATTATCCACTGTCCATGTAAGAAGCTGCCTCAAGTAGCAAGAGATGTGCCATATAACTAAATAATAAAGTACAGAACAATATTCGGGGAGATGCTCACTGAGCACAAATAGTCCTTTGTCTCATGTCCTCAGGTTTCTAGTTATTTAGGCAAGAAAATGCACCCTAAGGTGGCTTTGGAAGTAGGAGAATGTCAGACATTTATACCCCTGTGGAATTGAACGTGGGCCTGTGCATTGAGCCAGCACACTAGCCCTGTCTTGGGACCCCTCTGTGGTGCAGACCAGAATATGGGTGTTTGTCCCCACTGCATCCTGTACTTCCTCCGCAATATGCTTACTGCACTTTATTATTGATTGTTAAACTCCAAAAGAGCAGGAATCACATGTATATCTTGTATTGCTTCATCTCATCACCAAGCATGTGCCTGATATATGGACATAGAAAGATATTTCTACATGGGACAAAATACCTGAGCAATGTTCCTCCAAACCGTCAAGGTCATCAAAAACAAAGCCTGTGAAACTGTCACAGCCAAGAGAAGTCTGAGACATGATGACTAAATGTGATGTGGTATTCTGCATGAGATCCTGGAACAGAGAAAGAACATGAGCTAAAAAGTAAGGAAGTCTGAACTTCAGTTCATAGTGAGGTATCAATAGGGTTGGACTTCAGTTCATAGTGGACTTCAGTTCATAGTGAGGTATCAATAGGGTTCATTAATTGTGGCAAGCATGTCCTGCTAATCTAAAATGCTAATAATAAAGGAAACTGGGTGTGGAATATATGAGGACTCTCTGTATTCTATCAGCAACTTTTCTGTAAATCTAAAACTCTTCTGAAACAAAAGGTTTATTAACAAAACCTCGAATGATCCTCAAGCACCTTTGTGCCCTCCTACTTCCCAGTTGGTGGCTCATCATGGATCTGACTCTCCACTTGCCCTGTGTGTTCTCAATAAGAGACTTCCTCTCCTTTCTAAGCCTAGAGTCACAGAACACGCTCTTGCCTGGCAGTGAGGAACCTGAGATCTAGTCCCACTTCTGCCACCATCCCACTATATGACCATGTGTCAATCATTTCCCCCTCCCAACCATAAGCCTCAGTTTACCCCTCTGTTCAATGAGAAAGTAAGACTAGAAGGTGCTTCTAGTCGGTCCATGAAGGCAGGGATGGTGTGTCTCATTCACGGCAGCATCTCCAGCTTCTAAGACAGTCCCAGGCACAAGACAGACACTGAAAAACAAAAAAGGATTCAATGAATAAATAAATGAGCATTGCTCTGATACTCCAACACTCTAACTAGAAATGGAAACTTCTAGAGTGAGCTCAGCATCTCAGAACCTCCTTTCTTGTGTATTTGATTTCAAGCTCCCTGGGTCACATCTTTGTGTCTGTCTCCAACGTCGTGCATGGAGACTTTATAAGCATTTGTGCAATGATTGAGAAGAGCTGGCCCTCCCAGATCAGGCCCTGCAAGTGTTGAACTCCTTGGAATGCAGACAGTGGTGTCTGCTGAGACGGTAGGGAGGTGTGTCACATCTAAAGCTTATTGCGCTGGGGGTCATCCTGGCTTCTGAAGTTGGGGAGGATCTTCCCACGGAATCTATCTGCCTCTTTTTAACAAGCTCAGACTGAAAGGGCCTGGGCCTCCCAACCCCTAGTTAGGAGACCCTGGCAGATAACTTAGAGGAAGATAGCTCAAACCCAGGGAGGGAAGAAACTGGAAGTGACAAAAAGAATAAAAAAGAAAAGAAAAAAAGAAAAAAAAAAAGCCCTGCACAACCCCAATTGTCTAGAGACCTGGATTCCTGGATTTTAGTCCCAGCCCCCAGTATTCTCGGCATCCACGCCATGAGAACTGGGCAAGATTTTCTCTGTGCCTCTAACTGGCCAACCTCCCAGAGTTGGAGTGGGGGTGAGTAAAAACAAGGATGAGTGTTCGTTCCAGTTCCTCAGAGGGGCTGTGTTCTCCGTGGGCAATTCCTCTGCCCAGAACATTTTCCCCACTAACCACTTACACTCCATGCTTCAGAGCAGGCTCCAGGCAGGCACCGTGGCTGTAAAGTCTCCCCTGACGCCCTGCCTGACTCCTTCCATTGTCTCCACGACAGGCCCTCGAACACTTCACACATTCCCTTAGAACTCACCACCCTGGGCTGTAATCGCCCATTTCACTGTCTGCCTCCACCAGCCGACTGCGAGCCCACTGGAGGCCGCTCACCATTTGGTCCTGCGTCCAGCATAGCGCTTGGCACATACGTGATAAATAAGGACTTGTGGAACAAACAGATGAATGAATGGGTGAATAAATGAAGGCATGTGTGAACCAGTGAATTAGTAAGTGCTGTCACAACCAAGGGAAGGCTAAAACCGTATCATGTTTTGGATAGCTTACCTCAGATTTCCCAGGAGACTTGCTGAGGTTTTTTACAGCATCTGTAAAAATAATGATAATAGTGGCTCCAATAGCCTGTTGTTGCCGTCGTAAATTCCCAAAGGGCTTTCCCTGGTGTGTTTCAGAAGAGGGAGAGCAGGCACTGATTCCCTGCCCTCAGTCTCCCTCCCTGCCTCCCCGTTTCTTCTTCCCACCTATGTTCTCACTCTCTGTCTCTCTCTGTCTCTATTTCTCTCTCCTCACTCTGCCTCTCTTTCACGGTCTCTGTCTCTGTCTTTGTCTCTGTTTCTTTCTCTTCCCACTGTCCCTGTCTCTCTCTCTCTCTCTCTCTTTCACTCTCTCTGCCTGTTTCTCTCTCTTCCCTCTCTCTCAATCTCTCTCTCCTCTCTCTTCTCTCCCTCTCCTTCTTTCTGTCTTTTTCTTTCACTATTTCTGCCTCTGTTTCTCTTTCCTCTCTCTTTCTGTCTCTCTTTTCTCTTTCTCTCCCTCCATCTCTGTCTCTTACACTATCTTTGCCTCTGTTTCTCTCTTCTCTCTCCCTCCCTCTGCCTCTGTCTCTATCTTTTTCACTATCTCTGCTCTGTTTCTCTCTCTTCTCAATCTCTCTCTTTCTCCCTGTCTCTCCTCTCTCTCCCTCCTTTGTCTCTATCTTTCTCTTTCACTGTCTACCTGATTCACTCTCTCTTCCCTCTCCCTCTGTCTTTTCTCTCTCAATTCCTCTCTCCCTGCTTCTATATCTCTCTCTTTCACTATCTCTGCCTCTGTTTCTCTCTCCCCATACTTCATTTCTCTCTCTCTGTCTCTCTCTCTCTTTCTCTCTCCCCCTCTCTCTCTTCCCTTGTCTCTATCTTTCTCTTCACTATCTCGCCTCTCTCTCTTCTTTCTCTGTCCCTCTGCTTTCTCCTCTCTGCCCTGTCTCTGTCTTTCGGGTACTCTCCATCATTTCCCTCCCCATCCCCATTCACTCTCCACTGTGTGCCAGGCATCTCACACAGAAGTTCTCACTTTCCTTCCCAGACACCTAGTGTTGCCTCATTTGTACTTTGGGAGAAACATCCCCTTACCATGGTCAAGAATGTGGGCTTTGGGCTTGGGAGCCAGACAGATTCAGCTGGTTCCAAGCCCAGCTCTTCCACCTGCTAGTCTGTGATCTTGGTCAAGAGGTCTAACTAACCTCTCTGAGTCTCAGCTTCCTTATGAGCAAAATGAGGTGAAAATGCCCCCTCTTAAAGGATGGCTGCAAGGATTAAATGAGATAATGCTTGGGAAATGCTTAGCACAGTGGCAGAACTCCATAAATGCGAGCTCTCTTGTTACTATCAGTTCTACTATGATTATTATTTTTTTGCATTGTCTGCAAACATTATTAATACCCAGGAGATCATTATTGAAGATGACAAATACCTCTGGACTGAATAGCCCCACCACCACGCCGACCCCAGGATCATTTCAGCCCCTTCCCCCCTCCTCCAAATAGATGACCACCAAAGCCCAGTTGGCTGTGGTTCTGACCCTCTGGTCTTCTATGCCCACTTTAATTTGGGCAGAATCCATCTGGATAGAGATTCCCTAAGCCTGGCTTTCCCAAAAAATTATCTGAGTTTTTAGTAATTGTAAATATCTGGGGTGAGTCAAGGAGAGTCTGACTCCATAGGTCTGGGGTGATACCCAGGAACTGGGTATTTTCAAAAGCATCCAGAGCGACTCTGATTGGAGAACAGGGATTCAAGCTTCTGGTCTAAACTCAGTGGCTACTCAAGTGATATTAAGTAAATCAATCAATAGGAGATGGTAAATGAATAAAGGCATAAATGAGTAGATGGATTGGTGGATGGATGGATGGATGGATGGATGGATGGATGGATGGATAGATGAGTAATAGGTCTACCTCCATGGGAAGAAATGCTGGTATTTTTCCCCAGACCTATGCTCTGGCCTCCAAAATATGTGTCCTTTTGTTCTGTGGCTTTTCAGAGCACAACACTTAGCTGCTCCCCTGTTTCTTTTCTTCCTTTTCTTCTCTGCACCTAAATCCCATCCTTTCCCTTTCCTGATGCCTATTTCCTCCATCCTCTCTCCCTCCTCACTTCGCCCCCTCCTTTTAGCTCCCACTTCTCTTTACGGCTTCCCCCTCACCATGCTGAAACATTTGCAAGCTGGAGGTTATCCCAAGACACTTTCATGAGAAGAGGCTTTGGACACAACAGTTGCACAAACAGTTTTATTTGATGAACCACAGTGACTAACAGGATCAGAAGACAGTGCAGATATTCTGAAGAAGGCACTGGGGGAGGTAAGGGGGTATCACAGCAGGCAGCCTCCTCTGCTTCTGTCCCAGTTCACAGATGAGTTCCAGGCAGGAAGTCTCTGCAGGTCACCCACGGCGGCCTCAGAGGGACAATTTCTTCCCTTCTAGAAGCCTCTTCCAGTGTTCACTGGATGCTTTGAGGACAGCTCTGGGCAGAGGAGGTGACTCTGTGAAAGATGCTATCTTAAGATGGGGAGACTAGGCTGTGAGGAGCCCCTTCCCCTCTCCTCCTCCCTCTGCCCCCAGAGCTGGCGTCATTCCAGGGAGGGTCAAGATGTCCATTCACATCAAGCTGGGCTTTTCTTATCTCCATCGCTCATGTCTTGTCCTTCACTTTCATAGTCCTCCAAGAACAAAACCCGGAATAGACACTCCCAGCCTCTAGCTCACAAAGGCCCCACTATTAATTTCATCCTCACGGTCTCTCTGGCAGTGTAGACATCATGCTATCTGCACACTTGCTCCAGTCCCTATTCCCAGATCCCCAATCCAGCAGAAGCCAAGAGGTCCAATCCTGAGGGTAGGGAGAGAAAAAACCCACCCCGTGCCTTTTGGCCCATGGCAAGCAGGAGGCCTCCTTAGGAAGAGGGCCACTGACCCTGGAACAAGAAAGGACGATGAGGGCAATGCTCATAAATTTGAAGCCAGGCGGGGAGGCACCGGAAAGGGGCCAAGGGAGGCTCTCAACTAGCCTCTTACTTCCTTCATGGAGCCCAAGAAGGAGCAGGAACCCAGCTCAGTAGGACGCCCCCAAGCCTTGGCGCCAGCTGCTTTGGGGAGGGATCTCCCTACAGGAAGCCTGGTGCAAACATTAACTTCGCTCCTAAAGCACGGACCAGCCGTTGGAGCCCCCAAATCCAGTAGGGGGTGGACTCATTTTTATTCTACATTTTTCATTGCCTCAGTGTGTCCCTGCCCCCCACCACCCCCTGCCAAGGGTAATGTGTGAACAGCAGAGTTGCAGTGGATTGGGGGGTGGGAGGAGGTTTGTCCAAATGACCCAGGCACACTGCTGTTCATGCCAGGCTCATCCATATAGACATATAAGTACAACACACACAGACAAGAGGCAGGCATCTCCATCCCAAACAACATGATTCTTGGCACCAAGTAGCACCAGTGCCCAAGAAAGAAATCAGTATGATGGGGTAAGATGGGGAGATGAGGAAACCCTTCAGCTCACAGTTATGCAGGAAGTCAGAAACAGGAGGACTCGGGGAGCGAGCCAAGCAGTGTCTGGACTAAATGCAGACACCCCTCCATCCTCTCTCTCTAGTTGCCCTTCCCAACTCCCCACTCACATAATGAAACCAAGGAGTACATCCATTCATCAGCCCTGCTGCCTTCCAATTCTCATAGAAAATAGAGGAAGGATGAAAGGGTCTGCGGACAATTTGGAGAAAGCATATCTAGTCAGTGTCATGGTGCCATGGGGGAACTGCAGGAATCACACTAGCCCCAATGCCCAAAATGACAGGGAAGTGATCCAATTTTAGGGCAAGCTCTGGAGCTCCCAGATCTAAGGGCTGGAGCACTAATTATCTGCTGACACACAGCCCACCCCCGGCCCCAGCCCATTCCCTGCCTCACACTCAGAAAACAGGATAGAAAGCTTAAACAGGGTCAGTCTCTGCAAGCTTTGGGATCCTTAACCCTTAGTAGCCCTTCAGAACAAGAAAGTAGACAGGGGAGAAGGATGGATGGAGGGAGGGGGACGAGCTGTAGGAGGGGATTGGTGCCAGAAGGCAGGGATAAGGAGCGGCAGCTGCAGAGAGTGGTGGGGGAAAAACTACAAGGAAAGAAGGGAGGAAAGACGATTGCAGATCTAAGAAAGCAGCAGAGGGAAACAAGCTTTTACTGCGTCCAGACTCAGGCTTCAACATTTTAGGATCAATATGACTTTCCCCCATTTCATACCAATGGAGAAACTGAGGCTGAGTGAGATTAAATGGCTTGTGCAGGGTCAGGTCTGTAGAGCCCAGTCTCTTTCCCCTAAACCACAAACCTCTGAGAAAGAATAAAGCAGTAGAGGAGGACAGGGCGGGGCAGAATCAGGGGACAGTTAAAGGATGTGCATAGGACAAGGAGTAGCCACACTACCTGATTTTCAGAAAGCAAGGGCAAAGGCCGGGGAGGGCCGAGGGCGCCAGGCTTCTCTCTGCTCCCAGCCCTAGTCAACCACAAGGGTCTCCTGGCTGTAGGGGATGGATTTCTCGTGCATCTGTTCTCCACCCTTGCCCATGTTGGGGCCGGGCCCCTGGCTGTGCCCCGAAGAGTAGCTGGCTGACTTCTCCCCACTGCTGCTGTGGGAGGTGCCTGCGCACCTGCTCTGGCCACAGCAGAGCATGGAGGTGCAGGCCTGGCGGAAGCGGGGGTCGAAAAAGGCATAGAGGAAGGGGTTGAGGCAGCTGTTGACGTAGCTGATGCAGGTGCAGTAGGGGAAGATGTTCATGAGGAAGAGGTCAAAGTCACAGGGCCAGTGCAGCAGGCTGCCCAGCATGTACAGCGTCTTCACCAGGTGGTAGGGCATCCAGCACAGGGCAAAGGTCACCACCAGCACCACGATGATGCTGAGCAGCCGGCGCCGCTTCCGCAGGCCCTCGATGCGTTCCTTGCGGAAGTGGCCAGCGATGGTTTGGGCGATGAAGAAGTAACAGGTCAGCATGATGGTGAAGGGCACCACAAAGCCCACGGTGGTGGACGAGACCCCAAGGCCCACCTCCCAGGCCCACTCTGAGCTCACAGTGGCCACCATGGAGTAGTCCATGTAGCACTGCACCTTAGTGGTGTTCTCCAAGTCCCCGGTGGTGCGTAACACCATGACAGGCATGGCCAGGAGGGCGGCCAGCACCCAAAGAACTGCCGTGGCCACGGCCCCGCTGACCCGCAGCCTCAGCCGAGCATTGGCCACTGGCCTCACGATGGCCAGGTAGCGGTCGAAGCTGAGGCCGGTGAGGCAGAAGACGCTGGCGTACATGTTGACGAAGATGAGGTAGCTGCTGAGCTTGCAGAAGAAGGTCCCAAAGGGCCAGTCATAGTCCCGGTACGTGTAGGTAGCCCACAGGGGCAGCGTCACCACGAAGGTCAGGTCAGCCACCGCCAGGCTAGCAATGAAGATATCAGCTGAGCGCCTCTTCTCCCGGCTGCTCCGAAACACGGTCCAGAGCACCAGACCGTTGCCCGTGGTGCCCAGGAGGAAGACCAACATGTAGATGGCAGGGATGAGGGCCCCCGAGGATTTCCAGTCTGTGTACTCACACTCAGACTGGTTGTCTGCCCCATAGTAGTTGTCAAAATCACCACCTTCCTCCATGCTGGGGAGTGGAGAGAAGACGGGCAGAGGGTCCCAGGGACACCAGCTCCGTGGCTCTGTCACCCACTCTGCAAGCAGCCTGAATTTCTGGCTTGAGCCTCAGAGAGTAAGAAGGGCTGAAGATGCCCAGAGTCCTTCCCAGCACTCAGGAGGAGCTGCCTCTGGGTTCTCCAGACCCTGGAGGAAGCCTGTCTCCTGCAGAATTTCCTCCACCCTCTCTTGCCTTACCCCCGTCTCAGTTAAGACACTTCCTTGCACCCTCCTGCGTCCCTGTCTCCTCCTTGACTCGTCACTCCCTCCTCCCACCTCCAGACCAGCCCCTCTCTTGTGAGTCAAAATCTTTAGTGACAGCCCACTTTTTTTTTCTTTTTGTCACTGAGCAAGTGGACCAAATTGACCCCTACTGTGCTGGGCTGAACATTATCTGTGGTTTTGCAAGTCGGCTTTCCTGGCCCCGCCTCTCCTTTCTGGCTGCCACCCACCTTCACCCCAGCCCCTATCCCTCCACTTTCCTCTGGCCACCACTTCCTGCCTGCCCTTTAGGGCACTCCCTCCTCAGTGCTCTCCGCCCTCCTGTTCTCACCCCCTTCCATCCAATCTAAATGGGACACATTATGCAGATTGCAATCCAGCTTGAGCTGGAGCCAGGGCTGGTAGGGAGCAAGGAGGGTGTAAGATTTCGCAGGATGGGCAGGGCATCTGGCAGGTCCTCCTGGCAGGCAGGTCTGGCCCCCTCGGCTCCCTTCCTGCACCCCCAGCCCCCACCCAGACCAGGTGTCACAGGAGGGTCTTCTCCCACTTTGCCTCTCGCTTCATCTTTCTCTACCCCTTGGCTTTGACCCTCCCTCTGAGAACTTTTGTGGTTTCTAGAGAAATACCCCTACACTAGTGTAGACTGCAGTTTGCAGTTTGCGGAAGGCACAGGATGCTTTAGAAGGTTGAGGGCAGTCACAGGATGGAAGAAACCCAGGACAAAATTATCTCTAAACAAGTCATTAAATCTGTAGGAAACAAAGGCCCAACAAGGTCAATGTTTTGCCCAAGGTAATAAAGTGAATTATGCTACAGTTGATTGTTTGCTTTTCTTCTTCTCCAAACACGAACATAATACAGTACCTGGCATGTCGTAGGTGAATGGCTGTTTTGTTTGTTTGTTTGTTTGTTGAGACAGAGTTTCACTCTTGTTGCCCAGGCTGGTCTAGGCTCACTGCAACTTCTGCCTCCTGGGTTCAAGCGATTCTCCCGCCTCAGCCTCCCTAGTAGCTGGGATTGCAGGCTAATTTTTTTGTATTTTTAGTAGAGATGGGGATTGACCAGGCTAGTCTCAAACTCCTGACCTCAGATGATCCACCCACCTCGGCCTCCCAAAGTGCTGAAATTACAGGCATGAGCCACCACGCCCAGCCAGGTGAATGGCTGTTGAGTGAGTAAGTGGATGGATGATGTAGGAGGTGAGTGAAAAGGGGAATCCATAGATGGAAGAACAAGTGTAAGAATTACTACGTGGTGAGAACATGGATACATTTCAGTTCTCAGGTTTTTACTATCCTCCATGGACCAAGAGGTTTCTGTAAGACCACAGGGGGTCAGGAAGTTGAGCTAGAGGAGGGGGGTCTCTAGAGAAAGACTCAGTCACTGGAGGATACTGTGGGGAAAGTTCCGTAGACGCTCACTTTGCCCCAGCTCATCACCTCTCCAGGACCTCTAGGAAGGAAGGAAGATGCACGACGTAAGATTTTTTTTAAAAAATACGCACCCTTTCCACAACCTTGAAGAGTTGGGGAAGCCACCTGACGTTGGGTAATAGTGAGATGGAACAAAAGCAGGAGCTGAGCCTTAGCCACTTCCAAGGCAAAAGACTTACAAAAGCTGGAATTGGCCAGGCAAGGTGGCTCATGCCTATAATCCCAGCACTTTGGGAGGCCAAGGCAGGAAGACTGCTTGAGCCCAGGAGTTCAAGACTAGCCTGAATAACACAGCCAAGACCCTGTCTCACGATATATATTTGTCTTAAGTTACTACAAAAGCTGGAATCCATTTTCTGGAGGGAGAGTGGATCAGAAAATCATATGCAGAGATCAAGGAACTCAAACTCAAATACCTGCAAAAAAAAAAAAAAAAAACAGGCCAAGAGTGTAGTTTGAGACAACAGAGAATGGTAAAGACTGTGGCAAACTGGAGGGTGCCCATTCCATCATAGGGAGGCCTCTTCAGCTCTAGTCTCTGGTTGCCACGCAGAAAGCTGGACCCCAGCATGACTGTGTCTTAGGATTTTTCCAAGATAATTTCAAATTATGGATTTTTGTAAGAAATTTTCATATTTGTAAATTTTGGAAATCAATTTTCATTTCAAAAAAAAGCACAGACCATGATAAGTAAAACATGTCTTTGGCCCCCGAGTTTGTGTTCTTTAAACAGGAGCTTGCCAAGAATAGAAGGCAGGAGAAGAACCAAGAGGATGGGGCAGGAGGAGGAAACAAAAAATGCAAAGATAGAAAAAGCCTTAGAGTGCAGTGGGGAGATACAGGAGAGAAGGCTGCAGAGAGAGATTAGAAAGATCCTGTGACCTTCACCTAAATGCAATGTGGAGTAATGAATATGTTGGTGTTTCTCATGAGGACTACATGTTGCCCACTTATTGTGTGCCAGGCAGTCTTCTAAACATTTTATACATTCTACATATATTTATTAGTATCTCTTTTAATCATCAAAATGACATTAGGAGGCAGGTGCTCTCATTAGCCTCAATTTACAGATGAGGAAACTGAGGCACACAGAGGTGAAGCAGTTTAGCCAAGATCACCCAGCAGTAATTGTCAGAGCCAGAATTTGAACCAAAGCTGTCTCGAGCCCATGGACTAAACCACTATGCTCCCAAAGAAAAACGCCCAATCCTTTTTAAACTGAGGGGTGTGTCATCTGTTAAGCATTAGAGAAATGTAGGGCGATGCCAGGATACCTGTAATTTACCTTAAAATAAGCTCTACCGGGTGAGATTTTAAATAGATTGACTATTTAGAGACACACCTCACATTGATTAGACAGGGTATAAGAATCCTGCCAGGCAATAATCTGTACACTTAGGGTTAGCACCATAGACTTGATCCAGAAACCACCCTCGCTCTAGCCATTGCCAAAGAGAATTCCTGGTTGCCTGGTGCCAGCTAGAAAGCTAACAGGACTCTGCCCCTGGAATCTTGGCATTCTGTACAGTGGGGGCTGGGACACCCAATAGGATCCAGAGCTGGGGCTCCATCCATCTCACAGTACACAGGGTAGGAATTGCTTGGGGCCTCTTGCTCCTGCATTTTTGGCTAATAGAAGTTCTGCGCAGATGGCAGAATGGTTTTCATTATATCCTGACATTCATTCATCATATCATGATTCATTCATCATATCCTGATATAATAGTTTCATTATATCCTGACATTATATCCTGGGTGGAAATAGCTAACCTTTGGCTACCTCAGACTTCTTCAGTGGTAAGCTATCTTTACCTATCAAAGGGGACCTTGGAGTTGTGCAGGGACCAGCTTGGCTCAGGTCAGGTCATAATAGATGGCCCTTTTACGAGTAAACATTACTGCTTGGGACATTCCAGGATAAAGACCAAGTTTGAGACGCCTAGTGATCCCAGTTCTCCCATGATTCTCCCAGAAAGATGCAGATGTCTGTGCCCTTTGCAGCTAGAAATACAGAGAGAAGGGAGCTAGCAAGCTTGAAGCGTCCCTGAAATCAGGTCCCTGTCTCCCTCCCCTCAGCTGTTCCCACTGGAATGCTGAGCCAGACAGGAGCCTGGAGACCCCTGTGGGAAAGGATATGGATCCATCGCTTTCATCTGCCGACCTCCAGGATGTCTGCCCTAGAGGGAGTAAAGAGCAGTTAATCTCACTAGAGTTACCAGACTCATTGAGAGGGGAGGGAATTGGGGGCCAGGGCTGGGAAGAGGCCACCGTTTGGGACCAGAGAGGGTAGAGTGCTGATAAGATCCGGCCTCCAACCAGGAGCCAGCTGTAGCCAGATGGCCTGAGTGCCCCCTGCAATGACAGCCTGAAGTGAGCAGAATTAGCCAGCTCACTCCTTATCCTGCCTGATCTGATCTGTCCCTGTTCCGCATTGCACCATTCCACACAGAAGAAAGACTGGAAAATAGGACCAGTAGCTGAAGATGAAACTTGTGTGTCCCGGGGCTCAGAAGTATATGGGTCCTGGGCCTCACAGACTAGACATATACAAGGCCTGGGACAGATATCTTCTTTTCATTTCTGCCCCCCACCCTACTTGGCACCTGGTAAAAGTCTGTTGAATTAAAGCAATAGAAACACACTCAGGAGAAGGGTGTAAGACTTGGATCTTCACCCCAGAGCTGCTCTACTGCATTAACAAGGCAACTTTTGCTAAAGTGATCCAGGAAATTCTACTCTGAGCTATCTGGCAAACCAATAGCTAAGGCAAGCCTGTTGGCCAGGGTGCCCAGAGCTGGCCTGCCCTGGAGAGGCCTGCACAGGTTTCCTGGGGAACTTCCCTCTCTCTCCTGGGTGATTTCTTCAGGGCATTGTGATGAGACCGAGATGAATGACACCTGGCAGAAAAGCACTCCAGACCTGCTAGTGCCCTTTGAGGAGAGCCCAGACTTCTGGGAGACCTCTGGAGTCAGTGGTTCAATATTCCTCACCCACCCCACCACCAGGTTTGTGCCTGGCCTAAAAAGCAGAGCCTGACTTGGCCTGTGCCCATGGACATGCTGACTATGTGTGCTTTGTGAATGCAAGTTTTCTGTGTGCCACGAGGTCACTTGGATGTGAAGTCTGTAGGTGCTTGTGAGCAGGCTGAACTTGTGTGTGCAGGGGGATATGAGTGTGCACTGGGTGCATGCATTCATGGATGTAGAATAGTGTGCTTGCTTGTGCATAGTGAGGTAGGATGTGCATTGGGTGCATGCATTCATGCATGTAGAACAGTGTGCTTGCTTGTGCATAGTGGGCTATGATGTGCATTGGGTTCATGCATTAACGTGTATAGAAGAGTATGCATGTTTGTGTGTTGTAGGCATGAGCGTGCACTGAATGCACACATTCACCCAAGGAATGTACATCAGGTGCGTAGAAGAGTGTGCTTGCTTGTGTGTAGTGGGATCAGAGATCTGAATAAACACACTGCTTGCAGTACAGGGACGGGTGCTTAATTGGATCTCTCTAAGAGTTTGGGATGAAGGGGGAAAGCTGAACCCCTCTGCTGGGACCTCACCCAGACCCTACCCAAAGCTGTGGGCTGGGGACATCAAAGTGGAAGTACTGCCTTTCTGTGCTCTTCCTGACTTCTCACCTCCTCCCTCCTAGCTCTCTGCTCCAGCCCCCTCACTTCACAGGTCTGCTTTGAACTCCACAGCTTGGGAACTCACCCAGGGCAACAGGGCCTTTTTCTCTCCTTCCCGAGAGGCAGCCACAGCTGTGTCCCTAACAGCTGGTGGTGTTATCTGAGGGAAAGGGGAAGGGAGGGCAGGGACACAGGAGGGATATAACTTGACTGCCCAGCCCACACTGAGGAATTTCACCTCTCCTTTCTCTAGCACACAACACCCCCAACCCCCACCCTAGGCACGCGCGCGTGCGCGCGCGCACGCGCACACACACACACACACACACACACACACACACACGCCCGACTTTAGCAGCTTATCTGACCAAAAACAAATGGTCAGCCGCTTTCTGATAATTAAAACAGAAACCCCCTCAGCAACTCTCTCCACCCCCAACCCCACCATTTGGTGCTATTTCAAACTCTAAGGCCATACTGCAAACTCCCAAAACTCCCTGGTCTCTGGGGACAGCAAGAAAACTCACCCACTGGCCTGGTTCTAGCTTTCTGTGATTCTGGGAATTACGGCTATGGCTTCCAAATATGGTTGGAGAAGTGGGTTTCTTGCCAAAAAGATCAAAAGTGGGAGACAAACTGACCCTCTTGTTCTAATCCCATCCTAATTCATTCACTCAGAAAATATTGAGCAACTACTGGCCGGGCACGGTGGCTCACGCCTGTAATCCCAGCACTTTGGGAGGCCTAGGTGGGTGGATCACCTGAGGTACGGAGTTCGAGACCAGCTTGGCCAACATGGGGAAACTCCGTCTCTACTAAAAATACAAATATCAGCCGGACATGGTCGCGGGCGCCTGTAATCCCAGCTACCTGGGAGGCTGAATAAGGAGAACCACTGGAACCTAGGAGGCAGACGTTGTAGTGAGCCGAGATCGCGCCACTGCACTCCTGCCTGGGCAACAAGAGCGAGACTCCATCTCAAAAAAAAAAAAAATTTGAGCAACTACTATGTGCCAGGCTCTATTTGAGGCACTTGCCATACAGTGTGAGCAATTCAAACTATGCCCTCGGTTTCCTGCACTTTCATTCTAGAGGTGGAAGAGAGACAAAACGATGAAAGTTAGATAAATGCAGTGAACTCAGGTAATGATAAGCACTACAAGGAAAGATAAACTGGAGAGTGATGCAGCGAGTAAATGGAAACTGGCATTTTCAGATAGTATAGATCGGGGAGGTTTCTTAGGAGTCACTGATATCTTACCTGAACTCCAATAACTAGCTTGCTTTGTACCCTGGGCAAGGCTTTTGCCCCTCTCTGTGGGGCAGTTTCCCTATCTGTACATGAGGACATTGGGCCAGCCGGGTTTAGCTTTCTGTGATTCTGGGAATTATGGCTATGGCTTCCAGATGTGATTGGAGAAGTGGGTTTCTTGCCAAAAAGATCAAAAGTGGGAGACAAACTGACCCTCTTGTTGATGAATGGCAAGATCACATGAGAATCCATTCTCCCCACTACAGCACCAAGCCCACTTTGACGGGCTATTTGTTAGACTGTGAGAATCAGGGGTCTGGAAGCCTTTCCTTATCTCCCACCCACCTCCTGTCACCCTTTTACCTACCATTACCCACCCATCCCCCCATTACTTGGCACAGCGCCCCATACATAGTGCCCTCTAATATATGCACTGGAATTGTAGGACCCCCATTTCTATAACCTCTGGAGTAATCAGAACTTTCTTAGGGGCTGGGCCTGGTGGCTCACCCCTGTAACCCAGCACTTTGGGAGGCCGAGGCAGGTGGATCACCTGAGATCAGGAGTTCGATACCAGCCTGGCTAACATGGTGAAACTCTGTCTCTACTAAAAATACAAAAAATTAGCTGGGCGTGGTGGTGGGCACCTGTAATCCCAGCTACTCAGGAGGCTAAGACAGGAGAATTTGCTACGAGCCAAGATCACAGCATTGCACTCCAGCCTGGGCAACAAGAGTAAAACTCTGTCTCAAAAAAAAAAGAAAAGAAAAGAAAAGAAAGAAAGAACTTTCTTAGGACAATCTGGATGGGGCACTGGGTTCCCATGACTTAGAACAGGAAAGATGCCTAAAATTTTATTAGCCCATTGATTCCCACGCTGACATCAGAGACCCTTGATGATAGAAATGGGGAGAGAGGCAGTAGCTTGGGCCAGCATCAGCATTTCATGAAATCTTGTGGAAATGGCACATTCTTCTCACCCTATCATAAGACAACCCTCTTTAAATGTCAAGCACCAGCACCGCGAGCTTAGACTTTAATAAATTAGTGTGGGGACTCTGGTTACTCCATGCTGCTCATCATGCCTTTGATGAATAAAAACTGAGCAGATGAATTCATTACGATTTCATAAACAAGGTGGGTTAGATCAACAGACTCCTTCCTTAAAAAGGATTCACTGTGGGGAGAACAGGAAAGCAAGCGAGACAGTCTTTGATGCCGAAAGGTTGTGGCTGCGATCTGCTCCACACACTTGACCTTACCCATGGGGAAAGCAAGGGAGGGAGAGCCAAAGGGTTTTGTCCAGGTGTCCCTATGCCACCCTGTCTTCTCCTCCCACCCCCAAAGGTTAGGTGCAGAGGAAGTCTTTGTTTGGCTGAGAGGAGGGACTTGGGCAGGAGGCCGTGAAGACAGGAAGTACAGCAGAGGCAGGAAGGAGGTCAGGAAGAGGCTGACAGGACCAGGCCGGCTCACACCCAGCCCTGCCAGCCTTCAGGAGAGCAACATGGTGTTTCTAAAAATATTTACAGTGAGTCTACATTAATGAGATATATATCAGCACTGACAATGGGAGGATGCTGGGCCAGGCCCTCCAGGGTAGAAGACCAACGCAATTAGCCCAGAGGCTGCACAAAGGCAAGGCCAGCCTTGTGGGAAGGCCTTGTGGGAAGTCTTGGGGAAGGCCAGCCTTGCACAGCTAAAGGAAGAAATCAAGCCTTCCACCCTGGGGCCCAAACAGGCAATGGAGACCACAGTGCCCCAGAAACCTCCCCCGGGGAACAGAAAACATCCCAGATTCCTGGACCTGCAACGAGCATCTTCAACCTGCATCCCTGACCCCAATTCAGTGCAGAAATCTCCTCTACCACACCCACTCTGAGGACCATCCAGGGGTCTCTTGAATACCCCTGTTGACCAGACACTCAATCCTGCCTCCAGCAGCCCATTCCCATTCCAGTCTTGGCATCCCTACCCATTCAACCTTCAGGAGAGGAGAGTGGTTCAGAACATAGAGGCTGGAGTCAGGTAGCCACTTACAAGTCACTTTGCCATGGAGCACCAAGGAGTGTGATCATTTCAAGTCTTGGTTTTCTCATCTGTAAAATGGGAGTCATTAGAATATCTACTGCCCCAGGGCTGGTATAAGGTTTCAGCAAGGTAAAGGAGACAGCATGCAAAGAATGCCATGTGGACAGAAAGACACAGGCTAAGGTGCAAAGATGCAAAAGGAAGAATTTAAGGCTGGGTGTGGTGGCTCACGCCTGTAATCCCAGCATTTGGGAGGCCAAGGCGGGCAGATCACAAGGTCAGGAGTTCAAGACTAGCCTGGCCAAGATGGTGAAACCCCACCTCTACTAAAAATACAAAAATTAGATGGGTGTGGTGGCGGGCGCCTGTAATCCCAGCTACTTTGGAGGCTGAGGCAGAGAATTGCTTAAACCTGGGAGGCAGAGGTTGCAGTGAGCCGAGATCGCACCACTTCAACCAGCCTGTGCAACAAAGTGAGACTCCATCTCAAAAAAAAAAGAAGAAGAAAAGAAAAGAAAGAAAGAATTTAAAATGTCCTAGGACTAAAGTGACATAAGGCTAAGAAAATTAGCAAATGCCATTTTGCTGCTGAAGAGCTAACACTGCACTGTGCAGTGGGCGAGCCACTTGCCATGTGTGGCTATGGAGGGCTGGAAATGTGGCCAGGCAGATGGTGGGACACTGCAGGTGTAGAACACACACTGGGTTTCAAAGACTTAGTATGAAAAAAGAACGTAATATATCTCATTAGTAATTTTTTTCTATTGATTGCATGTCAAAATGATAACATTTGGATATATTAAAGTAAGTACATTGTTAAAATGAAGTCTACTTCTTTTGTTTCTTTTACTTTTTTTTTTTTTTTTTTTTTTTTTTGTGAGACAGAGTCTTGCTCTGTCACCCAGGCTGGAGTGCAGTGGCGGGATTTCAGCTCATTGCAACCTCCGTCTCCCAGGTTCAAGTGATTCTCCCGCCTCAGCCTCCCGAGTAGCTAAGATTACAGGTATGTGCCATCATGCCTGGAAAATTTTTGTATTTTTGGTAGAGACAGGGTTTTGCCATATTGACCAGGCTGGTCTCAAAATCCTGACATCAAGTGATATGCCCACATCGGCCTCCCAAAGTGCTGGGATTACAGGAGTGAGCCTCCATGCCCAGCCTCGTTTACTTTTTTAATGTGTCTACTAGGAAAATTAAAATCACATATGTAACTTCTGTTATAGTCCTATTGGATAGTGCTGAGCTGAAGGATCATATCTAAGCCTTAGGATGCTCACTCTGGAGGCATCTTTGAGGATGGGTTAGAATGGGTTAGGCTCGTTAGGAAACAGGTGCAGTTTTTCAGACCAAAGGCCCATATTAAGGAGAAGACTCCAATTCCAATTTTCCAACTACAGGTAGTTTGTCACCAACAAACAAAAAATAATAATAATAATAGTAATGGCTCTTACTTATTAAGTGCTTACTCCATGTCAGCAGGCACTGTTCTAGTGAAGGACCATGATTTTAAAAAGTGAACTCTGAAAGCAAAAATGCCTGGTTTTAAATCCTGGTTCTGCTAGTATACGAAGCCTCAGTTTCATCAACCTTAAAATAGGGGTAACCGTATATAGCATTGTCAGAACTACGAGATACTAGGCTTAGATACCAGACTTAGGTAGTCATCTCTTACTATTACTCCCATAGTAACAGGTAGTGTATTGCATCCTAATAGGTAAAGTTTATTACCAGGCACTGTATAAGCACACTCAAATGCTTTTTCCCAATGTAAGTTTTAATGCCATCTTTTACATTATGATCCCCATCTTACAGATTGGTAAACTGAGGTTCACAGAGTTACTTCACTGTCTCAGGACCATGTGGCTTCTGAGTAAGACAGAGAGGATTTGAACCCTTGGCTTTGACTCTAGAAGCCTGAGAGCTCTACAGCCAGGATGTGTTTTCCCAGCACAAGGCCATGCTTCTGCATTCAGATATGACCTGCTGTTGCTTCATTGGAGGGAGGGAGGAGATTTCTCAGCAGAGAAATCTCATAGATGGATCCCGCTCTCTCCGCCTGTCTGAAGGATGATGAGATTGAGTGGAGAAAAATTCACGTAGGCTCACAGCTATGATGATAAAAAGATAATTTGTAAAACCAGCATGTTTGTAATTACTCATTGACCCATAGACATAAAGATCAAGCTATGAATAACTCCACAATAGCAGCAATAACAATACTAGTGAATAATACTAGTAACTATTTACAATAGCAAAGACTTGGAACCAACCCAAATGCCCATCAATGACAGACTGGATAAAGAAAATGTGGCACATACACACCATGGAATACTATGCAGCCATAAAAAAGAATGAGTTCATGTCCTTTGCAGGGACATGAATGAAGCTGGAAACCATCATTCTCAGCAAACTAACACAGGAAAAGAAAACCAAACACAGCATGTTCTCACTCATAAGTGGGAGTTGAACAATGAGGACACATGGACAGAGGGAGGGGAACATCACACACTGGGGCCTGGTGGGGGGTGGAGGGCAAGGGGTGGGAGAGCATTAGGACAAATACCTAATGTATGCAGAGCTTAAAACCTTGATGATGGGTTGATAGGTGCAGCAAACCACCATGTCACATGTATACCTATGTAACAAACCGGCATGTTCTTCACATGTATCCCAGAACTTAAAACAAAATTATTAATAATAATAATAATGGCTCTTATTTATTAAGTGCTTACTCCATGTCAGCAGGCACTGTTCTAGTGAAGGACCATGATTTAAAAAGTAAACCCTGGAAGCAAAAATAGCTGGTTTCAAATACTAGTTCTGCTAGCATATGAAGCATCTGTTTCATCAACTATAAAATAGGAGTAACCGTATACAGCATTGTCAGAATTCTGAGATAATAGGCTTAGATACCAGACTTAGGTCCATGCCTGGCACAGGGCGAATGCTCAGTTAATATTTTCTGTTACAATCATCTCATTTAATCCCCACAATAACCCAATGGGTAGAGAGGATCAATAGTGATAAATGGGAATGATAATATTCCCAGTTTACAGATGCAGAAACTGAGATGCGAAACAATAAGAAACTTGTCTAAGCCCCTCCATTTCTCAGTATTGGAGATGGGATTCAGACCTAGGAGGGCTGGTTTGAGGATCTACAGTCTTAGCTACCATGGTAGACAGTTCTTAATCTTAAACAGTTTGTAAAGTCATATTTTTTTCTTATTCTTCTTCTTTAATGATACTTTCCATCTTAGTTCCTTGAAGTGTGGAACGTGCCTGCCCTGCCTGCCCGAGGCTTTGACAGAAGCCAGTGGGATAGTCAACAGCTTTGTGTGAGCACAGAGAGAGGTAGCTGCCCCAGATGCTGCGGGGCTCTGCTGATGAATGACCCATCAGTCCCACGGGTCCCACAGGTATCCAGCGGCAATCTACCCTTGCCAAGAAGGCACAACACTAGTGCTACAGCATCTCCCACTCTTAGGACTGCTCGGGCCCTAAGGATGGTTGGGGAGGTGGAAAGAAGAACTGGACATGGGTGAGCCAGCTCAAGCACAGAGCTGCCTCCTGAGCCTGGCTGTTTGGCTGCTGTGCCTCTGATGGCTCGGTGATGCTGACCTCTGGTGGAGATGAGCTGCTACTCAGCTTTGACCTCCCTCTGAGCACCAGGAGTCCCAGCACTGGCTTCCAGCCCCGCCACCGGGATGCAGACCCAGCAGCCTGAGACCCCAGAGGGTGCACCTAAGCCCAACCTCTCTCCTTATTCCAGGGCCCTGTGGTATCTGGAATTGTCTACCCTGGAACCTTATGGCTCAGGGGCTAGAAGAACCCTTAGCAAAAGGAACTTACCCAGCTGATGATTCTGACGCTGAACAGGCGCTAGAACCCAGCACAGGTCCCAGTCTCTTGGAGAATTAAGGCCTCGGCCTCTCCACCTAGTTCAGTGTTTTGAGCTACACATTCTCTTCTGACATGTGGTTACACCGCACTGTAATAATACATGTTATGACACTGATATAGAAAAAGAAATGTTCTTGTCTAATTATTTTCTGTTTGGGTGGTGCAGAAGTAAAACCAAGAGACGTTGAATCATCCTCAGTATTATTCATCACTCTTCCTCAAGCATGTCACTCTGTAAAGACAACATATGAAAGGGAAAATGTTACCCTGTTTTATTAAGGAAAATTATGGACTAGAAAAAGACTGCTTTTTTTTTTTTTTTTTTTTTTAATAAGCTGACATTGATAGAGAAAAGTTGAGCCAAATCTCTGGAGGCAGGAATCTCATTGCTGAGCACCCAGCGCCACCTTGTGGCTTCTCGCAGGACAGCGATTCCAGCTTCCACTCATTTCTCTACCCACCACTAAAAACATTTATTGAGCATTTCTTATGTTCCCTTTCACCTGTTTCTCTGCTGAGCCTCTTATCTGAATCTTTTATCTCAATGAACTTTGCACTGAAATCTCTTTCGATACACTCATTAATTTTAGCATGGGAAAAAGGGTGGCTACACAGTTGAGTTGGCCCACATAAGAAGGTGTCTATGGAGATATTCTTTATCCATGAGCCCTCCCAGTTATTCCAATGTCAGCCCTGGGACCCTGAAGATCACTCACAGATTTAATTAGACAAATCTCTTAAAATATGTGTGTATATTTTCCTTTCCCTCTTTCTCTTTCTGGAAATACGTTTTCCTGTTTCTCAGGCAGCAGCCACTCTGTTAAGACAGGGGAACTTCAGCACAGACAGGTTGCGGGGGACACAGCTAATTAGTGACTGAGCCAGAGCTGGGGCTTCAGGGCTTTGTGACTCACTCAAAAAATGTCCACTAAGTCCTTCCTCTGTAGGGGGCCCTATGCTAAGCTCAATGGTAAATCAAAACCCCACCCAGGATTCTGCCCTCGAAAGATAGAGCCTTGTCAGGGACAGAGGCATCTACTAAAGAATGATGTAAAAAAGTAAAGCTGTAACTGTGCAAAGTATTACAAGGAAAGCTATGTCCACAGACAGGATTTTTAGAGTCTGACTTTTAGAGACTTCAAAGGACTGAAAATATCATGGCCCCCTCCATAATCTATTTTAAATGAAAACAAACAATTTAAAGATAGGTGTAAAGAAATCCCCAAAAGCCTTATTTTTCCCATAATGACATCTTTGAAAGTATTTTATGCTAAAAGGAATCAAATAGCATGTTATGAAAAATTGGGAGTGACCCTGTTTCTCTAATGCCTGAAAGAGATGTTTAGCCAGCCTGTTGGGGAATCCAAGAGTGGATACATATATAATAGGAGTTTGACCTAGTCAGGAAAATTTGGAAAGACTTTCCTAAGAAAATGGTAACAGTACTGAGAGCTACAGGATAAGAAGCAGAGAGGTGAAAACCATGACGAACAATTACAGCAAGCACTGGGCAGATCGTGTACTTCCTGCAGAAGCTGGGAGCTTGAGACAGCAGAGGCTGAAAGAAGGTGGGAGAGGCTGGAACAGAGGACAATGAGGACTGTGTTGTAAGAGAAGACAAGGAGCCAGACCACACTGGGCTTTGTGGGACACCTTGAGGAGTTTTGCATTTATCCTCCAAGCAATGGAAAGCTGTCGAAGGGTTTTAATTGGCAGGGCATGGTGACATGATCCAGTTGGTGTTACAGAAAAGCCACACTGGCTGTATGCCGAAAGTGGATTGGCAAGAGGACAAGCACCTTAGCCTACTGTCCTAGTTTGTTTTGTGTTGCTATAACAGAATGGCATGGACTGGGTATTTTATATCAATAGAAATGTATTGGTTCATGGTTCTGGAGACTGGGAAGTCCAGTGTCAAAGTGGTAGCATCTGGCCAGGGACTCCTTGCTGTGTCATCCCATAGCAGAAGGTGGAAGGGCAAGAGAACACAAGAGAGCAAGAGAAAGAGCAAGAGGACAAGAGTCCAATAAGGAGACATTAATCCCCAGGAGAGATGATAGGAGCCTGGATTAAGAGTGTGGTAGATAAAATGGAGAGAAGTAAGTACACTTGAGCAATATGTTGGATTGGGTATGGGTGTAAGGAAAAGGGAGCTTTTGGGACGTCTCAGGTTTCTCACTTGCTGGAACTAAGTGAACATGGTGTGGCTGAACTGGTGAGCAAGCCCCAGTATCTACTTTCTCCTTTTTCCTTTAGTGATTGCACCGGAGTCTTCTTACATGCCAACTTCCGATCTTCTCAGGCTCACTTACCTTTTTTATCAGCTCTGGGAGGGTTCTGATGAACCCAAAGCAGGCACAGTCTGATAGCTCCCTCCCCTCTGGTCCCTGCTATGCCTTTCTCACCTCCCACATGGGCTTTTGCTGATTTCACTGGACTTGGCACGGTGCCCATGTTTTGCATGGAAACTCAGAAAAGCAAAAGAGTCGGCACTCCACTGAAAAATGTTTTGACCAATGAGAAGAGCTACTGGAGATATTCTTCCTGCATTCTCTCCCAGAGGTCTGGTCCTCAGGAACAGTTGATACAACTTCTTGGTGTCTTGTTTCTATAGATTGGTCAATTAACATGTACCCTCATATTAGTTGTCTCTCTTTTCTTCTTCACTCTCCTTGTTAGTTACTCCGATTTGTAAACTTTCAGCTCCAGACTCGCTTTCCAGGAAACACAGTGGTATGGTTTAAATGTGTCCCGCAAAATTTATGTGTTGGAAACTTAATGCCCGATGCTACAGTGTTGAGAAGTGGGAACTTTAAGAAGTGATTAGGTCATTAGGGCTCATGA